>NC_000003.12:48494848-48797878 GCF_000001405.40 Homo sapiens
TTTTCCATGACAATGATTTATATCTGGTCTAGCATGTTGTATACATGAAATGTATACATCTGTTAAAACTCATCAAACTGAAACATGAAAGATCTGTGCATTTTACTGTATGTAATTATATATCTATTTTTTTTTCTTTTTAGAGACTGAGTCTTGCTATGTTGCCCAGGCTAGCCTCCAACTCCTGGGCTCAAGCGATCCTCCTACCTCAGCCTCCCAAAGTGCTGGGATTACAGGTGTGAGCCACTCCACCTAGCCTATATCTCAATATTTTGAAAAAGATTTATAATCCAAGTTTTGAAGAGGATGTAGAGCAAACTGGAACCCTCACATATGGCTGGTGGGAGTACAAATGGCACATTTATAACATGTTGGAAAGCTGTTTGGAAGTTATCTGCCTAAACTGAACACATTCACATAATAACTTAGTAATTCCACTCCTAGATACATACCCAGAAAAAATATGTTCCTTTTACGACGCTTTTTTTTTTTTTTTAATAGAGAGGGAGTCTCGCTCTGTCACCCAGGCTGGAGTGAAGTGGCTCAAAAAAAAAAAAAAATTGATTGCTTGTTCAGTGGGTGGGGAGAAACTCCCATACATTTGGTCACAGAAATCTTGTGTTGATTGTTCTGGTGTGAGAGAATAGAAGAAGCACTCTGAGTTTTTTTTTCCACTTTTTTCGGGGGCAGGGATGGAGTCTCTCTCTCTGTTGCCCAGGCTAGAGTACAGTGACACAATATCAGCTCACTGCAACCTCCGCCTCCTGGGTTCAAGCCATTCTCATGCCTCACCCTCCCAAGTGGCTAAGACTACAGGTGCATGCCACCACGCCTGGCTAATTTTTGTATTTTTTAGTAGAGACAGGGTTTCACTGTGTTGGCCAGCCTGATCTCGAACTCCAGACCTCGTGATCTGCCCACCTCAGCCTTCCAAAGTGTTGGGATTACAGGCGTGAGCCACCACACCCAAACAGTTTTCCACATTTATGTATCAATAAACAATTAGAAAATAAAAATTGTGGCCGGGTGCAGTGGCTCACACCTGTAATCCCAGAACTTTGGGAGGCCAAGGAGGGCAGATCACTTGAGGTCAGGAGTTCAAGAGCAGACTAACCAACATGGTAAAACCCCATCTCAACTAAAAATACAAAAATTAGGCCGGGCGCAGTGGCTCAAGCCTGTAATCCCAGCACTTTGGGAGGCCGAGGCAGGCGGATCACAAGGTCAGGCGTTCGAGACCAGCCTGGCCAACATGGTGAAACCCCATCTCTGCTAAAAAAAAAAAATGCAAAGATTAGCTGGGCATGGAGGCGTTCCCCTGTAATCCCAGCTACTCAAGAGGCTGAGGCAGGAGAATCACTTGAACCCGGGAAGCGGAGGTTGCAGTGAGCCGAGATTGTGCCACTGTACTCCAGCCTGGGCAACAGAGTGCGACTCCGTCAAAAAAAAAAATACAAAAATTAGGCCGGGTGCAGTGGCTCATGCCTGTAATCCCAGCACTTTGGGAGGCCGAGGCAGGTGGTTCACAAGGTCAGGAGATCGAGACCATCCTGGCTAACATGGTGAAACCCCGTCTCTACTAAAAATAATACAAAAAATTAGCCAGGCGTGGTGGCAGGTGCCTGTAGTCCCGGCTACATGGGAGGCTGAGGCGGATGGATCACCTGAGGTCGGGAGCTCGAGACCAGCCTGGCCAACATGATGAAACCCCGTCTCTACTAAAAATACAAAAAAATTTAGCTGGGCGAGGTGGCAGGCCCCTGTAATCCCAGCTACTTGGGAGGCTGAGGCAGTAGAATCGCTTGAACCCGGGAGGCAGAGGTTGCAGTAAGCCGTGATCACGCCATCACACTCCAATCTGGGGACAAGAGCTAGACTTCGTCTCAAAAAAAAAAAGAAAAGAAATTTAAACTACACTATTTATAATACCATAAAAAAAAACAAAGGAAAAAATGAAACATATATAAGACTTTGAAATAGAAAAAATATTATATAATAGAAAATTGAGAGAGAAGGAAAGAAAACTAAATACAAGAGCAGAAATACCATGTTAATGCATTGGAAAACTCAATATAGTAAAATGTCAATTCCACAGAAATGGCCAGGTGTGGTGGCTCACACCTGTGATCCCAGCACTTTGGGAGGCTGAGGCGGGTGGATCACCTGAGGCCAAGAGTTTGAGACCAGCCTGGGTAATCTGGTGAAACCCCATCTCTATTAAAAATACAAAAAACTTAGCTGGGTGTGGTGGCAGGCACCTGTAATTCCAGCTACTCTGGAGGCTGAGGCAGGGGAATCACTTGAACCCAGGAGGCAGAGGTTGCAGTGAGCCGAGATCATGCCATTGTTCTCCAGTCTGCTGTCTGTCTTGCTACTTCTTGTGGGGTTAACGGTCTTAAGGCTTCCAGAACAAGTTTTTTTTTTTTTTTTTTTTTGACGGAGTCTCGCTCTGTCACCCAGGCTGGAGTGCAGTGGCATGATCTTGGCTCACTGCAACCTCCGCCTCCTGGGTTCAAGCAATTCTCTGCCTCAGGCTCCTGAGTAGCTGGGATTACAGGCACCCACCACCATGCCCAGCTAATTTTTGTATTTTTAGTAGAGATGGGGTTTCCCCATCTTGGCCAGGCAGGTCTTGATCTCCTGACCTCGTGACCCACCCGCCTCAGCCTCCCAAAGTGCTGGGATTACAGGTGTGAGCCACCGCACCCGGCCAGAAAAAAACAATCTTAAAAAGCAATCGGAGGGTTAAAAAAAAAGAGGGATTTCAGCTAGGTGCACCTGTAATCTCAGCACTTTGGGAGGTCGAGGTGGGAGGATCACTTGAGCCCAGGAGTTTAAGACAAGCCTGGGCAACATAGGGAGACCCTGTCTCTACAAAAAGTAAACAAAATTAGCCAGGCATGGTGGCAGGCACCTGTAATCCCAGCTACTTGGAAAGCTGAGGTAGGAGGATATGCTTCAGCCCAGGAGGCTGAGAGTGACATGAGCCAGTGACTGCACCACTGCACTCCAGCCTGGGCAACAGAGTGAGACTGTCTCAAAAAAAAAAAAGAAGAGAGAGAGAGAGATTTCTTTCAATGAGAGACACTGGCTGTTGAGTTGATGTCTCAACAGAAACAATGGAAGCCGGGAGACAGTAGAATGGAAGCTTCAATATGCTAAGAAAAAATAACCATCAACCTAAGCTCTATACTCACATAAAATAGTGTTTTAGAGAGTAATATAATTTACCATATTAACAGAATAAAAATTTTAAAATCATACAGTCATCTCTACAAATGCACAAAAAGCATTTGACATAATTCAACATCCATCCATAATTAAAACTCTAGGTGTACTAGAAATGCAGAGAACTTCCTCAACCTGATAAAGGACACCTATGAAAAAGCCACAGCTGACATCCTTCCTACTAGTGAAAAACTGAATGTCTTCCCCCTAAACTCGGAAACAAGACACAGATGTCTGCTTTCTCCACTTCTACTCAACATTGTAACTGAGGGCCTAGCCAACACAATAAGGCAAGAAAAAGAAATAAGACATTCAGAATAGGAAAGAAGGCTGGGGGCAGTGGCTCATGCCTGTAATTCTAGCACTTTGGGAGTCCGAGGCAGACAGATTGCCTGAGCTCAGTAGTTCGAGACCAACCTGGGCAACACAGTGAAACCCTGTCTCTACTAAAATACAAAAAATTAGCCAGGCGTGGCAGCATGCACTTGTGGTCCCAGCTACATGGGAAGCTGAGGCAGGATAATTGCTTGAACCTGGCAGGTGGAGGTTGCCGTGAGATGAGATCACGCGCCACTGCACTCCAGCCTGGGAGACACAGACTGTCTCCAGAAAGAAAAAAAAAAAAAAAAAAAAGACAGAATGGAAAAGAAGAAGTAACAGTCGAAGAAAAATATGGCGTAAAAACAAATCGAAACAATACAGGAAGTAAAAAAAGGATAATGCATACGGGCGCGGTGGCTCACGCCTGTAATCCCAGCACTTTGGGAGGCCGAGGCAGGAGGATCACCTGAGGTCGGGAGTTCAAGACCAGCCTGGCCAACACGGTGAAACCCTGTCTCTACTAAAAAATACAAAATTAGCCGGGCGTGGTGGCACATGCCTGTAATCCCAGCTACTCAGGAGGCTGAGGCAGGAGAATTGTTTGAACTCAGGAGGTGGAGGTTGTGGTGAGCCAAGAACACACCATTGCACTCCAGCCTGGGCAACAAGAACGAAACTCCATCTCAAAAAAAAAAAAAAAAAAGATAATGCAGGAGAGACAAATAGCACAAAAGATGCAAATATAACCCCAGAATATCAATAACTACATTAAATTAATTAATTAATTTATTTTTGAGTCGAGGTCTCACTCTGTTGCCCAGGCTGGAGTGCAGTGGCACCAATCACGACTTACTGCAGTCTCAACCTGCTAGGTTCAAGTGATCCTCCTACCTCAGCTTCCCAAAGTACTGGGCTTACAGGCATGAGCCACAGCAACCCCCGGCCCTCTACATTAAATTTAAATGGAATAAATGCTCCTGCTTTTAAAAAAAGAAATACCATCAGGCGCGGTGGCTCATGCCTGTTATCCCAGCACTTTGGCAGGCCAAGATGGGCAGATCACCTGAGGTCAGGAGTTCAAGACCAGCTTGGTGAACATGGTGAAACCCCATCTCTAGTAAAAATACAAAAATTAGGCCGGGCGTGGTGGCGGGCGCCTGTAGTTCCAGCTACTTGGGAGGCTGAGGTAGGAGAATGGCGTGAACCTGGGAGGCGGAGCTTGCAGTGAGCCAAGATCGCACCACCACATTCCAGCCTGCAGCCTGGGTGACAGAGCGAGACTCTGTCTAAAAAAAAAAAAATACAAAAATACAAAAATTAGCCAGGTGTGGTGGTGCACGCCTATAATCCCAGCTACTCGGGAGGCTGAGGCAGGAGAATTGCTTGAACCCGGGAGGCGGAGGTTGCGGTGAGCCGAGATCACATTATTGCACTCCAACCTGGGCAACAGAAGTGAGACTCCGTCTCAAAAAAAAAAAAAAAAAAAAAGCCAAAAGGTGAAGTGAAAGGGTGAAAGGGTAGAAGAAGACCTGTCAGGAACCCTCAGGCAGGACTGACAGGTGTGCAGCCCTGTGCACCACTCCCAAGAGCACCTGGAAGTCCTTAGTGGATAACTGTGTGCATCTATGACATGGCAACTCCACAACCAGATGTGTTTCCAAGAGAATTCTTACACAGCTCCATAAAAGGAGGTATACCAGATGCCCACTGAAGCTATCTATCATGACAACCATTGTGGATTCACACCATTCAGAGGGACACAGCAGTAGTGGGCAAGGGCCAGATGTGCCACAGCAATGTGGCTAGGTCTTACACTACACCGACTTTGCAAGAACTCAAATAATGAAAAGGATGTACCTTATACATAGCAGACCATAGCAGACGGTTGCCTGTGGGGTGGGAAAGGAATGAAATGGTCCTGACATATTAAAGTAAATATATAGGCCAGGCATGGTGGTGCACACCTATAGTTCCAGCTACTCAGGAGGCTGAGGGAGGAGGATGGCTTGAGCCCAGGAGTATGAGACCAGCCTGGGCAACATGGTGAGACTCCATCTCACAAAAATAAATATGTAAGATAGCGGGGGTTGGTCTTGCCCAGACCCAGGATGATCACCTGCCATGAGCAGAGGAGTATGACCATCTCAACCCTCTACACCGAGGCCAAACACAAAGGAAATACAGAATACGGCAAAGAGCCACACACAGGGGCCTGGAACCTTGGTCCCAGCCATGAAACAGTCTACACCCAACATGCAGGTAAATTCATAGGCTGCGCTGGGAGGACACAGATAGAGCTCACACTGGGGCACATGCTTACGCACTGCACCCTACAGGCTCCACAAGCGGGTTCTGAACAAAGGATACCCCTCAGGGGCATGCGCATACTGTGGGGTATAGTCAAGCCCAAGTACCCACCCTGAGGACATCTTGGCACAGGTACACACCCGGGGTGAGTCACAGGACCAGCTGAGGCCAAGGACCTCTAAGAAACCTGCTCAGCCCAAGGCTCAGCAAGCTGGAGCCCTCAGGGTAGGGAGGAGATGGACAGGGGACTAACTGAGCAGGTCTAGGGGGTCCAGCCCAGAACAGGGGATCCCTAAACCCTCTGCTCCAATGCTCTGGCCACCATCTTGAGAGGGCTGAGAGGCCAGAGGGGCAGAGCTATCTCTCTTCCACATACTCTCCTGTGGGGCACAGGCTCAAGCCACCCACCCTGTGACCCACTGGTGCACCCACCTGGCCTCAGGCACAGCACACCTTTCCTCGCTCCACACAAATTTCTTCAGCACGTCAGAGCAGCAGTATTGGTCATCACAGGTACCACAGCAGAAATCTGGACAGGACTCGGGGAAGAGGCTGAGTCCACGGGAAGCCATACACACCTCACCACGTGCTGGAGAGGAGAAACACATCTGTTCACCTGTGCCCACGGGCCAGGCCCCAGCAGACACAGCGCCCTCCCTGGCACAGCCACCAGACCACACACACACACACATGCTGCACCGTCTCTGAGCCACCCTAGCCACAGGCCACCTTCTGACCCCTGGCCACTGCTCCCCCTCAGCCTTGCCCTATCCCACGGGCCACAACAGAGCTGCCCTAACTGGGCTCCCTCTCTCCCTCACCAGTGCACTGGCCTCCTGATAGGAGGGTGAACTTTCTCAATGTGAGTCTGATGGGGCCACACCCTGCTCTCAAACCTCCCCTAATTCCCACTGCTTCAGGATCAAGGCCCGAGTTTCCAAGCAGGGTCTAAACTGCAGAGTCCTGAAGATCACTCCAGCTCTCCAACCTGTCCACACTCCGCTCACATTCTTGCCTGGTTCCTATCTCCTGCCTTTCAACTCTACTCATCCTTCAAGGCCCTACTCCAGGTGGCCTCCTCCAGAAGCTGCCCAGGCGAGAAGTCACACAGCTCAACACCTGCAGGGGACCAGACACTGGACTGTCCCTTTCTTTCTTTTTTTTTTTTTTTTTTGAGACAGAGTCTCACTCTGTTGCCCAGGCTGGAGTGCAGTGGTGCGATCTCAGCTCACTGCAATCTCTGCCTCCCAGATCCAAGCAATTTTCCTGCCTCAGCTTCCCGAGTAGCTGGGATTACAGGTGCCTGCCACCAGGCCCAGCTAATTTTTTGTATTTTTTAGTACAGACAGAGTTTCGCCATGTTGGCCAGGCTGGTCTTGAACTCCTGACCTCAGGTGATCCACCCATCTTGGCCTCCAAAGTGCTGAAATTACAGGCATGAGCCACCGCACCCCAGCCAGACTGTCTAGTTCTTAATCCTCGTTCACTCTCTCCCTCACTCAACCACAGCAACCTCAGCCCCTGCTGGGCACCACAACTGCAGGGGCCTGGCTCTCACAGACCACCCCATAACCATGATGGCAGGCTAGATCCTGGTCAGAAATTGTCACACCCACCATACCAGCGTTCATAAAGCACTTAGCCCCGCGCTGGGCCTGCAGCAGGTGTCCAGGAAATGTCTGTGCCTTCCAGGAGTTTGAGACCAGCCTGGGCAACAGGGCTCCAAGGCAGTGGCACCATCTGTAGCCCTGGAGCCATCACAAGACTCTCAGCACAGAGTTGGGATCTACTGACATCCTTACAAGTCTCAATAAACGAGGTCATGCTGAGGGGATCTGGCTGACAACAAATGTGGAAAATAACCCAGGTTTTTGGATGACCACAAGGTTTACAAACCTCCAGGAAGATGCTACAGTCAAATGTTCCCATGTATCCTCAGGCTACATTAGCAGAGACCTGTGCCCACTAACAGGAAGGAACAGTACCGGATTCTGCCAGGGCAGACTCCAAAGAGAATACCTAGTCCAGCAAGGCCCACAAGTCCGCAGTAGGCAGGGGACAGGTCTGATGATAGCCCTGAGGCATAACTACATCGGCCTGGAAACAGTCTGCCATAGCACGTGGCCTCTGGAGACCCAGCCAGGCCAGGCACCTGGCCATGTGCAGCATCTGGTGCCCGGGCCTGATCAGGACACCACACACCCCGAGGCTGTCAGTAGAGTGAAGCCCAGAGACAGAGACACCAAGTGACCTCCTTGGGAAGAGGGAACTTTAGTGGGGAGTTGGGGGGAACTGCACTTCTTGGCAGCTCCAGGCAGAACCCTGCTCTGGGCAAAGCCATGGAGCAGAGGATTGGACCATTGACAAGCCCAGTTTGGCCAGCTGCCCACCTGAAAGCTGGTATCATCAGCATGGCCCGTGCCTGGTGGCTCAGGTGAACCCATATGCAGCAAGGTCTTCACAGCCCAATCTGAGCCTCTGAGCTAGGGCTGAAGACACACCGGTGAGGCTGTTTAGGCTGAGTCCATGGCACAAATGCTCTCTGACCCCCAGACCTCACTGAATCAGTGACCGACCCTCCTACAGGCTCACTCCAGGAGTGGGCGGATTCTGGGCACAAGTCTCCCCTTTCTCATTTCTCTAGCCCAGGTCCTCTGGATTCATCCCAGCCCCCAGGAAATACAGCCTTCCCCTCCACGAAGCCACCCACCCCAAAAGGGTCTTTGGCTTCCCATGGGTGGGCAGGGGATTGTTCCAATTCCTAACCCTTTAAAGGACCCGCCCCCAGCCAGCCTTCCAGACTCTGTGAATCACCTATCTGCAACCAACACACACAGTGGTGTCTCCACCCCAGAGGCCAGCCTCAGCGCCGGGCTCTACAGGAACACAAGGGCCAACGGAGGCAGCGGTGGGGGCTCCCAGACATTAAACAGAGGCAAAGAGGGAAGGCCTCTGATGGAGGGGCCAGCTCGCCCTGCAGCCACCCGCCAGACTAAAGCCAGGCAGGGAACCCTACCCTAGCCTCTGGGGACTCCATCCCCTGGAACATGGGCGGGAGGGCAGACCCCTCCCCACCGTTCCAGGACAGACAAAGGTGGCAGCTGCCTGGTGTCTAGGCAGGGTTGTTCAGGCAAGGAGGGTGCTGGGGTGGAGGAGGGGTCCGCAGTCGTGGGGGTTCGCTGACGGCCTCGGGGCAATCAGGGGTCAGTGGGGGGCATAGTGGGGCTGGTGCTGCCCGGCTCGTTGGAGAGGCAGCGCGGGGAAGTGTCTGCCCGGTCCCAGGGCAGGACGGGCCGCCCCCACCCCCGGCTCACCACCCGGAGGCGGCGTTAGCAGCAGCAGCAACAGCAACGGCAACAGGATCCGCGGCGCGGGGACCGGCGCAGTCATGGCTGGGCGGGCGGACGGGCGGACGGACGCGAGCGCCGGGCGCAGTGCCGCCACAGCCTCAGTGATCCGCGCGGCCGCCCCTCTCCCTCGCCCCGCCCCGCCCCGGCCCGGCTGGTTCCCGGAACCTCTGTCCGGGGGAGCAGGAGGAGGAGGAGGGAGGAGGAGGGAGGAGGGAGGAGGGAGGAAGGTGGAAGGAGGAGGAAGGAAGGAAGCGGACGACTTCCCAGCCTCGGGGCCAGCTTCGCGCCCGGGGTCTGCGCGAAAACTTGGTACCGGTTCCCAGACTCGGACAGGCGCCGGGCGACGCACGGAGTTTCCTTCTGCTCACCGGATGCATGGGGGGCGGCGGCGGCCCCCAGCTCTCAGGCCTGGAGGGCGTCCCCGGGAATATGCACCCTGACACTGAGCGCCTACTGTGTGGGCTGGGGGACAGCCACAGCCATCCCTCCCAGCCGCAGTCCCGGCGGATCCTCACTTGCCCGAGGGCTACGTGAGGACTAGGTGAGGCGGTGCGAGGACAGTGCCCAGCGCAGACCTTGGCACTCAGTAGACACTCCACAAATGCCGGTTCCCTTCTACAGGCCCAGTCGCCAGCTCAGAGGACACTCGATCTCCTGCCCCCTGGGACTGACACCATCATCCCAAGGTGATCCCCAGCCCCAGCCCTGGCAGGCTCAGCGCTGGCGCAGTGGGCCAGGACTGAGCTAGAAACTGGCAGCTCCCAGGGCACACAGCCAGGCCAACTTCCCACACAGGGCTCCGCCCCCTCACTTCGGGGCAGGGGTCCAGGCAGAATCAGGGATGTTGAGTCATTCTTCCTTTTATGCCCAGAGTTCCTGACCCACCCCCACTCTGCACCTAGCACAATCAGAACATTTCACTCAAGACAGAAAACGTGAAATGTCACACTAGTGGGGCACCCAGGCTGGGTTGTGCACCCTGTGTGCCACCATATATTTCTCACCTAAAGGTGGGGGCATCGCTGTGGACAAAGAGAAACCCAAGGGGACAATCTGGGATGTTCCCAGTAGTTTCCCAGGCTAGGGTGTTAGAACAGGGAGAGGAAGGCCTGGGTCTCCAATAAGCCCCCATCACCTCCTGGCCAAGAAGGGCTTAAGACTCACCGTGCTCAATACACATGTGGGGGGCAGGGATATGACAGTTCCCAGGCAGGATGCCCTCTGGGAGGGTCTTAGTGAGGGACTGGAGTCACATCCTCCCTGACAGCCCAGCCTGGTTATCCCACCTCTGCCTCCTGAGCGCCACTCTCCAAAGCTGGGTGCAGCCTAGGTCCCCCTTCTGCAGAATGGCCAGTGTATGCTCCTCATGTCCAGCTCTAGAGCCATCCTGTGTTCCACACCCTGGGTGCCCAGCCCTCTGCCTCCCTAAAGGTTGCTCATTCCACTCTGCACCATCCACAAGCTTGGTTTCTTGTTCCTTGGTTTTCCAGTCCCTGCCCCCCAGCCAAGCTCCTAAGAGTTGTTCTAAGCCTGGGCAACATAAGGAGACCCCATATCTACAGAAAATTTTAAAATTAGCTGGGTATGGTAGCAAGCACCTGTGGTCTCAGCTACTTGGGAGGCTGAGGTGGGAGGATCATTTGAGCCCAGGAGATGAAGGTTGCAGTTATGATTGTGCCACTGCACTCCAGTCTGGGCAACAGAGCAAGACCCTGTCTCAAAAATAGAAAAACAAGGCCTGGTGCAGTGGCTCACACCTGTAATCCCAGCACTTTGGGAGGCAGAGGCAGGCAGATCACCTGAGGTTGGGAGTTTGAGACCAGCCTGACCAACATCTCCATGTTGGATAGACATGGACCAACATCTCCATGTTCAGTAGAGCCCCGTCTCTACTAAAAATACAAAATTAGCCAGGTGTGGTGGTGCATGCCTGTAATACCAGCCACTCAGGAGGCTGAGGCAGGAGAATCGCTTGAACTCGGGAGGCAGAGGTTGTGGTGAGCCAAGATCGCGCCATTGCACTCCAACCTGGGTGACAGAGCAAGACTCCATCTCGAAAAAAAAAAATGAAAAAAAAAAGAATTGTCCTTTCCCACCTCCTATGCTTGCCTTTGGCTTCTCTACTCTGCTGCCCCCAACCCCAGATCCTTTAGGGGCCTCTCACCTGGCCTCTTCCTCCCTACTTTTTTGGTCTTTGGCTCTCCCATACCCTCTTATCTGCCCACAGCTCATGGTTGAGCTTGGTGGGTGTTTTGGGCTCCACCCAGGGCTGTGCATGGGCAGGAGTGAGTGGAGGCTAGGATCACCCCAGTGGCTTGGAAATCGCAACCATGCATCTCACAGGCATGTGCCCATGTGTGCAGGCATTTTCTGTGGGTCTAAGGGAGGAGACCACCCCTCATATTGTCTTATGCCCCATTTCTGCCTCCAAAGAAAGAAAAAGTAAAAACTAAAAGGCAGAAATGAAATCCACAAGCAGACAGCCCGGCGCCACACCCTGGGTCTGGTAGTTAAAGATCGACCCCTGACCTAATCAGTTATGTTATCTATAGATTACAGACATTGTATAGAAAAGCACTGTGAAAATCCCTATCCTGTTTTGTTCTGACCTAATTACTGGTGCATGCAGCCCCCAGTCACGTACCCCCTGCTTGCTCAATCGATCACGACCCTCTCACGAGCACCCTCTTAAAAGGGACAGGAATTGCTCACTCGGGGGACTCTGCTCTTGAGACAGGAGTCTTGCCGATGCCCCCGGCCAAATAAACCCCTTCCTTCTTTAACTCGGTGTCTGAGGAGTTTTGTCTCTGCAGCTCAGGCTTGCAAAGCCTGGAAATACAAGTTGCCTGGGGAAAGTGACCCCTCCAAGGCAGAAACCAAACTTGGCCCAGATGCTGTACCAAGGCTAGGACTTGGCCCAGATGCTGTACCAAAGCTAGGTGGCTCCCCAAACCTTCCTACAGCTCTGTAAACAGCAATTTTTTTTTTTTTTTTTGAGACAAGGTCTCACTGTCACCCAGGCTGGAGTGCAGTCACGGCTCACTGCGGCCCCAATTTCCCCAGGAAACTGGGGTGATCCTCCCACCTCAACCTTTGGAGTAACTGGGACCACAGATGCACACCACCACGCCCAGCTAATTTTTGTATTTTTTGTAGAAGTAGGGTTTTTGCCATGTTTCCCAGGCTGGTCTCGAACTCCTGGGCTCAAGCAATCTGCCCGCCTCAGCCTCCCAAAGTGCAACAGCACTTTTATCAAACTCTCCTCAAATACCCAGTTTGTTAAGAATGACTGTGTTCTGCTGGGACCTTGGTTACAGTTTGTAGGTGAGAACTCTGCATCAGGCTGGTGGAGCAAAGCAACACCCACTGATGCTTGTAAAGCCCAGGGTGAGAGTAACCAGGTGAGAATGAGGCCATCAGCCCAGCCCCAGGACTGACTGCAGGACCAGATCGGTGAGTTCTACAGTGGAACGCTTGCTCAAGGATCCTTGCCATTCTTCTTCATTCAGCACCTGGTCCCCTTTCCTCCACATCAGAGGAGGAACACGCTAGATATTATCTTTTTCAGATTCCTTTGCCCCAGGGCAAGAGCTTTTGCCCAGCCCCAACCAATCAGATGTAGCCTCCCTGGAGTCAGTCAGGGGTACTGGCCACCAGCTTTGATGGAGGGCTGCAGCAGTCCTGGCAGAAACATGAGTCTGCACCTGTGGGGAGGGCTGTGTGAGTCACAAAGGCCCCTGCTTCCCCCTCGTGGCAGGAGCAGTGGCATGCTCACCAGGCCAAAGTAGCACTGTGGTTTGGGCTGGAGACGATACTGCTTCGACTTGGAACCTTTCTTTCCAGCCGCCTTGTTGGCTCTGAGGGCTCCACAGTTGCTTTTCATAAATTGGGTTTCTGATTAAGTTGGGCAGAGTCAGTTTCCTCCAACTGACAGAGAAGTTCTCACCAGGGCCGGGCACCGTGGTGACTCATGCCTGTAATACCAGCACTTTGGGAGGCAGAGGTAGGCAGATACCTCTTGAGCGCGGAGTTTGAGACTAGCCTGGGCAACATGACAAAACCCCGTCTCTACAAAAAATACAAAAATTAGCTGGGCATGGTGATGCGTGCCTGTATTCCCAGCTACAAGGGAGGATTGCTTGAGCCCAGGAGGCAGAGGTTACAGTGAGCTAAGATTGCACTACTGCACTCCAGACTGGGCAACAGAGCAAGACTCTGTCTCAAAAAAAAAAAACCTAAAAAAAAAAAGAAAACATCTGGACAAGGTGGCTCAAGCCTGTAATCCCAGCACTTTGGGAGGCCGAGGCGGGTGGATAACCTGAGGTCAGGAGTTCAAGACTAGCCTGGCCAACATGGCGAAACTCCATCTCTACTAAACATACAAAAAAAATTAGCCAGGCGTGGTGGCGTGCACCTATAATCCCAGCTGCTCAGGAGGCTGAGGTGGGAGAATCACTTGAACCAAGGAGGCGGAGGTTGCAGTGAGCCGAGATCGCACCACTGCACTCCAGCCTGGGTAACAGAGCGAGACTGCTTCAAAAAAAAAAAAAAAAAAAGAGAAAACTAGGCTGGGCGTTGTGACTCACGCCTGTAATCCCAGCACTTTGGGGGGCTGAAACGGACAGATCACTTGAGGTCAGGAGTTCCAGACCAGTCTAGCCAACATGGCGAAACCCCGTCTCTACTAAAAATACAAAAATTAGCTGGGTGTGGTGGTGCATGCCTGTAATCCCAGCTACTGGGGAGGCTGAGGCATGAGAATCACCTGAATCTGGGAGGTGGAGGTTGCAGTGAGCCAAGATCGTGCCACTGCACTCCAGCCTGGGTAACAGAGTAAGACTCTGTCAAAAAATAAAAAAATAAAAAAAGGGGAGACAGAGAGAAAGAGAGAAATAAAAAATAAATAATTTTTTTTAAAAAATTAGTCCCCATCAGGAATGGTAGCAGATGCCCAGGGAAATGGGGGTGTCCGACTTGTCATCTGCCTGGTTGGAGCTAAAAGCAGTGGAAGTCCAGGCCTGAGGAAGGAAAGGGCTCTGGCAACTTGTGGCAGGCAGAGGAGACCGAGCTGGTAAAGTCACTGCTGGTGGTGTTGCATGATAAAAAACTAAATATTTAGTTTTAGTTCTCCATTCCTCACACAGAACTCCTTAACCCCTTAGAATTTACCATCCTTCTGATGCAAATGAGATGACTCCTAGCAGAGGGCCACTAGATAGCTTCACGATATTGGCCTGAAAGACCAAATAAGTTGCCAGGCCCAGTGGCTCACGCCTGTAATCCCAGCACTTTGGGAGGCAGAGGCAGGCGGGTCACCTGAGGTTGGCAGTTCAAGACAAGCCATGGAGAAATCCTATCTCTACTAAAAATGCAAAAAATTAGCCAGGCGTGGAGGTGCATGCCTGTAATCCCAGCTACTCCGGAGGCTGAGGCAGGAGAATCACCTGAACCCGGGAGGCGGAGGTTGCGGTGAGGCAAGATCGCACCATTGCACTCCAGCCTGGGCAACAAGAGTGAAACTCTGTCTCCAAAAAAAAAAAAAAAAAGAAAAGAAAAGAAAAGAAAAGAAAGAGAAAGACCAAATAAGGATAAGAGTTTTGGAACTTTGAGTCACATCTCCCAAACTCTGGGGAACGGAGGGAGGCTAGAGATTGAGTTCAATCACCAATAGCCAATGATTTAATCAACCATGCCTTTGTAATGAAACCTCCATAAAAATCATTAAATAGTGGGGTTTGGGAGCTTCTGGGTTGGAGAACACATTGAGGTGCAGGGAAGATTGGTGTGCTCGGAGACGACATGGAAGCTCTGTGCCCCCTCCCCTCATACCTTGCCCTGTGCATAGCTTCATTTGGCTTGTTAAAAGAGAAAATTACAATGAGTGGTGGTTGCTTCTAATGGCACCAAACAGCTTAAAGAAAGAGAATGGCATGATGAGGTCAAGTTGTTAGCTGCTTGCAACAAGGCACAAACTGAAAACTTTTTCAACTCTGCTAAAATGAGCCTCTTGCAGCCATGGGGCTGAGATGGCTCAATATCTAACCCAAGGGCTGATTCTGTGTGTTCCAGATTAAAATACTGGTTGAATCACAGCCTCACTCAGTCTTTTTCTTTTTTTTTGTTTTTTGTTTTTTGTTTTTTGTTTTTTGAGACGGAGTCTCACTCTGTCGCCAGGCTGGAGTGCAGTGGCACGATCTCGGCTAACTGCAACCTCCGCCTCCTGGGTTCAAGCTATTCTTCTGCCTCAGCCTTCTGAGTAGCTGGGATTACAGGCACGAACCACCACGCCCAGCTAATTTTTGTATTTTTAGTAGAGACAGGGTTTCACCATGTTGGTCAGGCTGGTCTCAAACTCCTGACCTTGCGATCCGCCCACCTCAGCCTCTCAAAGTGCTGGGATTACAGGCGTGAGCCACCGCGCCCAGTCGTTATTTTCCTTTCATTGTTGACCAGGCTCACTCAGTTTTTCCTGTGAAAGTTAGGCACTGATCAGGACAAAGCATGCCCCTGGGAAACTGGAGCCCACACGCATGTCTACATCCAGTGGTCAGTTCTCTGTCTACCTTCCCTGACCCTCCAGCTTCAGTGACAGGGTGGGACACTCCCGCTTCCATCACACACTCCTCACACTGCTGCTTCTCAAGCTGCACTTTTTTTTTTTTTTTTTTTTTTTTTTTTGAGATGGAGTCTCACTCTGCTGCCCAGGCTGGAGTGCAGTGGTGTGATCTTGGCTCACTGCAACCTCCGCCTCCTGGGGTTCAAGTGATTCTCCTGCCTCAGCCTCCCAAATAGCTGGGACTACAGGCACACGCCATCATGCCCAACTAATTTTTGTATTTTTAGTAGAGATGGGGTTTCACCATATTGGTCAGGCTGGTCTCGAACTCCTGACCTCAGGTGATCCACCCGCCTCAGCCTCCCAAAATGCTGGGATTACAGACCTGACTACTGTGCTGGACCGGGCATTACATTTTGAACCCACCTTCAACTGCCAACCCCAATCCACAGCTTGCTTCCCCCACGGGCTTCCACATGTCCATAAGTGGCAACTCCAGACCTTGGGATTATCTCTCTCTCACATGCCTTCATCCAAATCGTCAGCCAAACTTGGCTCTACCTGAAAAGTATATGCAGAATCCAACCACTTCTCGGCAGCTCCATCAGGAGCTCATTGTCTCTCACATTGCAGCAGCCTCCAGATAAGTGACCTGGCTTCCACTCAGCCCCATTTCAGATCGAGTCTTGATTCTGCAGCAGCCAGAGGAGTTCTTTTTAAACGTTTATCAGATCAAGTCACTCTGCTCAAAACCCTTTCCCGGGCCCCCCATTTCCAAGGCCCCACATATTCTGTATCCCATGACCTCTCTGACCTGGTCTTCCTCCTCCTCGTCTCTCTTCTCCAGCCCCACCAGCCTCTTCTGTGTTTTTTGACTGGGCATAGCCACACTCAGAGCCTTTGCATTGGCTATGGGATGCTCCATGGCCTCCTTCAGCCTTTGGTCACCTTCTCAGTGAGGCCTGCTTGCAACCCCCTCCCATGCCCGTTCCCTCCATCCCAGCACCCTATATACTCTGTGTTTTACTTATTTGCTTACTGTATCTCCTACCACTAGAACATTCTCTCTCTGACAGCAGGGTAGTGCTTACTCCTGTATCCCCACTGCTTGGCACATGGTGGGCACTTAATAAATGTGCTGAATCAGCTAGGCATTGTGGCTTATGCCTGTATTCTGAGTACTTTGTGAGGCCAAGGTGGGAGGATCACTTGAGGCCGTGGGTTTGAGGCCAGCCTGGGCAACAAAGTGAGACCCCCATCGCTACAAAAACAATATTTTAAATAAAAAAAAAAAAAAAAAAAAAAAAACAGGCGGGGTGCAGTGGCTCACAACTGTAATCCCAACACTTTGGGAGGCTGAGGTGGGCAGATTGTTTCCACCGAGGAGTTCGTGACCAGCCTGGGCAACATGGCAAAACCCCACCTCTACAAAAAGAAAAAAAAATTAGCTGGTTGTGGTGGTGTGCACCTGTAGTCCAGCTACCAGGGAGGCTGAGGTGGGAGGATCACCTGAACCCAGGAGGTTGAGGCTGCAGTAAGCTGAGATCACATCACTGCACTCTGGCCTGGGGAACAGAATGTAACTCTCTCAAAAACAAACACAAAAAATGCAAAGAACCCCCACAAGTATGAAATTAATGACTGAAGTGGAATGAAGATACATGAAAGAATTCAGAGGAATTAGATCCCCACCAACCCCTAGCCTCTTCTGCACCTCCTTTGCCTGCTGAAGCAATGTGTCCTCCCCTGAAAGACACCATGGACATCATGAAGGAGTTACCCTGTAAGAGGAAGCTAACTCTTCTCATGGCCCCTCCTCCCAATTCCTTATGATTTCCAGAGCTTTTAACTAGAGAGATATTTCAGCATGTCTGGAGACCCTTTCACAAAGTCAAGCCCAGAGCAGGAGGCTCACATATCAAAAGAGTTGCAAGACTGTTATTTTATGTTGGCCAAAATATAGAGAATATGTGTGGGAACAGACTGAAGTCCTAGACCAAGGAGATAAGAACATAAGTTTATATTGGGCTGAATTTATCAATATGGGTGCACTTAGCAAGGATTTGGATTCCATGCACCAGCTCAAGCTGTTGGGGGTTGTTCCACACGTCTATTTGGTTGGCTGAATAAAAACTGGATCCCAGCCGGGCGCGGTGGCTCACTCCTGTAATCCCAGCACTTTGGGAGGCCGAGGCGGGCGGATCACGAGGTCAGGAGATCGAGACCATCCTGGCTAACACAGTGAAATCCCGTCTCTACTAAAAACACAAAAAAATTAGCCAGGTGTGGTGGCGGGCGACTGTAGTCCCAGCTACTCCAGAGGCTGAGGCAAGAGCATGGCGTGAACCCGGGAGGCGGAGCTTGCAGTGAGCCGAGATTGCTCCACTGCACTCCAGCCTAGGCGACAGAGCGAGACTCCACAACAAAACTGGATCCCACTCAATGCAGTTAAGGTGCCAAAAGTTCCCTGATATAACACAGAGGAAAGAATCCAAAGCCTTAAGAAGATGTATTTATTTTTATTCATTCAAAATAAATGTTGAGGCCGGGCGCGGTGGCCCGCGCCTGTAATCCCAGCATTTTGGGAGGCCGAAGCAGGTGGATCACCTGAGGTCAGGAGTTCAAGATCAGACTGGCCAACATGGTGAAACCCCATCCCTACAAAAATACAAAAAGTAGCTGGGCATGATGGCGGGTGCCTGTAATCCCAGCTACTCAGGAGAGCAAGACTCCATCTCAAAAAATAAATACACACAGGCTGGGTGCAGTGGCTCATGCCTGTAATCCCAGCACTTTGGGAGGCTGAGGTGGGTGGATCACCTGATGTTAGGAGTTCGAGACCAGCCTGACCAATATGATGAAACCCTGTCTCTACTAAAAATACAAAAATTAGCCAGGTGTGGTGGCACGCACCTGTAATCCCAGCTACTCAGGAGGCTGAGACAGGAGAATCACTTGAACCTGGGAGGCGGAGGTTGTGGTGAGCCAAGGGGAAACAAGAGTGAAACTCCATCTCAAAAAAAAAAAAAATAATAATAATAATAATAATAATAATAATAATAAATACATACATAAATATATAAATGAATAAATGTTGGACTGAATTTGTCATGGACAACTCATCTTTTCCCTAACCAATCTCCTGGATTGAAGGGATTGAAGATTCAGAAGATACTCCTTTCCCCAAAGCCTTGGGAAATTCATTGCTGAGGGGTGCATCTTTAAAAAGTTTTAGTTTTAGTTTGCTATGGCTACCATGACAAAGTCCCACAAATTGAGTGTCTAAAACAACAGAAAATGTATTGTTTCACAGTTCCAGGGGTTAGAAGTCTGAGATCAGGGTGTTCGCAGGCCAATGTTCTCTCTGAAGACACTAGGTTATATTAGATTAGGGGCCATCCTACTGCAGTCTAACTTTGTCTTAACTTATTACATCTGCAATGACCTTATTTCCACATAAGGTCACATTCTGAAGTACTAGGGGTTAGAACTTCAACATATAAATTGGTGGGGGGTGCATAGTAAGCACCATGGTCACTCTTCTCCATAGGTTAGGGGTTCTAGACTCTTCTCCATAGGTTAGGGGTTCTAGACTCTTCTCCATAGGTTAGGGATTCTAGTGGGAGACACTAGAGTTGAAATGGCTCCTTGATTGCTTTTTTTTTTTTGAGGCGGAGTCTCACTCTGTCACCCAGGCTGGAGTGCAATGGCGCGATCTTGGCTCACCGCAACCTCCACCTCCCGGGTTCAAGCAATTCTCCTGCCTCAGCCTCCACCAGTAGCTAGGATTATAGGCATGCACCACCAGGCCCAGATAATTTTTTTGTATTTTTAGTAGAGACAGGGTTTCACCGTGTTGGCTAGGCTGGTCTCAAACTCCTGACCTCAAATGATCCACCCACCTCAGCCTCCCAAAGTGCTGAGATTACAGGCGTGAGCCACCGCACCAAGCCAGCTCCTTGATTTCAATGCAGATACAAGGAGTCTGGGGTGACAAGGGTCAAGCAGCAGTGTTGAGCTGCCAGAGGAGAGAGAGGAGCACAGACTGGGAATGCAGGATTTACAGGTTATCTGAATGGTCAGACCTGGAGGGATCTTTAGCAACCTGCAGGAATCTTTAGCAATAGGGACCCGATCACCAGACCCCTAGTACCAAAATAGATGGAGAGGCCAGTAGAGTCCCACCTATATAACAAGAGAGTGTGAGGTCCAACTGACAGAGACTCTACTGCAACAGAGAGGAAACCCTCACCAATTTTCTAGATAAAAATCAGTTTGCAAACTCAGGGGCCCCTGAACGAGGTGGGGCATGCACCCTTAAGGAGGGCCCTGTAAAAACAGCACAGATTCATCCTGGCATTTTCCTCACAATCTCCCCAAAGAGACCTGTGGCCACAAGCCAGGTGTGGCAGATATACTTGTGGTCTACCACAAAGCCATTTTTCACTTTTCTGTTTTTTGAGACAGAGTCTCGCTCTGTCACTCATGCTGGAGTGCAGTGGCAAAATCATAGCTCACTGCAGCCTCAACTTACTGGGCTCAAGCGGTCCTCCCCCCCTCAGACTCCTGAGTAGCTGGGATTACAGGCACGCACCACCATGCCCAGCTAAGTTTTTGATCTTTTTGTAGAGACAAGGTCTCATTATGCTGCCCAGGCTAATCTCAAATGATTACAGCCATGAGCCGCTGTACCCCACCTCATTTTTCACTTTTAATAAAATAGTTTTGCCAATACAGTGGTACGTGCTTGTAATCCCAGCTACTCAGGAGGCTGAGGCAGGAGGATCGCTTGGTCATGAGTTCATAACCAGCCAGAGCTACAGAGCAAGATCCTGTTTTTGTTTTTGCCTTTGAGAGAGGGTCTTATTTTGTCGCCCAGGTTGCAGTGGCCTGACCCCGGCTCACTGCAACCTCCAACTTCTGGGCTCAAGTATTCTCTTGTCTCAGCCTCCCAAGTAGCTAGGACTGTAGACACGTGCCACCACACTTAGTCATTTGAAAATTTTTTTTGTAGAGATAGGGTCTCATTATGCTCCCCAGGCTGGTCTCAAACTCCTGGGCTCACACAACTCTCCCACCTCGGCCTCTTAAAGCACTGGGATTACAGGTGTGAACTACTGTGTTCGGTGCAAGACCCCGTTTTTACAAAAATAAGATAAAATAGTTTCGTTTAAACAATAATGTACCCAGTAATGATCAGTCTAAACCAAATATGGCAACACTCTTCTCTGCAAGTAAGAAGTATTATATATATATTTTTAGATATAAATCCAATATTGCTGAAACCTACCTATGTCTTTGCAACAATATTTGATTCTATCCAAATATTATCTGATCCTTTCAAGCTCATTCTTATTGGTGTAAGAAAAAATGAAAATAGCCAGGTGCAGTGGCTCACGCCTGTAATCACAGCACTTTGGGCGGCCAAGGCGGGCAGATCACCTGAGGTCAGGAGTTCTAGACAAGCCTGAACAACATGAAGAAACCCCATCTCTACTAAAAATACAAAATTAGCTGGGCATGGTGGCGCATGCCTGTAATCCCAGCTACTTGGGAGGCTGAGGTAGGAGAATTGCTTGAACTCAGGAGGGGCAGGTTGCAGTGAGCGGAGATCACGCCATTGCACTCCAGCCTGGGCAACAAGAGTGAAACTCCGTCTCAAAAAAATAAAATAAAATAAAAAACAAATATCCTGTGACCCTATATGATGGCTATTATTTCCCAGTAACCCAAAATGCTACTCAACATAATAATATAATTGCCCTTTCTAGGTTATGGTACAACACTGGACCTGAAGAAAAACTCTGATATTGTTATATTTCATTCCTTTTATTGTTTTCTACTAAAATCTTCAAAACCTTCTTCCAAAAGTGCTGAGAAGCCTCAAAGGGAGTCAGGTGTCCACCCTAGGAACTCAGAGCCAAGAGACAGGTGAGGACCCCCGAAGCTGTCCCCCAGGCTCTCACCAGGCAGAGGTTAGTCACCACCTGAATCCTGCAAAGTTGCCTCTCCCTCAGACACCTTGGCATAGTTGGAGAAGGCAGAAACATAGCTGCTGGCCACCCCAAACCACCCAGAAGCAGCCCAGCGACAGCCATCCTCTGCCCTGACACACTGGGAGGAGCACAGGCGAACACCCGGCAATGCCCTGCCCCATCTTGCCCACAGAGGAGCCCCGCCTACAACCCACTTCCCGGAAAGCCAGCTCCAGGGCAGGAAGTATGGACAGCCCATGATGTTCTGAGGCATGGGAAAGAGAACACCCAGCCCCTTGTCTCCACCTTCCCGACCCCAGATGCAGGTGACAAAGACAATACCAGAATAGGCCGGGTGCAGTGGTTCACGCCTGTAATCCCAGCACTTTGGGAGGCCAAGGCGGGTGCATCACCTAAGGTTGGGAGTTCAAGACAAGCCTGACCAACATGGAAAAACCCTGTCTCCACTAAAAATATAAAAACTAGCTGGGTATGATGGTGCATGCCTGTAATCCCAGCTGCTCGGGGAGGCTGAGGCAGGAGAATTGCTTGAACCCGAGGCGGAGGTCGTGGTGAGCCAAGATCGTGCCATTGCACTCCAGCCTGGCCAACAAGAGTGAAACTCCGTCTCCAAAAAATAAAAATAAAAAAAGAAAAAGAAAATACCAAAACACTGGTCAGCATACTGTCACCACAGCCTCACGCAGCCACTACATCCTTGACCCAGCTCCCGGGGCCTCCTCCCCAAGAATGCCGCATTTGGAGCCCACATTCCCAGGGACCCCAGAATCCTTCCCTTAACAGTGCTCCACTCCAGCTGCACTGCCCCCTCCACATCTGCCTCATGTTCAGGGCCAAGGGCCCCATACCCCAGGTCAGCCCAGGGAAGACCCAGGCCGCCTGCCCATGTATGCCAGGCCAGGACTCACTCCAGGGCAGCATAATTCCTCTTCAGTGAGAGTGAACATGGGGGTGGAAGCTGAACGAAGGATCCCAACACAGACCTGCGAGGAAGACCACAGCACCAGGTGTCGACAGAGCAGGCCAGAAAAAAAACACTTCAGAAATGGAGAACTGGCTACCAAATACAACCTGAGATTATTTTTTAAAAAGTATTTATTGCAAAGAATGCTGGACACAGTGTTGCATGTGGCTGAGATTCAATACCATCCATTCTGGGGAACTCGGGAAAATATCTGCAACATGGGCACGCCAGCCAGCATGGCCGAAATGTGGCAGCCAATCAGCTACACCTCAGCCCATGCGGAGACCATGCCAGGGCAGAGGCCGGGGGGTTGCCCCCACTCATGCCCTGATCCCTGGATGTCCCTCTACCCTGTCCCCAGTCCTCGTAATGCATCCAGTCCAGCAACTCCTAACTCCCCTCTGTACACAGAGAGAAAAGGCCTCGGTGGTCTCACCTCAGATGACATCCAGAGGTACATGCACTGTTGCTGACCAAGGGAACCCACTATGGCTAACAAATGAGTGTGTCCAGGTGACAAAAGTCACCAAAACTCCAAAATACACAGAAGCAAAGGCTGCAGTCCTAATGTCCCAAAGGCATGGTCCTTGGGCTCTGGGTCTAAAGGGCTTGGGGCTCTGACAGATGAGTCTGGAAGGATCTTGCCCCGGCTCCGCCTTGGACATCTCTTAGCAGAGCAGCACACAAGGATGAGAGACCACCGGCCAGGGCCAGGGACGCTAACTTCTCTCAGGGACAGGTGGCATCTGCAGGCTGCAAAGCCCTGGGAGGCTGGAAAGATGTGCTACCCTCCAGGCACAGGCCAGGAAAGGCTCCGGACACAAAGGACTTGGGATCCAGGGGCCTGGCTTCCCCAGAGTCCACCTGTGGACAGCAGGGCACCCGATTACAAGTCCAGACACTTTCTGACCCAGCCCCACAACTTGCCAGCCAGTCTGTTTGCCAGCTGTAAACAGACTGCCCAGGCTGCCTCTCTGGGACCAAAAGAACTCAGGGGCATGACAGACACTGGACTTCACAAGGCCATTTTCACCAGACTCACGTGCACATGAATGGAAGGCTGTGCTGCGGCCGGGAAAATCCTCCCTTGCCCAGGGACTGCCTATGGGTTCTGCCTTCTCCCTTCCTCAGACCCACAGGCAGAAGTCAACAAACACCAGAGAAGTTTTACAGGACCATACAAGTGTTTCTGAATTATTTATGGCAAATGCATGTTTCTGCCACCAGTGTACATTCCTGTGTGGACACGGGCAGCAACAGGGGAGAGGCCGCCTCCCCATTGGCTGCCAGTGTCCACAGCCAGGGAAGGGGAGAGGGGGCGGCAGCCTCTCCCTCGAGCACTTCGGTGTGTGCACCAGGAAGGTAACTTCCTGCCCTGTCTTGAAGTGGTTTCACTGTGAGAGCAGGCCTGAAGGGGCACCCCTGGCCACCAGCTCCCCTAAGCATACCTAAGTAGCCGGGTACATGCACAACTGGGGAGGGGCGACCACAACTGCCCCCCTGCCCTCACGTTTCTGTGCATCCCAATGTGCTGAAGCAAGCGCATTGCTTTCATGAATGCCCACAACTAAGGGTGACATGGATACAACGGCCTGGCCAGTGGCTGCCCAGGAAGCATCTGCTGTGGTTGGGGCTCTAGTTCCTGGTGGGTAAGGATGGGAAGGGCTCTCCCTCTCACCAGAGGCAGCAGAAGCTCAGGGCCCCATGAAGACCTGGCCTCTGGCTCAGGAAGTGGCCACAGAGAGGATGGTAGAGGCCCTGTGGAGAGTCACCAGGTCCATGCTGGGCAGCTGGGCCACAGTAGGAACATCACAGCAAGCACTTTCCTTTCACATTGTAGGGTTTCACACTTCACAAAGCCAACTGAGCTGGCGAGAGTGAACACCTAAGAGCTGCGCCGGAAGAAACTGGGGCTGGGCAACCTCCGCGCAGCCCATGCAGATGCAGTCTGGTCAAGTGACTCTTAGCAGCAGGTCAGGAGCCACGCACAACCTTGTCGCCGACTGTCAACAAAGAGCCAGGTGGGCTGGGGTGGGGGCTCTGGGTTCCGCCAGCCATGTGTGGCTTCAAGAATATCCCTGCATGGCATGGTGACTATCACACACACTGGAGGGCCTGGAATGACCCCCTCTGCAGAGAGCAGTGCCTGCCTAGTGGTCACAGTGGATGAACATGGTCACTGGTGAGCAGGCACCGTGACAAGGGCTTCCTCTGGAGGTCTTGAGATGTCCACGTTCTGTACAATAAAAACACAGAGCGTTCACTCCATGGCAGGAATAGATGAGATGCCTGCTGTCTGCCGTCCTCATCACTGTGGTTCATCAGGCTTCACATTCTCACTGTAGCAGCCACAGCCGCAAGACTCTAGACCACAAGCTTCCCTAAGAATACATGGCCAAGAGCTTCGTGCCACATAGCGGGTGGATGGACAATAGAACAAAGGTGCGGTGGAGGATGCCACCTCGTTTCCTGCTCCACTGCAGCCAGGTCAGGCAATACCCAAAGCAAGGCCACTCCCACCTCCTATCTCAGGGCTGAGTCAATTGAGGAGGAACCCCTGGCTTGGGGATTTTATCCTCATCTGTGGGGCAGGGAAGGGGTTCAACTCCTGGGGGTGCCTCCTTCCTAGTTTAAAGTGTTGGCACGCAGGTGTCAGAGGTGCCCCAGAAGCCTATGGGCATTTCCTGGTCTGCAGCCTGGTCTGTCCCCTCAGAACTGGGGTACAGGGCCTCCTGAAGCCCTCAGCTATAGAAGGACCCCACCAAACTGCAGAGCTCAGTCCCATCCTTGGCCTGTCGGGCTCAGGGAGTCTCAGGCCTGAGGAATAGGGAATCTGAAACTTCCCTTAGCTCTCTGAGGCTGTCTTATGTGCCCCAGAGCCTGGTGGCCCCTCCTCCCAGCTGTGGGCCCCGGAACCATCACCTGCAGGAGCAGGTCACTGATGACCTGAGCTGCTGCCCCATGCAACATGACATGCCCAGATCTTCAGGGAGAGAGACATGGCCCCCATGGCCCACAGCCTGGGCTCATAGGACCGGCCCCTGGAATTGTAGGGGCAGGTATAATTCTTACTGCTGGGCAGGCTTCCTGAGGCGCCCCTTTTCCACCACAGCCTGCCCCAATGGATGGGCCAGAAGGGAGCCATCCAGGAACCTGGGGTTAGTAGCGGTTTGCCTCTCAGAAGCACCCACCCATAGTGGGCAGAATGACCGCCAGCCACACTATGGTGATGGACTGGTAGGGTCAGCTCCCAAGGGCTGCCAGGCCCAGGGACCTCTCTTACCATCACCCTGCCAACCCAGGGGCCTCTCTTACCATCACTCTGTCAGCGCTGGGGGCCCAGTGCCATCTGGGCCTTCCTTGGCCCAAAGGATGCCCGTTGGGAGGTACGTTCCCCTGTGACTTGTGGGTACCAAATTGGGCCTGGGCTGAACTTGGCCAAGACATGCACGAACTATCAGAGCAATGGGAAGAGAGGCCTGCAGGGTAACTGGTCCTGCTTGGGGGCAGTGGTGTTGGGAAGGGACAGGACACATCTACACACCTGTGCTGTGAGGTCCAAGGCCAGATGTCCTGGTCCAGCCCAAGACGTGCATCCTCAGCAGGGACCCAGAGCCCAAGCAGGCCCCATCATGGATGGCAAGAGGCATGACTGAGGCCCAAGAGCCTTCTCCGTGCAGTGGCCTCCAGGAACTGGGACCGGGGCTCCCAGAAGTGTAGGTCCTATCCTTGGCCCCAGTGGGAGAGGGAGCCAACATTGTGGAGGGACCCCACATGGGACTAAGAGTGGTTCTGAGCTACACTCTGAGGAGCTTCTACCTTCCACAAGGCACTTGGGGAGCACAGGTGGTGACTGCTTTTCTGGACCAAGGTCTCCACCCCATGCTGAGGCCCCTTCAGTATCTGCATGGCCC
This sequence comes from Homo sapiens, assembly GCF_000001405.40. Lineage (NCBI taxonomy): Eukaryota > Metazoa > Chordata > Mammalia > Primates > Hominidae > Homo > Homo sapiens. The sequence goes on from NC_000003.12 coordinate 48,521,485, forward strand.
TTTCCCCAAAAGTACATGATCCCATTTTAATTTTTAAAGGTGCTGGGGTTAGGAAAGGGGCTCATGAGGCCTCGGCTGCAGGGATGGGGAGTGGGAAGAGTGCCCACCTGCCCTCAGAAGGCCAGAAGCCTCATTCTTAGCCTCCAGCCTCATTCTCACTGAGCCCAAGGGCCCCCTTGACTTAGACCTCCAAGTTGCTGCTTGGGAGCCCTGTGGCTCCTCAAGTCCTGGGGCTCCAACCACACCCAAGTTCAGGCACTCCTGAGCCTGGTGGCCCAGAGTCAGGGATTTCCCCATCCCCAGGGCAGGTGCCTTGGGAAGGCCTGATGCAGGCCCCACCCAGAGCCAGGGCCCCGCCCTGCTGATGGGACAACAGTCTTGGCAGAAGACTCAAGCTCCCTCTGGCAGGTGCCGCAGCTGGGCCTGGCCCTGGAGGATGTGCAGTCTGGACACCCCCACATCAGGAACACCCCGCTACCCCAGCAGTGACCCCATTGCTACCTGAGGCCTGTCCCGGTGCGTGTTCACAGCAGCCACGTTCAGGAATATGGACTCCACTTTACAACCTGCCAAAGGGAAGATGCAAATCCATCCCCACTCCTGAAAGGCAGCTGAGCTGCAGATGCTAGAAACTTCTCTTGGAGGGGGGTCTGGGCGTGTGGAATGGAGCAGCCATCTCAGCCTCACTCTAGTTCTTCCACTTTAGGCAGCTCTGGGGAGCCCCGGGAGGAAGGATGAGACACGCTGTCAGACCCACGCATATCTATGTGACGGCCCAGACAGGGCCACACAGAGGCCCCAGGCTCCCCAACCCCAGGACCGAGAGGGATCGGGGGAACAGCAGGCCTAAGTTGAGGTTACTGACTCTCAAAGTCTTCAGGGCCCCCAAACCACCCACATTCCAACTCTACCATATAAGGCCCAGTCAACCGTGTGCCAGGTGCACAGTGCAATGGGGGATGAGGCCATTGTCACACACTGGAGTGACATCAGCTGCCACTGGGCTTCACAGCCATTCCCCCAAGAGCACCTGTGTTAAAGGTGAAGAGCTAAGACCTGAGAGATGAAGAAGTTGCCTGAAGTCTCTGCTGGTATAGCAAGAGGCAGGGTGGGGACTCACACTGCCCTGCACCCAGAATAAAGTCCAGGCCCTGAGGACCAAGGGGCCTTGTGGGGGTTCAGAAAAATCAGTAGAAAAGCCCCTCATGCAGGTAGGCAATGGTTAAGCAAAGTCACTGGGGAGGTCTTCTGTGGCCACATAAACTTTTTCACAACAAACTTTTTTTTTTTTTTTGAGACAGGGTCTCGCTCTGTCGCCCAGGCTGGAGTGCAGTGGTGCGATCTCGGCTCACTGCAAGTTCCGCCTCCCGGGTTCATGCCATTCTCCTGCCTCAGCCTCCCAAGTAGCTGGGACTACAGGTGCCCGCCACTACGCCCAGCTAATTTTTTTGTATTTTTAGTAGAGATGGGGTTTCACCATGTTAGCCAGGAGGGTCTCTATCTCTTGACCTCGTGATCCACCCACCTCGGCCTCCCAAAGTGCTGGGATTACAGGCATGAGCCACCGCACCCAGCCCCAGAACAAACTTTTTAAAAGCAAATTAGGGCCGCAGATGGTAGCTCATGATGGTAGCTCACGCCTGTAATCCCAGCACTTTGGGAGGCCGAGGCAGGTAGATCACCTAAGGTCAGGAGTTCGAGACCAGCCTGACAACATGGTGACACTCTGTCTCTACTAAAAATACAAAAATTAGCTGGGCATGGTGGCAGGCGCCTGTAATCCTAGCTACTCGGGAGGCAGAGGCAAGAGAATCATCTGAACCCGGGAGGTGGAGGTTGTAGTGAGCCTAGATCACGCCATTGCACTCCAGCCTGGGTGACAAAGCGAGACTCCGTCTCAAAGAAAAAAAGCAAATTGGGAAAGGTGGTGGGGTAGTAGGTGGAGGAATGGGCTCCTAACACAATTTTCAAGGAATTCGGAGAAAATCATGGAACTGTGCAGAGATCCAAGGTCATGGCTACCCATGGTCAATGTGCAGGAAGCTTCCTTACCATATGCCACAGGAGTCAGCTTCAGGACTGTGTGCAGCGGACACTTGAGGTAGGGCAGCTGTTCTGTAGACACAGAGGGGGATGGCTAGCACACCAGAAATGCCTGGTGACAGTGCCTACCTTCTCACACAACCTTCCCACCTCCCCCGGGGCACAGCCCACACCTGCTGCCTTGTCGAGGAAGTAGGCCAGCAGGCAGCGCATCACAGCCTGGTGGCAGATGACCAGCACATTCTCTTGCCTCTCCAGCTCCATGATGACAGGCTCCAGTCTCTGGACCAGGTCCTCGTAGGACTGCAAGGGCAAGCAGAGAGGGGTCCCTCAGGCCTGGCTCCGGGGGAGGGACAGACACATCCTGGACACTGGGCCACCTTCCACTCCTGCAGCTACTCACCATTCTGGGAAGCTGTGGCTGGGCCTCCTCCAGCCTAGCCTTCTGAGGCCATGGGGGTGGGCAGCTGAGGAAAGGGGCCACCTTTCCCACCTCAGGGCTAGGTCCTGGTAGGATTGAGAGCGCAGAGCTAGGCCTCAGGCTCCATCCCAGGGTCCACCTCAGTGCCCACCCATGGGGCTCTGCACTGAATCCTCAGCTATAGAATTCATGTGACTGGTGGAGAAGACCTCGCCTGCTTCCAGCCCACAGCAAACAGAGTGCACTGACAAGAGCGAAGGGGAAGAGAGCAAAGACCTGGAACTTTCTGGAGTGTGACTCATCAGAAACAGCTGGGGTCCCCAGGAACTATCCTCAGTCTACCTGCCCAGTATCTTCCCCCTATGCCTGCCGTGATGTACGGTTTAGGCCCCTGCTGGGCCTCTCAACCTGGCAGGTTTAGAGATTTTCATCAGTTTCATCCTTCTGCACACAATGAGTGGTCCTTCAAAAATGGCCTCCAGCAGTCAGAACTGAACGTGCCCCAAGCTTTGATTAGGAAGCAAAAATGACACGCTGATTTGTGCCAGTTCCTGGTAGTTCTGAGAAAATCCTAGACCGGTTCTTTTGGTAACATGAATTTCTCAACCAATTCTCCTCACTGTATTCTCATGTTTGAGCAGCCAGCTGCTTTGTTTCTCCTGACCGTTATCTGGGTTGGTTCTAAATCTGAACTTGGCCTAACATAATGTGGGGAATAATTAATGTTCCCAAGAGCTATACTATCCTGAGGATGGTACAGTGTAGAGACCTGTCAGCCTGGCTTCTGGGTGGAGGTGCTTCTACATGTGTATATATATGTGTACATATGTGTGTTGACGGGGTGTATTTTTATTTGGCCCCTGCCCCAGGCCACCTCCTGGAAGTGGAAGGAGATGCCTCAGTCAAAGGTGACCCTCAGTTTCTGACCTGGGGCCTGGGCTGAACTGTGTCAGAGAAGGTGACAAGTGCAGTGGCTTGTGGTAGCCAACTCATGTGTGGAAGGTCTCCCTGGGTCTGGTGCCAGGGCTGGGGGTGGTGCCTGGAGCCACAGGAAGGACAGGATGGGCTCAGCCTGTGACAAGAGGAAGCATCCAAAGGAAGGATGAGGCCCGAGACAGGGACTCGAGTGAGCTGAGACCCGAGTCCCAGGCCTGCCATGGTCTCCCCAACTCCCCAGCCATTTGAGCGCCCCGGAAAGGGCTGACAACTCGCTGGGAAAGGAGCTGGCCTGGGAATGCCAGGGGACCGCACACTGTCTACAGGGGTCCCAGGAAAGCCTAACTCCGCAGATCCCCCACCTCAGGCCCTGCCCTTCCGAATTCTCCACCCCTGGGAAGGGGAAAGACAAGAATGGAGAGCAGGGAGCCAAAGGTCTCCAGGTTGAAGGCCTGCCCTACATGGCACTGCCCACTCCACACCTGAGGAAGGGACTAAGGCCTGGGCTGCATAGCTGGGAAGGGGTGGAGATGAACCACACACCCAGGCTGGCAGGCCTCTGAGACCAGGCCCCTTCTGCTACCCACGCAGCCCCTGCAGAGCCCCACAGGCCCTCAGCCACAGGTGGTACTCCCAGGCGGGCAGTAGGTGGCTGGGACTAAGCCCCAAATCCCACCTACCTCCCCTTTAGGGTACCGGTACCGGTACTTGTCCTGGTCCCGCAGGGCGAACTCCAGTGGATAATTATCCTGAATTTCCTCGTAGGTCATTTCCTCACAGACGCCCTAGGGAGATACCACAGTCATCACACCTCCTACAGGCCCAGAAGATGAGCCTTGGGGACATGTGGGGTGAGGCAGCATCAAGCAGAAGAGACCAAGTTCACGGGCATTTCCTGGGTGAAGGGAACAGAAACCTGTCTAAGGAGGGGAGGACCTCTAGGAACACTGATCATTGGTGGTTCCTTGCTTGTAAAAAGCTACCAGGATGGTCTTGTCCACCTATCCATCACCCATCCAATACACACAGAGATGCTATGTGTTTTTTCTTTTCTGTGCTGTGGAAATAGTACTTGTGAGTGTAGGTTGTTATGCAAACTATGAAGGAAAACTTCACTTGTGTTATTTGGGATACACACACACACACAGAGCATAGATCATCTTCTACAAATGCCATTAAAAAAAAAAAGCTGGCTGGGCGCGATGGCTCACGCCTGTAATCCCAGCACTTTGGGAGGCTGAGGCAGGCGGATCACTTGAGGTCAGGAGTTCAAGACCAGCCTGGCCAACATGGTGGAGGAGGCAGTGGTTGCAGTGGGCTGAGATTGTGCCACTGCACTCCAGCCTGGGCAACAGAGAGAGACTCCCTCTCAAAAGAAAAGAAAAAAAAAGAAAAGTTGGCTGGGCGTGGTGGCTCACAGCTCACAGCCTGTAATCCCAGCACTTTGGGAGGCTGAGGCAGGTGGATCACCTGAGATCAGGAGTTCAAGGCCAGCATGGTCAACATGATGAATCCCCGTCTCTACTAAAAATACAAAAATTAGTTGGGCGTGGTGGCGCACGCCTGTAGTCCCAGCTACTCAGGAGGCTGAAGCAGGAGAATCGCATGTACCCAAGAGGTGGAGATTGCAGTGAGCCAAGATTACGCCACTGCACTCCAGCCTGGGGAAGAGAATGAGACTCTGTCTCAAAAAAAAAAAAAAAAAGATGGGGACATATTGGATTAGAGTGGGTCCTAAATCCAGTCATTGGTGTCCTTTTAAGAACGCCATGTAGGCCGGGCACAGTGGCTCATGCCTGTAATCCCAGCACTTTGGGAGGCTGAGGCAGGTGGATCATGAGGTCAGGAGTTTGAGACCAGCCTGGCCAATATGGTGAAACCCCGTCTCTACTAAAAAAATACAAAAATTAGCCAGGCGTGGTGGCTCACGCCTGTAGTCCCAGCTACTTGGGAGGCTGAGGCAGAAGAATCTCTTGAACCCGGGAGGCAGAGATTGCAGGGAGCTGAGATCATGCCACTGCACTCCAGCCTGGGTGACAGAGCGAGACTCCATCTCAAAAAAAAAAAAAAAAAGAATGTCATGTGAAGGCACAGACAGACATACATAGGGAAGAAAGCCATGTGATGACCGTGGACAGAGGTGGGATTGGAGTGATGAGGCTATGAGCCAAGAAATACCAAGGATTACCAGCAACAACTGGAAACTAGGAAGAGGTGAGGAAGCGTTCTTTATTAGCACCTTCAGAGGGAGCATGGCCCCGCTGACGCCTTGATTTCAGACTTCTAGCCTCCAGAACTGTGAGAGAATCAATTCATGTTGTTTTAAGCCACTCACCTGTAGTGCTTTGTTACGGCAGCCCTAGTAAACTAATACTTTTTTTTTTTTTAACATTTAGTGGTTTTTTTTTTTTTTTTGAGACAGTCTTACTCTGTCACACAGGCTGGAGTCCAGTGGTGTGATCTTGGCTCACTGCAGCCTCAAACTTCCCAGGCTCAGGTGATCCTCCCACCTCAGCCTCCCAAGTAGCTGGGACTACAGGTGTGCGCCACCACACTTGAATACTAACACATATTTTGGTACCAGGAGGTGAAGTGCTGCTGGCTGCTGTAATAAAGAACTAAAAATGTGGAAGTGGTTATGAAATGGGATAGTGGGTAGAGGCTGGAAGAATTTTGTGGTGCATGATAAAAAGCTTAGACTGTCTTGAAGAGACTGTTAGTAGAAATTTAGACATTAAAGATTATTCTGGTGAAGGCACAGAAGGAAGTGAAGAGGATGACAGAGAAAGCGTCCATCATCTTTTTTTTTTTTTTTTTTTTTGAGACAGGGTCTCACTCTGTTGCCCAGGCTGGAGTGCAGTGGTGCAATCTCAGCTCACTGCAACCTCTGCCTCCCATGTTTAAACAATTCTCCTGCCTCAGCCTCCTGAGTAGCTGGGATTACAGGCACAGGCCACCATGGCTGGCTAATTTTTTGTATTTTTAGTAGAGACGGGGTTTCGCCATGTTGACCAGGCTGGTCTCGAACTCCTGGCCTCATGTGATCTGCCCATCTCGGCCTCCCAAAGTGCTGGGATTACAGTCATGAGCCACTACGCCCGGCCAGCTTCCACCATCGTAAAGAGCACATATATCATCATGAAAAGAACGTTGATAGAAATATGAACATTAAAGGTGCCTCTGTGAGCCCACAAGGGGAAATGAGGTACCTTTTCCTGGACCCTAGAGAAAAGGTAATCCATGTTATAAAGTGGCAGAGAATGTGGCTAAACTGAGTTCCCATGTTGGACGGCTACAACCAAGACTGATGGTAACAAGCGCAGGCGGGTATGTGGAGAAATCAGAGCCCTCACACACTGCGGGAGGGAATGTGAGATGGCGAAACAGTGTGGCAGTTTCTGAAAAGGTTGAATGTATAATTACCATATGACCCAGCAATTCTACTCCTAGCGTACAGTGAGGAGAAATAAAAATATAAGTCCGCACAAAAACTTATGCCGGATGCGGTGGCTCATGTCTGTAATCCCAGCACTTTGGGAGGCCAAGGCAGGTAGATCTCTTGAGCCCAGGAGTTTGAGACCAGCCTGGGCAACATGATGAAACCCCATCTCTACAAACAAATACAAAAATTAGCTGGGTGTGGTGGCGAGTTCCTGTAGTCCCAGCTACTTGGGAGACAGAGGTGGGAGGATTGCTTGAGCCCAGGAGATGGAGGCTGCAGTGAGCTAAGATCGTGCTACTGCACTCAGCCTGGGCAACAAAGCAAGACCCTGTCTCAAACAAACAAACATAGAAAACACCTTGGACATGAATGTTCACAGCAGCATTATCCACATAGCCCAAAAGTGGCAACAACTCAAATGCCCATCAACTGATGAATGGATACATAATGTGTGGTATATTTATATAATAGGATGTTATTTGGCAATGTAAAGGAATGAAATACTGCTACATGCTACACGAATAAACCTTGAAAACATTAGTGGTAGCTTAAGGCAGAAGGAAGGGTTAGAGGGAAATGGGAAGTGACTGTTGATGGGCACAGGATTTCTATCTGGGGTGATGAAATGTTCTAAAACTGATTGTGGTGATGGTTGCACAACTCTGAACACACTAAAAACCACTGAACTGTATACTTATTTATTTATTTATTTATTTATTTATTTTTTTAGAGACTGAGTCTCGCCTTGTCTCCAAGGCTGGAGTGTAATGGCACGATCTCAGCTCACTGCAACCTCCACCTCCTGGGTTCAAGTGATTCTCCTGCCTCAGCCCCCCGAGTAGCTGGGATTACAGGTGTGCGCCACCACAAATGGCCTGAACTGTATATTTTAAATGGGTGAATTCTATGGTATATGAATTATATCTCAATAAAGCTATCATTTTTTTAAAGGAACTATAAGGCAATAAATTGTGGATTAAACTAAGAAAAAGTCATAATGTTGGAATAGAAGACAAGCCCAAGGCTGTTTATCAGAAGATAAACATGGAAAGATGATTAATGGATCATAAAAACTGTAATAGTTTCAAAACTTGAAAGATGAAGGAAATCCACAAGCATCTTGGAAAATAATCAGATTAACTTCAAAGGAAAAAAACTGGGGTGGCTGCAGGCTTCTCTGCAAAACTGAATGTTAGCATCAAATCTATATATTTGGAGGGAAGACACTGTCCTATAACCTGCCTCAGGTAGCTGCTGTTTGTGTGAGAAAGAAATCAGTGGCTGGATAACCCCCACCAAGCACAAAATGGGTTAAATGAGCTACAAAATGAGTTATAAAAATTGCTTACTTTTTTGAAAGAGATTATCAATTCTGAAGAGAAAGAATAGATAAAAAATAAAACCACAACTTGAGTTCAGGAGTTTGAAACCAGCCTGGGCAATATGGTGAAGCCCCATCTTTACAGAAAATACAAAAATTAGCCAGGCGTAGTGTTGCACACCTGTGGTCCCAGCTACTCAGGAGGCTGAGGTGGGAAGATGGCTTGAGTCCAGGAGGCGGAGGTTGCAGTGAGCTGAGATGGTGCTACTGCGCTCCAGCCTGGGTGACAGAGCCAGACCCTGTTTCAAAAATAAAATAAAATAGGCCAGGCATAGTGGCTCATACCTGTAATCCCAGCACTTTGGGAGGCCAAGGCGGGTGGATCACCTGAGGTCAAGAGTTCAAGACCAGCCTGGCCAACATGGTGAAACCCTGTCTCTACTAAAAATACAAAAATTAGCCAGGCATGGTGTCTCACAACTGTAGTCCCAGCTACTCGGGAGGCTGAGGCACGAGAATCACTTAAACCCGGGAGGTAGAGGTTACAGTGAGCTGAGATTGCACCACTACACTCCAGCCTGGGAAACAGAGTGAGATTTGGTCTCAAAAAATAAATAAATAAATAAAAATAAAATAAAATAAAACCATGATGCTGTACTCTGCCCAATTACATCGAAAAAACAGAGCAAAAAGGAAATGAATGGCAATAATACAACATCATCTTTCCCAACAGAAGGTCAAAAATTATTTTCCTGTGACAGTATGAGCTTTGTTAAGTATATTTCAATTATGTGCATCCAGCCTGAGAATGTCTTTGAAAAGCTTTAAGGTAAAGACTATTGGAATAAAAACATTGCCTACCTTTCAAATAACAAAAAAGATCATATCTACACAGAAAAATTGGAATAAAGAGAAAATTCCAAGGTATTGAAAACAAGATCAAACATACCAGTAATGATAATAATAAACCTAAGTGGTTGCAGATGCCTTGATGAAAAAAGCTCTTGGGCTAGGCTAAAACTCAAAGCAAGTATATGCTTTTGTTTTGTTTTGTTTTGTTTTCTTTTCTTTTGTTTTTGAGACAGAGTCTTGCTCTGTCACCCAGGCTGGAGTGTAGTGACATATCTTGGCTCACTGCAACCTCCTCCTCCTGGGTTCAAGCAATTCTCCTGCTTCAGCCTCCCACGTAGCTGGGATTACAGGCATGCGCCACCACGCTCAGCTACTTTTTACATTTTTAGTACAGACAGGGTTTCACCATCTTGGACAGGCTGGTCTCAAACTCCTGATGTCAAGTGATCCACCCACCTCAGTCTCCCAAAGTGCTGGGATTGCAGGCATGAGCCACTGCGCCTGGCCTATGCTCTTTATTCTAAAGAAAATGATACAAAAATGTTAAAAATAAAAGGGAAAAAATATAATAAAAAAATATGGACAGGTTGGGCATGGTGGTTCATGCCTGTAATCCCAGCACTTTGGGAGGCCAAGGAAGGAGATCACTCGAACCCAGGAGTTCAAGACCACCCTGGGCAACACAGCAAGACCACATCTCTAAAAATTTTTTAAATTTAGGACAGGGGCAGTGGCTCATGACTGTAATACCAGCAATTTGGGAGGCCGAGGTGGGATCACCTGAGGTCAGGAGTTCAAGACCAGCCTGACCAACATGGAGAAACTCCGTCTCTACTAAAAATACAAAATTAGCTGGGCTTGGTGGCTCATTCCTGTAATCCCAGCTACTCGGGAGGCTGAGGCAAGAGAATCACTTGAACCCGGGAAGCAGAAATTTTTTTTTTTTTTTTTTAATTTTGAGAGGGAGTTTTGCTCTTGTTACCCAGGCTGGAGTGCAGTGGCGTGATCTCAGCTCACCACAACCTCCGCCTCCCAGGTCTCCAACTCCTGACCTCAGGTGATCTGCCCACCTTGGCCTCCCAAAGTGCTTGGATTACAGGCATGAGCCACCGCACCCGGCCAAAAAAAAATTTTTTTTTTAAATTTAGCTGGGTATGGTGATGTGTGCCTGTAGTCCTAGCTACTCGGGAGGCTAAGATGGGAGGATTACTTGAACCTGGGAGGTCAAGGCTGCAGTGAGCCATGATGGTGCCATTGCACTCCAGCCAGGACAACAGAGCAAGACCCTGTCACTTAAAAAAAAGAAAAAATATATGGACAGAAAGCAGGAATAACAAATCAAAACCAAGATGCAATACCACACCCATTAGGATGGCTACTATTAAAAAAAGAAAAGAAAAGAAAACAACAAGTGTTGACAAGGATGTGGAGAAATTGGAACCTGTGTGTACTTCTGGTAGAAATGTAAAATGATGCAGCTGCTATGGGAAACAGTACAGCAGTTCCTCAAAAAAATAAAAACAGAGGCCGGGTGCGGTGGCTCACGCCTGTAATCCCAGCACTCTGGGAGGCCGAGGCGGGTGGATTGCCTGAGGTTGGGAGTTTGAGACCAGTCTGGCCAACATGGTGAAACCCTGTCTCTACTAAAAATACAAAAAAAATTAGCTAGGCATCGTGGTGTGGGCCTGTAATCCCAGCTACTCAGGAGGCTGAGGCAGGGGAATTGCTTGAACCAGGGAGGTGGAGGTTGCAGTGAGCTGAGATCATGCCACTGCCCTCCAGCCTGGGCGACAGAGCGAGATTCCGTTTCAAAATAAATAAATAAATAAATAAATAATAAAAACAGAATTACCATAGGATCTGGCAATTCCACTTCTAGGTCTATACCAAAAAGAATTGAATTGAGAGCAGGGTCTCAAAGAGACATTTGTATCCATGTTCACAGCTGCATTATCCACAATAGCTAAAAAGTGGAAGCTGTCCAAGTGTCCATTGGCAGATGAATGGATACACGAAATGTGGTATACAATAGAATCTTATTCTGCCTTAGAAAGGAAGAAAATTCTTAAGGCTGGGTGTGATGGTTCACATTTGTAATCCTAGCACTTTGAGAGGCCAAAGTGGTAGAATCGCTTGAGGCTAGGAGTTTGAGACCAACCTGGGCAATATAGTGAGCCTCCCTTCTCTACAAAAAATAAAAAAATTATCTAGGCATGGTGGTGTGCACTTGTTAGTCCCAGCTACTAGGGAGGCAAGAGAATCGTTGAGTCTAGGAGTTTGAGGCTGCAGTGATTTCCACATTGCACTGTAGCCTGGGTGACAGAGTGAGATGCTGTCTTAAAAAATAAACAGGAAGGAAACTCTTGCACAAGCTACAACATGGATGAACCTTGAGGATATTATGCTAACTAAAGTAACCAGTTACAAAAAGACAAATACTATATGATTTCACTTATATGAGGTATATAAAGTAGTCAAAGTCATAAAGACAGAAAGTGGTTGCCAGGGGCTGGGAGTAGCAAATAGAGTTATTGTTTTTCTTTTTAAAATTTTTTTAGAGATGGGGTCTCACTATGTTGTCCAGGCTGGAGTGCAAGGGCCAATCGTGAATGAAATCATAGCACACCACAGCCTCAAACTCATGGGCTCAAGCAATCCTCCCACCTCAGCCTCCCAAGTACCTGGGACTATAGGTGTGAGCCAGCACATCTGGCTTGAGTTATTGTTCAGTGGGTACAGAGTTTCTGTTTTACAAGATTAAAAGAGTTCTGGAGATGCATGGTGGTGAGAGTTGCATAACAATGTAAATGTACTTCATACTCCTGAAACGTACACTTCAAAACAGCTATGATGGTAAATTTTATGTTATGCATATTTTACCACAGTAAAAAAAAATGGAAAAACAAAAGCAGGGGTGGTAATATTCAAATTAGTCAAAGTATATATCCACAGAAAAAGCTTTTCATATTGAAATGGGAACCACCCATAATAAAGACCAAGCCATGATGGAGCAACTGGTACCAGATTTGCTCTGGCCCCAACAAAAACAACTATTATTAAAAAAGGACAAATTGGCAGGGCGCTGTGGCTGACACCTGTAATCCTAGAACTTTGGGAGGTTGAGGTGGGTGGATTGCCTGAGGTCAGGAATTCAAGACCAGCCTGGCCAACGTGGTGAAACCCTGTCTCTACTAAAAATACAAAAATTAGTTGGTGTGGTGGCGGGTGCCTATAATCCCAGCTACTCTGGAGGCTGAGGCACAAGAATCGCTTGAACCCGGGAGACGAAGGTGGCAGTGAGCCGAGATCGTGCCATTGCACTCCAGCCTGGACAACAGGAGCAAACCTCCGTCTCAAAAAAATAAATAAATAAAGGGACAAATCAAACAACTGTTTTTAGACACGAGACTAGGCAGGACTGTGATCCTTGAGAGAAGGGAAGCAAGCTGAGGGGAGGAGGCAGCAGCTTACTGCCCAGAGGCACTTCCTGGACTGCAGAGCCAAGCATAATGAAGAAATAATGGAAGATTCAAAAAAGGAACAAAATGAAATTCCTGGAGCTTCAAAACACCACATCTGATATGAAAAGTTCACTGGATGGGTTTAATAAAAATGCAGAAGTAAAGATAAGTGAATTTGAAGACATAGCAGTAGAAACTATCTAAATTAAAGCTCGGAAGGAAAAAAAGACAGAGAAGAAATGAACAGAAGAAATTAAAAAACCAGAAGTTCAGTGACCTGTGGGATGATACCAAACAGTCTAACACACACAGAGTGGGAGTCCAGGATGGGAGAAGGGGTGGCAGAAAATACCTTTGAAGAAATGATGGCCAACAATTCTTCACATTTTATATTTAGAAACCCAGAAATCCGAGAATCTCAATAAACCCCAAGGATGATAAACATAAAGAAAACCATACTGAGATACATCATAATCAAATTGCTAAAAATCAGCAATAAAGAGAAAATATTCCAGCCTAGGCAACATCATGAGACTCCGTCTCTACAAAAATTAGAAAAGATTAGCCTGGCATGGTGGCAAGTGCCTGTAGTCCCAGCTAGTCAGGAGGTTGAGATGGGAGGATGGCTTGAGCCCAGGAAGTTGAGGCTACAGTGAGCTATGATTGCACCACAGCACTCCAGCTTGGGTGACAGAGTAAGATCTTGTCTTGAAAAAAAAAAAAAAAAGAAGAAAAGAAAATATTAAAGGCAGTCAGAGAAAAAGGAGGTAACATTATATCCAGAAGAGCAAAGATGAGAATGACAACAGACTTCTCTTAGAAACAATGCAACCCAGAAGTCAGCAGAAGAGCATTTTTTTTTTTTTGAGACAGAACATCACTCTGTTGCCCAGGCTGGAGTGCAGTGGCACAATCTCAGCCCACTGCAACCTCTGTCTCCTGGGTTCAAGCAATTCTCCTGCCTCAGCCTCCCGAGTACGTGGGATTACAGGTACCCACCACCATGCCTGGCTAATTTTTGTATTTTCAGTAGAGATGGGGTTTCACCATGTTGGCCAGGCTGGACTCAAACTCCTGACTTGAGGTGATCCGCCCGCCTCAGCCTCCCAAAGTGCTGGGATTACAAGGGTGAGCCACCGCACCTGGCGAGAACAGCATCTTTAAAGAGACAAAGGCCGTGCTGGTTCACCTCATTTGTGTCTCCAGATCCCTGGGAGGTTGGCTATGGCTGACTGCAGCTACCAAGCTCCCGTGGCCGCTGATTTCTTGTTGAGCTAGACCATGAGGAACCCTAGCAGGAGGCCACAGGGAGGGAGGAGAGTGAGGTTGAGGTGTCAACTCCCAGGCTCACTCCTGAGAATGGTCTAGGGCTCACCCAAGGTCCCATCCTGTTAGGCTGCCTTTTCCTCTCTGCTCCCAGCCCCTAGGTTCCTGTATCCTTTCTCTCTCCTCTCCTTTGCCCAAGGGGAGCAATGGTCACTGTTGTTACAATATGATGCAGCAGCCCTGCGGTATCTGGGAGGTAGACAGGGAGGGAGGGACGGTAACTACCGCATCGATCTCGTTGAGGACCTTCCACTGTTCATAGGGCACACCCAGTGCCTCAGCCGTCTGGATTGTCCTCTTCATCTGGCTTGTCCAGACCTTCAGATCCTTGATATTTTGGTCACTGATGAACTGGGCTAGACTCTTGGCAAACTGAAATACATCATAAGCAAACTCAGACCCACAGGTCTTGGGCTGCCCTTAAAGCATCCCATAGCCGCAGGGTCCATGAGATCACCCTCGCCTTGAACACTCACTACAGGTTTGGTAAAAAGCATGAACTAACTTGTCGATGACACACATGCTGACACACAAGAACACAAGTGCTGTTCCTGTGCACCCTCCCAGACCCTGAGCACAGCAGCACAGTTACAGCTGAGACTCATCAGGGCCACTGCCTCCCCACAACCAGGTGCCCTGTGCTACGTGACCACTGAGGTCTCCCCTGGACTGTGGCACAGCTATCTGCTACACTGTATGGACTCAGGTCGCTCTAAGGGTGGCATGCCTCTGACAAAAGGGGCTCAGTGAGTGACAGCTCACATGGAAACCAGAGATCCAGGCATTTGCCTGTTGCTTGATGACCTTCCCTACATGATGGGAAGATTCTAGGTTGAATGAAGGTCATTCACCTCGACTGCACATTAAAAGAATGGGAGCCTAGCCCCAGCGCACTCACACATGCATATACCCAGCCACGCAGGGTACAAATGCAGGCCCGTGTGCGCACGCAGGGACACATGCACTGACCTCCCTGCCCCGAGGGGACAGTCCTGGGTCCCCGCCAATCCGGCCCTTGAGGTTGAGCTCGCTCTCCCCGTGCCGGCAGAGGTAGATGGAGCGGGGGGTCACGTGGATGTTCATGAGGTAATATACGATGCGGCTCTGGATGTGGTCAGCCACACGGTTCACCACGTAGCTCTGGCCCACATCCATGATCTTGATATAGGACAGGTCCCTGTCCAGAGAGAAAGTAGAAAGAGGCCTGTGAGCGTGGCCAGGGTTCTCACAGAGCACATCTGGCTAGCCACGGAATCTAGCTGCGAGGCCTTGCACTTCCAACCACCAGAGATTACAACCCTCAGGACCGTCAGCTGGTGTGCGAGTGATGGGGGTGAGGCGGGAGCAACACAGTGCGTGTGACGCACAGGCAAACCCTGTGGGAGACGGGAGATGGGAGGTGCTCGTCACTCATCATGCTTCCCAAAGGTGACATCCAAAGTGGGGGGTCCGCCATACCACATCATGACTTTCTCCGCTGCTCATGTGTCCCTGGGGCCCCTGTTGGCCTATCTCCGCACTCTCAATACACTGTCTGTAAGTTGAACCAAGAGACAGTTTTCCCGAGGGTTGTTGACTTGGGAGTAGCTGGCAAACGCTCCACGCCCTCACTCTTCCTGGTCAGCTGTACAAGGACCTGGCCTTTCCTTCCCCAGTGACCTCCTCCCACTAGAGCCCAGTCCTGGTCATCCAAGTGTGCTGAGCAGCTGCCACACCCCATCCTGGGCAGCTGGTGGATGAGACAGGAAGCACAGGAGGATGGTGCTGGTGGTGGCAGCCGATAAGTCCAGCTCAGCCACTTTCCCTACTCTGGACCTATGTGGCACTGCAGCTTGGACAGCACATTGATCAGTCTCTGGGTGTGGGGGTGCAGGGTGGGCTCTGGTTCAGGCTGAGAGTCCTCTGGATATTCTCAGTTGAGCTCTCACTGTCTGGACCTTGGGACCTTGGTTTGGGGGTGTCACGATGACACCACCAATAAAAGCAAGAGCAACGCTTACTGACAAATCCAACAGAAGCCGCTCCAGACAAATGGATCACATCACAGAACCATGAAGAGAAATGCTGTGCTGGGGGACCATGAAAGCCATAGAGAGGCCCAGGTGGCAGGTGCCATTCAGCTCAGGCCCGGCCTGGGCTGGCTCTAGAACCCAGCTGAGGACCCTGCTCTATGCACACCCCAAAAGCATTCATCTCAGAGTTGCTTGTGTTTCTTGGTTCATGTGCATCCTTTTTTTTTTTTTTTTTTTTTTTTTGAGACAGGGTCTCACTCTGTCACCCAGGCTGGAATGCAGTGGTGCAACTGCAACTCACTACAGCCTTGACCTCCCTGGGCTTAGGTGATTCTCCCACCTCAGCCTCCCGAGTAGCTGGGACTACAGCCATGCGCCACCACACCAGGCTAATTTTTGTATTTTTTGTAGAGACGGGGTTTCACCATGTTGCCCAGGCTGGTCTCAAAATCCTAGGCTCATGCAATCCTCCCGCCTCAGCCTCCCAAAGTGCTAGGATTACAGGCATAAGCCACTCTGCCCGGCCCGTATTACACAATCTTATAGAATTACAGAACCTAAGCACAAGTTTGTATTCCAGCCTTTTCACTGAATGCAATATTATATTTTCCCATGTCTCTCCACAATGACGAGTTGTAATGATGACTGTAATACTTCACCAAGGGCTACATTATTATTTACCCAGCCACTGCCCCATGTGTTCTGTAAGACAGGATTTGGTAAACTGTGGCCAGCCAGTCGAACTCAGCCGTGGGCTGTTTTTATCAAGTTTTACTGGAACACAGCTATGCCCATTGATTTACATATCATCTATGTTTCATTTGTACTGTGACAGCAGAGTGAGTGCCTGCAACAGAGACTGTACATCCTCCAAGGTCTAAATAAAATATTTACTCTCTGATCTTTGACAGAAAATATTTGCCAACCCCTGCTTTAAGACCCCTTGCATAGAAATTCGGCTTGATTTCATGATGGAATAGTATAAAATCCTGACTCGCAGAGTTTTGGATGAGGTAACCGGTGTTCTGCAAGTCACCTCTGACCAAACATTTCTGCCCCAAGGAAATAAACAAGAAAGGTCAGACCATCTCTGCTTTTTGGTCCTCCAGCCACCACCATGGGGAGCCATAGGAGGCAGCCAAGTATGACCCCTGCCGCCCACCATCACAGCTGCAGGGCCTGGCGCTGCCCTGACTCACCTATCCAGGTCCTCATCTAGCGACTCGTAGGAGTTCTCATAGCACTCAATGCGCCTCATGAAGTCCTCCGTAGCCTCATCACTGTCGCGGTTGACATAGTCAGGGCTGCCCAGTTTCACTTGCTGCCGGAGCCAGGCACAGAGAAAGGACATATCAGGGTCAGGAGCCAGGCGGGGCCAGAGACCAAGGAGACTGCTGGGCAGGGGGCTGGAGGAGGTTGCACCGGAGACCAGTGCGGGAACCTGAGGCTGGAAGCTGAGGTGGGGGCTGGTCCAGCAGCTCCCTGGTCTGAGTTCTCACACCAGTGCCAAGAGGGTATCACTGAGGGTCCAGGGATTGAAGTCCCTCATCCTTGTGGTACAGGGGGAGGCCTGGAGGCCGTTCCCCACCCTGAACTCTCATTTTCCCAGACCCAGATGCCCATTCCTCAGATAAACTGGGGGAGGGGAAGGAAAGAATGAGTCTTTCTTTCTCTGAAATATAAAACATGCCCCTCACCCACCCTTCCACCCCTGCTGAAGGTGCTCTCCTAGTGTCCAGGTGGTTACGAGGCGGAGGTGGGGTGAGTGAATGTCCACCAGCCACCCAGCCTTCCACAGTGATCCACAGAGGGCGAGGCATACCTGACCCAGCATTTGAAGTTACACTTCCTCCCTACCCCCACAAGGTTCAAGATCAAATTAAGGTTAGCCAAAACCTGAAAAGGGATGTCCCTGTCACACACGACCTTCTGACAAGGTCAGATGCACTACTCACCACGATGTTGGCAGCTATGACCTCAGGATCCACACAGATGGACTCGACAAAAAAGGTCTGCGGCAGGACCAGAAGCGCCGGGGTGGTGGGAGGGAGGAACACGGACATGTTCAGGGCCTCCCGCCTTGCTCCTCGGAGCTCTCCATCCCCTGAGGCCCATGCTGACAAGCAGCCAGGCCCTGAAACCCTGCTTCAGAGGGCTGGAGGCGGGGTCAAGGAGTCCAGAGCTAAAGCAGGTGCTGCCCTCTCCTAGACTCTCCCACGAAAACCCCCTTCCCTCTGGAAAGCAAACCCCAAGTGGAGACAGCCCCTCTCATCCCAAATTACACTCAGGAGCCATGCCAGCCCCATGCCCCTCATGCATAAGCAGGCGGTGAAAGGAGCCCTGGAGGGCAGGGGACATGCCACAGTTCCGCCAAGGAGAGGAGCCAAGGAGGCCTCACCTTGTAGCCATTCTGTTCTCCAAAATTAAAGATGGTCGCTCTCCGTTCTCGGGTGGTGTTTGTGGCATCAAAAACCTAGGACCAAACTAGGGTTAACTCAGCCTCTGGCCCTGGGGAAGGAAGGGGCCAGAGTGGGCCCTGAAGTGGGCAGTGAGGGCCGCAGCACAGGCTCTCTGGGGACTGGATTTCTCATAAGGACCAGCTGCTGCCAGGTCCACCTGCCTGGCCAGTCTCCTCCAGACTTGCAACGGCTGGGCTGGCCCTCCCCTTCCTTGGAGAGAATGCCCCAAGGAAGTTAGAAGGAGAGGATGCCTGTGCTCCCAGCAGGGGAGCAGACCCGTGGCACAGAAGAACCTACTCAGTGCTGCTCTGCACACAGTGGGCACTCAGTTTGTGTTTGACCAACAGGAATTGCAGTGAAACCAGTTAAACCTAGTAAACTGAACCTATGTTTATTTCTACTCCATCCTGACACCCCAGTAAAATGGGAACAGAAGGATAAAGAGAAAAAGAGATGACAGGAGAAAAAGGAGACAACAGGAGATGGAGACATCAACACAATTCTGTCAGAGAGATCCACGGTGACGGACTCAGAGTCATGTAGGAAACCAAACACAGGTGCTGGCCAACCAGAGCACACCACCTGTGCAGGACCAGAGCACTCCAGAGGGTGCAGTGGCATTGCTAAGAAAAGGGACAAAGGTGGGGACGAAATGGGAGGACTAGCTGGCTGATAAAGAAGAGCTGGAGGCCCAGGCCCCCTTCCCAACCCCATCCAGCCAGGCACTGACCCATCTGGAGCTCTTTGAGAAGTACCTGGGGCCTGCACAAGCATCCTCTGAGTAGCCTCCTGAGTAGCTGGGACTACAAGTGTGCACCACACCTCGGTTACAGCATCATTTTTTTGTTTTTATTTAAAAAAAATTTTTTTGAGACAGGGTCTCACTCTGTCGCCCAGGCTGGAGCGTAGTGGAGCAATCATAGCTCACTGCAGCCTCAACCTCCTGGGCTTAAGTTATTCTTTCGCCTCAGCCTCCCAAGTAGCTGGGATTACAGGCATGTACCACCATACCTGGCTAATTTTTTTTTTTTTTTTGAGACAGAGTCTTGCTCTGTCGCCCAGGCTGCAGTGCAGTGGCGTGATCTCGGCTCACTGCAACCTCCGCCTACTGGGTTCAAGCGATTCTCCTGCCTCAGCCTCCTGAGTAGCTGGGATTACAGCTACTTGTGCCACCACGCCTGGCTAATTTTTGTATTTTTAGTAGAGACGAGGTTTCACCATGTTGGGCAGGCTGGTCTCGAACTCCTGACCTCATGATCTGCCAGCCTTGGCCTCCCAAAGTGCTGGGATTACAGGGGTGAGCCACTGTGCCCAACCACATCTGGCTAATTTTTTTTTTTTTTTTGAGACGGAGTCTTGCTCTGTCACCCAGGCTGGAGTGCAGTGGCGCGATCTCAGCTCGCTGCAAGCTCTGTCTCCCAGGTTCACGCCATTCTCCTGCCTCAGTCTCCCATCTGCCTCCTGGGTTCAGGCCATTCCCCTGCCTCAGCCTCCCGAGTAGCTGGGACTACAAGCGCCTGCCACAACGCCCAGCTAATTTTTTGTATTTTTTTAGTAGAGATGGAGTTTCACTATATTAGCCAGGATGGTCTTGATCTCCTGACCTCGTGATCCACCCGCCTCAGCCTCCCAAAGTGCTGGGATTACAGGTGTGAGCCACCGCACCTGGCCCACACCTGGCTAATTTAAAAATTTTTCTGTAGACACAGAGTCTCGCTATGTAAGCTGGTCTCAAACTCTTGGGCTCAAGCAGTCCTCCTGCCTCAGACTCCCAAAGTGCTGGGATTACAGGCATGAGCCACCATGTCAGCCCAGCATCACTTTTTTAAAAAGGGCATCCAGCCAGGGCTCACTGGACACTCCAGCAAAACCTTTAACAAGAAAAACAGAAACTAAATCAAACAAACAAACAAAAAAAGAAATTTGGGCCGGGTGCAGTGGCTTATGCCTGTAATCCTAACACTTTCGGAGGCTGGGGCAGGCAAATTGCTTGAGGCCAGGAGCTTGAGACAAGCCTGCTCAACAAGGTGAAACCCTGTCTCTGTGAAAAATACAAGAATTAGCCAAGCATGGTGGCACGTGCCTGTAGTCCCAGCTACTCAGGAGGCTGAGGTGTGAGGATCACTTAAGCCTAGGAGACAGGCTGCAGTGAGCTATGATTGAGACACTACACTCCAGCCTGGGCAACAGAGCAGGACCATGTCTCAAGGAAATAAAAAACAACAACACTCATATACTTGTAAGATAATGTTGAAGAAGTCTTTCTCAAAACAAACAACCAAAAAAAACAGAGAAAATAAAGAGAAAGGCTGGGCGTGGTGGCTCACGCCTGTAATCCCAGCACTGTGGGAGGCAGAGGCAGGCGGATCACGAGGTCAGGAGATCGAGACCATGGTGAAACCCCATCTCTACTAAAAATACAAAAAATTAGCCGGGCACAGTGGCGGGGGCTTGTAGTCCCAGCTACTCAGGACGCTGAGGCAGGAGAGTGGCGTGAACCCAGGAGGAGGAGCTTGTAGTGAGCCGAGATCACGCCACTGCACTCCAGCCTGGGTGACAGAGCGAGACTCCATCTCAAAAAAAAAAAAAAAGAAAGAAAGAAAATTAAGAGAAAAAAGATAAAATCAGAATCTCAGAATCAAGCTAGCATGTAGCCACCAGAAGTTCTAGAAAAAGCAGCTCAGAAAATGGGAGTAGGGATGGAGTGAGTTGCCAGAAAGGGGCAGAGGTGATTTGTCAAAGAAATAATACATGACAATTTCCCTGACCTGGAGAACAAGAGTGTTATGATGAAAAGGGGCCCCCTAGGACCATGTATGGTGGAGAGAAGACCCACCACAAACCACATCACCTTGAAGACCCTAAAGGCCTCCCAAGCGGAAGGGGCATGAGAAACTCTCAGCTCCCTCTAAGAGATGAAGCTTTTAGGAAGATCAGCAAATCAGAATGACATGAGACTTCTCCACAGCCACACTAGAAGCCATAAGACATCAGAGTGATGTTGTAGAAGTTCTAAGGGAAAAGCACTTTCCACCTAGAAATTCTATACCCAACCATCAAATGTGAGGATTAAAAAAAGACATTTCAGATGTGCAAGGTCTCACACAATTTACCTCCCCAAGCACCTTTCTCAGGAAGTTACTGGAGGATGTGCTTCAATGAAACAAATCAGTAAGTCAAAGAGAGGATGATGTGGGATCCACAGGCAGAACATTCAACCCAGGAGAGAGAAGGGCAATGGCTGTGCTACAGGCACAGATTGTAGCTGGGGACAGAGAACTCCAGAAGGCATGACTCCAGGAAGAAGAAGGAAGGGAAAGAACAGCCCCTGTGTTTGACTATATAAGGCTGGGGTAGAGCCGTTTCCCACAGACACCCCAGTTTAGCCCTGTTCTGCTCTTCCGTCTGACTAGAAGGGCCAACACACAGGTGGAATCCCCTTAATCCAGGATTCAGTGGGTTCCTACAACAACCAGTAATGCTGGGCAGGATTCTCCCCACACCAGGAGAAATCACATTTACTAAAGACTTAGGCAACCTGATACCTGTAACTTCTGGGGTGGCCAAGAATACAAGCATCCAGAGGGAAGTCCTGCAGGGTCAAATGCGGCCACCACATGCCCAGAGGGAAACTCCTGGCCCATATCCAGTCTCTGGCTTCCTCCTGCATAGCTGTTGCAGACTTCCTCCCAAGGGCTGGCACCCAGAGCAGCTGGGGCACACACACCCTGCCTTCCCCTCCAGATGCCTGACGAGCAAAGGCACAGATGTGGATGGGCTCCCATGTGTCACTCCCAGCTGTCACCAGGGTGTCACACTCACCGCCACATGTCCCCCCTCCTCACTAAGGAACCGCCGGACGTCACGGAGGGCTGCCAGGGCACACTGCCTTCAGGAGAGAAAACACAGGGTCAGCCCAGCACCCGACCCTGGCTCCAGGAGGGTGGCCAGGGACACACAACAGGAGGAGACATGACAGGAGAAGGAACAGCCCCGAGGTCTCTTGCTCTCTTTTCAAAGTTTCCCTTCTCTTTCCTTAGGATAATGTTCAGTGTTTGGCTAACTCTGCTCCTGTGAGGTGGAAGGCTATACACTCTTGGCTATTAGGAACATTTTTTAAGCACTACGTTTCTGTATTTTCCCTCATCCTCTCATTGTGCACAAATCCATGCTGTCATTGTGCCACATTCATGATTTCTAATTGTCATATATTTTCCCTGATTATCAAAATAAGCCCCCCCCCGCCCGCCTTTTATTTATTTATTTATTTTTTTTGAGACTGAGTCTCGCTCTGTCACCCAGGCTGGAGTGCAGTGGTGCGATCTCGGCTCACTGCAACTTCTACCCAGTTTCAAGCAATTTTCGTGCCTCAGCCTACTGAGTAGCTGGGATTACAGGCGTGCACCACCACGCCCAGCTAATTTTTATATTTCAAAATAAGCATTTTTAAAAGCAGCCGTTTTCTTGTGTGCATGTCAGGAGTTGGTGGTGGGGATGGGAGGAACACTAGGGCTGGCCCTCGG
This sequence comes from Homo sapiens, assembly GCF_000001405.40. NCBI lineage: Eukaryota > Metazoa > Chordata > Mammalia > Primates > Hominidae > Homo > Homo sapiens. The sequence continues at coordinate 48,544,281 of NC_000003.12, forward strand.
GCAGTGTTAGGCTTAGTGCTCAACTTTCTTTCCTGAAAGAGAGTTCCCCAAACCACCCCTTCTGAGGGAGGGTTCTGCATCTCTTCTTCTATCATATCCATACCCTCCAGAATGGGAATCCCCCACCTATGACCAAACACTGACTATACAGTTTTCAGATCTTTTTTTTTTTTTTTTTTTTTTTTGAGATAAGGTCTCGCTCTGCCACCTAGGCTGGAGTGCAGCAGTGGGATCATGCCTCACTGCAGCCCAAACTCCTGGGCTCAAGCAATCTTCCTGCCTCAGCCTCCAGAGTAGCTGAAACTACAGGGATATGCCACCACACCTGGCTAATCTTTAAATTTCTTTTAGAGATGGGGTCTTGCTATGTTGCCCAGGCTTACACAATCTTTTTAAGTTCTCAGCTTTTTCATTTATTGCTGCAAAGTGGATTGACACAGAAGGTTTGTTTTTTTTTTTAGACAAGAGTCTTACTCTCTGTTGCCCAGGCTGGAGTGCAGTGGTGCAATCTCAGCTCACTGTAACCTCTGCCTCCCAGGTTCAAGCAATTCTTGTGCCTCAGCCACCCAAGTACCAGGGATTATGGGCACGTGCCACCACATCTGGCTAATTTTTGTATTTTCAGTAGAGATGGGGTTTCGCCATGTTAGCCAGGCTGGTCTCGAACTCCTGACTTCAAGTGATCTGCCCACTTTGGCCTCCCAAAGTGCTGGGATTACAGGCGCGAGCCACTGCACCCAGCCAGGATTATTCTCATCAATTTATCCTATGAGGTCTGGAGATAGATAAATTACCTTTTTATCTATTATCTTCCCTTTTTCTATGTAAGGGTAAAGCTAGATCTCCTAGCTTTGTGTTTTTTGTTTTTTGAGACAGAGTCTCACTTTGTTGCCCAGGCTGGAGTGCAGTGGCATGATCTCAGCTCACTACAACCTCCACCTTCTGGGTTCAAGCAATTATCCTGCCTCAGCCTCTCGAGTAGCTGGGATTACAGGCATGTGCCACCACACCCAGCTAATTTTTTGTATTTTTAGTAGAGATGGGATTTCACCATGTTGGCCATGTGGGTCTTGAACTCCTGACCTCAGGTGATCCACCCTCCTCAGCCTCCCAAGTGCTGGGATTGCAAGCTTGAGCCACAGTGCCCAGCCCTCCTGGCTTTGTTGATCTTTGGATTTTGTGTTTAAACTCCCAGCATGTCAAAGTCAAAGGGCTCTCATCAGGACGATATGCCTGAAATACAGCGGCAGAAGCTGATCTGAGAACCACAAAGAAATCAGTGGTAGAGCTGAGTCCAGGGCACTGAAAAGAGCTCTACTCTTACGGCTCCTTGTGACATTTCTTTTCTTTCTTTTGTTTTTTTTTTTTAAGAGACAGGGTCTCACTATGTTCCCCAGGCTGGTCTTTAACTCCTAGCTTCCAGTGATCCTCCCGCCACAGCCTCCCAAAATATTGGGATTACACATGTGAGCTACTATGTCCAGCCCTTGTAACCATTTCTGTGCCCCAATGGGTCTTCCAGTTAAAGCCTCAAAGTGCTTTCTTCCTCATGCCAAAAACATCTGAATTCTGAGAGTCCAGGTAACTGGCATTGGTAGGGACATTTCTCCTTAGAGCCCCACGTTCTGGGCTAAGATCTCTTTTGTGGGCTGCTCTGGCCATGACACCACCATGCAGGAGAGACCTCAGGGCCCCGGTGGAGATGCTGAGGGAAGAGCCTGGGAGCCTGTGTGTGTGCGTGTGTGTGTGTGTGTATAAGAGAGTGCAAATGGGGTGAAGAGATGCATATGTGCATGAATCCACACGTGTGGGTGGTTATGTGTGTGTTGTGCCCAAGTGTGTACATGTAAATCTGTGAGTGTACCTGTGTGAGTATTCCCTGGGCCCATGTATGAGCACAGGTGCACACACACGAGCGTGCACAACCCCTGTGTGCGGTATGTGACTAAATGGGCACAGGTATGAGTGAGTGTGCCCACATGTGTGCACACAGGATGTGTGTGCATGCACCCATGTGTATAAGTTTGTGTGTGTGTGTCCAAGCATATACAGAGTATGCATGTGGGGGTGACCATGTGTGTACACATGGTGTGTGTGTATACATGTCTTCATGTGCCATGTGACTGTGTGAGAACATATGCGATCATGCTTGGTGTGTACATGTGCACAGATCCACATGTGCATACAGGTGAACACAAGCGTATATGTGCCCACACACATGACTCTGAGGTATGCATATGTGTGTGCACCCACCTTCATGTGTAGTGGGTGACTGCATGTGTGTGGAAGAGTTAACACAGCAGGTATGAGAATGGTCCCCTTCGAAAGGCCTGCTTGTGAGGTTGGCCCTTGGCCAGGGTTGGGGAACTTGATGGTAAACAGTTCCCTCTAGTGATATGAAACTTTCCCTGAATTATAAGAGGAGCTCACTGTGCATAGACTGTTTATACAAACAACATGGTTTATGTTGATTATCTGCTTTCCTTCTGGGAGTCTGGAATTTTGGTACATGCTAGGCACAGGGTGCCTATATGACCAGCCCCCAGTAAAAACCTTGGTCGTTGAGTCTCTGATGAATTTCCCTGGCAGACAACATTTTACACATGTTGTCAATGTTCAATGCAGGAGGAATTAAGTGCGTCCTGTGTGACTCCATGAGGAGAAAATCTTGATGCTCGCTCCTGGTTTCCTCTGGACTTCACCCCAGGCCCCTTTTTCTGATTTTGCTTTGTGTCATTTTGCCGTACTAAGTCTTAGCCATGAGTCCAGCTATATGCCAAGTCCTGGGAGTCACCCTAGCAAATCACTGAACCTGAGGGCAGTCTTGGGGACCCCCTACACACCATGTATGAGCGTGCTCAGGTGTGTGTGTATATACAGGGTGAGAACATGTGCGCCTTCGTGTGTGTAATGGCCCTTGAATTACGTGTGGCTTAAGTGAGCCCAAGTATTTATATGTGTAGGTGCCCACACATGTACATATACCCTTATGTATAACGTGACTGTGTACACAGGGGGTGTGCATGTGTATGTACCCTGTGCATATGGTATACGCATGTCCGGATGTGTGCCTATGAGGTATGCACATGCATGCATGTGCCCACGTGTGTGTGTGCATAGGGGGCTTGTGTGTGGTATAGGACTGTGTGCAGGAGTATGAGTGTGCCTGTTTAGAATATGTGTACTTATGCCCTTGCATACACTTTGTTTTTGAGACAGAGTCTTACTCTGTCACCCAGGCTGGAGCACAGAGACGCAATCTTGGCTCATTGCAACCTCCACCTCCCAGATTCAAGCAATTCTCATGCCTCAGCCTCCTGATGTAGCTGGGATGACAGGCGCCCCACCACATGTGGCTAATTTTTGTAATTTTAGTAGAGATGGGGTTTTGCCATGTTGGCCAGGCTGGTCTCAAACTCCTGGCCTCAAGTGATCCACCCACCTCGGCCTCCCAAAGTGCTGGGATTACAGGCGTGAATCACTGCACCCGGCCTTGCACGCACTTTTCTAGATCTTCTGCTGTGTCCAGTGTCAGAGATGGACCTCAACACTGTGTGAGTAACTGGGCCTCTGGGAAATGCAGCTGTCTCTTCCCAGGTTTTCCATTTTAAAAACTCTGGTCCTTTTATTTTGCTAATTGGGAAATTTTGGGCTGATTAATAGGAGATGGCCCTGTGGCCCAGCCAGAGCCAGGATTCGGATACAGCAGAGAGGGTTTCTAGGGCAGCCAGAGGGTATGCCTGCAGAAAGGCAGCAATGAGCCTGTCCCCAGCTTCTGTTGCAGGGTGACCTTGGACTAGCTTCCCAACCTCTCTGAGTCTAGGTCTCTTCATTTGAATTAATCCCAAATATCCCTACCTTAGGGGGACAGCCAGAGTGGAACAGCTGGCAGACTCTCCCCACAAACACTATGGATTCAGGCAGGACGGACTTCAAATTCAAACCCTGAGTGACCCAAGGCACCCCCATCACTTTCTGGCCTTGGTCCCAGCATCTGGAAAAGTGAGGCACCGCCCACCACAGAAGCTGCTGGGAAGATCAGACAGTAGGCTATCAGCGTCCACAGCTTGGGGTTGTTGGCTGAGGCAGAAGAATTGCTTGAACCTGGGAGGCGGAGGTTGCAGTCAGCTGAGATTGCACTACTACATTCCAGCCTGGGCGACAGAGTGAGACTCCATCACACACACACACAAATAATAATAATTTTTAAAATAAATAAATAAAATTTGCATTTGATGTTCCTTGACCTACCTATTGAGGAATATTGGAATGATGGACACTTTTTAGCGGTGGATGGGCTTAGATTCAAGTCTGGGCGCTGATGTAAACTTGCTATTTTGTGCGAGACTCCTGGCCTGTCTGAGCCTCAGTTTCCTCATCTGTAAAAGTAGGGGGTGACAATGGGCATCAAGAACCCAGCACACGGTAGGTTCAGACATTAGTCCTCTACTTTTTATCTGGCTCAATATAACCAGAGGGTCCAGCCTTGATTTTTACCCACAATTTGGCCATAGAAACCTGAATATCAGGCTCCCCTTCCCTTCTTGGTGCCACAGCCTGGCCCAGCCACACCGATGCAAGAACAAAGGCAGTCTCCAGTCTGAAGGTCCAAGCCCCACAGCAGGGAGTTCCTGCCCCCTGGTGGCCAGAGAAGGAACGGGTAGCCTAGTGTGGACCCCAGTGGCAGCCTGGTAGCCACTGGGCTTGATTTGGGGAAGTCACTAGAGCTGGGTCAACCTCTGCTCACTGCCCTATCCTGATGGCTGGGCCAAGAGCAAGTCTCTGCCACCCTAGGTTGATAAGGGGCTTCTCAAGACCACAGCTAACACCTCCTGAGAAAAGCACAGCATGGCTGCTCAGACCACCAGCTGGTGCTCAGTTCCTTGAAGAAAGGACTCAGTTCAAGTCTGAAAGTTGTTGAGGGTGGGGCGGTAGCATATACATATTTCTATCTCCAGAGTAACAGCAGAAGTGTGAACGACTCACCCAGCAGCATCTAGGAGATGTCAATGCAAAGCCAATCGCACCAGCAATCACACACCAAGAACATGCTCCAAATACACAGGAGAGAGCTTATCCTGGGGCAAGGGAGGAAGCCCCCCACCCCCAGCTCCATCCCTAAGGCCTGTATGCCTGCACTCACTCAGGTTCCCTTCCCCAGCAGCAGCCATCCCCACGGGGCGCTGGGGTGAGCGAGCGTGACCTCCAGGCAGCAGCTCCAACGACCTGCATGGGCTGAGCCCCTCTTACCTCCCTGAAGCTCTGTCCTTCCCAAGGGTTCCTTAACCCCAGGGCAGGAATGGCCCAGCCACCAGGAGGCCACACAACACACCCTCTCCTCTCATCCCCAAACCCATCACCTCCCACCCCCACCACATCCTGAGAGATCCAGAGACCAGCCTTGTCACACAGCCCTGTCACACAGCCATCAGGGCTGGGCAAGGCCAGGGCTCAGGAGTAGCTCAGTCATTCACCAGCAGCTCCACTCCAGGGGCTTCTCAGTAAATGGTCAGTAATGTGTTAGCTTTCTCCACACTGGGTCCCCCAGCAACCTCTCCCCCCACACCCAACACATATACTTACTTCCTGATTTTCAGGCCCTCTTCATTGTCGGGGAGAAAAAATTCAAAAGATTTGTAGGTCTTGACCACGTCCCGGCGATACTGGCCAACATTGAACTCTGGAGGGAAGGAGAGGCTCAGCTTTCACAGCAACAGCAACCCCTACCAACCCTGACCTTGACCCAACCCCAGGCCAAATAATAGAGAATAGGCCTTCTCTATTCTCTTCGTCATGCCCCACAAAGCTCCCCTTAGACAGCTGGGGCCAAGCCTCACCCCGAGTGGGCACACCAATCCAGTTCAGGTATCGAGTCAGCTTCTTGGAGATGTAGGTCTTGCCCCTGGCGGGCAGGCCCACCATGACAATGAGAGTTGGGCAGTTGGTCATGCACACTAAAAGGCAAGCAGCACAGTGTCAGATGAGGGCTGGGACCCTCCCAGCGCACCCCTCCCTCTCAGCCTGTGGTCTCTCAGCCTCAGGGCATGGGACTGGCATCAGACGTATCTTCTTGGCTTCCTAGCATCCCCACACAGCTCCTGGAGTGGCCCCAGATGCTGGTTTCAAGCCACCGTTGGCATGTCCCCCTTCCCCAGGCCCGCCTGGGCTCTGGCAGACACAGTGGGATCTCTCCAGCCCTTTTCATCCTGATGTGCACCACCAGGCATAAAGTCAACCGAACTTGCCACTGGCTAAACATGGCTAGGGGGGTCCCCACCGCATGAAGGACAGGACCAAAACCCAGCAGGGTAATCAACACCCTGCCTCTGTCATCCAGGAATCCATACCCTAACCTTTTTACATCTCTCCCACCCCATCCATCACTCAGTGCTCCCAGAACACATAGCCCCACTGCATGCCCTCCCTGTGGTGAACTTCTTTTCATCATACAAAGCCCAGCTAAAAAGTCACTTCCTCAATGAGTCCTTTCCCCAAGGCATCTCCATGGCCACCGGGAACACCCCTCACCCTCAATCCTGGTCACCTCACTAATGACACTCTTCTCTCTAGACTGATCACTTACAGCAGAAGAAGCCCTGTGGTATCTGAGCCCTTTAGGGCCCTGGGGCCTGGCACAGCGCTGGTGCTCAGGAACTGTGGGCAGGATCAGGGAGGGAGGCATCTAGAAGTCTCTCAGGGTAAGGACCACAAGGGGTTGAGACCAGAGACCCAGACTGATGCCCACAAGGACAGTCCCTCTGATAGCCCACCCACCACCATCCATGTGCCACAGGTCAGTGTGCCAGCCAGAGAAGATGCCAGGCTAGAGGCACGGAAGGATCTGAATACAGCCCCCTATATTCCCAGCTGGCTAGAACAGATACCAAGGCAGCAGAACTGCCAGCTTCATCTTATGGGACCTAGCTCACTTTTCTTTTTTTTTTTTTTTTTTTGAGACGGAGTCTCACTCTGTTGCCCAGGCTGGAGGGCAGTGGTGCGATCTTGGCTCACTGCAACCTCTGCCTCCCAGGTTCAAGCGATTCTCCTGCCTCAGCCTCCCAAGTATCTAGGATTACAGACACCTGCCACCACACCTGGCTAATTTTTGTATTTTCAGTAGAGACGGGGTTTCGGCATGTTGGTCAGGCTGGTCTCAAAACTCCTGACCTCAGGTGATCCGACTGCCTGGGCCTCCCAAAGTGCTGGGATTACAGGTGTGAGCCATCACCTCCAGCCTTCTTTTTTTTTTTTTTTTTTTTTTTTTTTTTTTTTGAGAGGGAGTCTCGCTCTGTCGCCCTTGCCCAGGCTGGAGTGCTGGAGGACACTGGTACCCAGCTCACTGCAACCTCTGCCTCCCGGGCTCAAGCAATTCTCGTGCCTCAGCCTCTCAAGTAGCTGGGATTACAAGCACATGCCACCACACCTGGCTAATTTTTGTATTTTCAGTAGAGACAGGATTTCATTATGTTAGTCAGGCTGGTCTCGAATTCCTGACCTCAGGTGATCTGCCTGCCTCGTCCTCCCAAAGTGCTGGGATTACAGGCGTGAGCCCAGCCCTCAGCTCAGTTTCCAGTGCCATCAAACGCGGTCTCACGTCAGAAGCCTCAGGAAGCTTCCTTTTCCTCATCCTTAGGACCTGGGTCAGGTAAAACCATAGCAGACAGGCAGATGAACAGATGTGGGGACCTGTCACTGCCCCTCTTCTTGGTTCTGCAAGTGCCTTCACCTGGTTGCCTAGACAGACTGTCCCCACCAACAAGTTGTTTCCCTCAGAGCACAGAGGCCCCAGAAGCACTTCCGCAGGGGATCAGGAGTCAGGCCTGGGTTGCCATCTTGAGTCTGACACTCATTGGGAACTCTGAGCCTCGGTGTCCCCAGCTGTAAAATGGGGCAGTCATCCCTCAGAGAAGCCTAGTGCTATCCAAGAGCCTGGGCACTTCTGGGAAGCTGTGCCCTCTGTCCTACCCTGGCGGATACTGAGCTAAAGCCATAGGTGTACCTCGGCACCGACTGCCCTTGGGACTCAGGGCATGGAGGCGGTGGCCTGGCCCCAGGCAGGCCCTGCAGAGAAACAAAGGGCCTTGCTTGCCAGTGGGGGCTCCATCACTCCTGTGCATTCCCCTTGTTTAAAGGTGACCCAAATGGTGAGCCTCAGGGGCGGGAAGGAGGAGACCCCATGAAACAGGCTGACTGAGTGAGAGTGGAGAAACTTGCAGAGAACTCTCAGTATTAGCTAAGGTGAGAGGAAAACAAGTTAGGCAAGGCCTTGCCTCCTCAGGGCCGGTGGACAGCTGAGGCCCGCATTGTGCATTGTTTGCATAGTTCCCGGCCAGGTGGCCGGGCTCTCAAGCAACCAAGGGCAGTGCGACAGCTGCTAAGCAGGAGGAAATCCTGCATCTACCCTGCTCCCGCTGATGGGGCCACCCCCCAACTGCTCCTTCAGGGACTCCCAAAACCTCAGGACTGGGGATCTGCACCCCCTCTCCACATCTCCTATTTTCCCAGAGACAGCTCCAGCCTCCTCCCATGGCATTTGGTGGCATTTCCCTTCCCGCCTTCCACCCACATGCGCAGCACAAGGTGGGCAGGCAGGGCAGCAAATCAGGCCTGGGTGCAAAACAAGGCAATAAATTACCTATCTCCTCTGCTCCCCAAGATAAGCTCCCAAGGAAATGACCCAAAAGAAAACCAAAGTTCAAGTGTATCACAACAGCTCTGCTTACCATAGCAAAACACTGGGAAATTCCAGCCATAAGAAATTGCCAACTGAGGCACAACAAGGAGGGAACACATTGCAGCTCTCAAAACAGAGCACGTGGACTAAGCGGGCTGGGTGCACGGCTGCACCTGTGGCTCTGAGCCCACAGGACCCTGACACTGAGCAAACAGGATGGTAGAATACACTGTTTATAGCTGGGCGTGATGGCACATGCCTGTAATCCCAGCACTTTGGGAGGCCGAGGCAGGCAGATCACCTGAGGTCAGGAGTTCGAGACCAGCTTGGCCAACATGGTGAAACCCTGTCTCTACTAAAAATACAAAAATTAGCCGGGTGTGGTGGTGCACACCTGTAATCCCAGCTACTCGGGAAGCTGAGACAGGAGAATTGCTTTAACACAGGAGGCAGAGGTTGCAGTGAGCCAAGATTGTGCCACTGCACTCCAGCCTGGGGGACAAAGCAAGACTGTCTCCAAAAAAAAAAAAGAACACACTGTTTATAACATTGAGCATGTGCGGAAGGAAATGTGAAGACATGTCAGCCCAACTTCCCTCATGGGTTCCTTTCCTGTAAATTCGCTGCAGGCCCCATGAGCTCTAGGAGCGAAGGGGCCCAAGGGGCCTGAGACGTGCCTGGCAATGGGCAGTGTCTATGTTCCATTACTTCTACCCAAGGAGCAGCCACAAGTCCCTGGAGGGGGTGCCAGAATTGACTCCTGAACTGCAACTGCTCTCACCTCCTTAGGCCAGGCTAGGGAAGGAAGAGCTCTTTAAAATAAAGTAACGTGCCATGGAGGCCCTTTTCAGAGGGGACTGAAAGTCATCTCTCCTGTTGCCCTGTGCACACACCAGTCATGTCCTTACCCAGGAAGAGTCTTGCCACCTTTCAGCTGAGAAAAGCCATCAAACACCGTCCTTTCTGCAGTCCTTCTTGAGTCAGCTCTTGCCCCACCTGCCCTCAGAGTTCCTCCAGGTCTGAGCTCGGAGGCCAATGATGGGAAAGGTAAAAGCCTCCCAAGCCCTCAGGTGTGGCTTTAAATTTTATCAAGCGGGGGCGTGCCTGTGGGAGTGGAGGAGGTGCAGTACATCCCTCAGTCCACCAGCCCCTAGTGCCCTGAGGAGCTGGGGACTAGACTCCAGAGAAAACCCAGTACAAAGCACAGACCAGCAGTGGGTCCTGCTTCTTCCTCCCCACAAAGCCCTGGGACCAAATCCGCTTCCATCCCCACCCACACCCTCCGGGTCCAGACTGTCCTTGCAGTCACTCAACCTACAAGTCTACTATGCAAAGGGTAAAGTGTTGCCCAAATGCAGGCACTGGGAGCTGGAGGTGCTGCATGGGCGGGTTCCATGTTCATTCACTGCTTACCCACTCCCTGCTGTGAACCCTGAGGCCCAAATCCCCAAACAACCTGCAGGTCTCATCTTTGGCCTCTCAGGTGCTACCTCCTCCTCCAGGAAAAAGTGCGGACCTAGAACCCAGCCTACCCCAACACCCTGAGACACCGTGATGGCACGAGCCCCTCAGCTCAGGCCAGAGCCACATTTCAGTTCCACACTTAGAGCCTGGAGAAACACAAGCCCTGCCTCAGGAGCTATGAGACCTTCCCATTGGGCCTCAGCTTCCTCTCACCTGTAACGGGGGTTGGCTTGGAGCTGATGCATCAATCCCTGACTCAGACGTAGTGAGAAGCAAAGAAAGAATGGTAGTGATGACAGAATACCCTGCCTCCGCTTATTGAGGACCTACTCCTTAAAGGCTCACAGACTTGGCTAGGCATGGCAGCTCATGCCTGTAATCCCAACACTTTGGGAGGCCAAGGGGGGCAGATCATTAGAGATAACGAATTCAAGACGAGCCTGGCCAACATGGTGAAACTCCATCCTACTAAAAATACAAAATTAGCCGGCCATGGTGGCGCATACCTGTAATCCCAGCAACTTGGAAGGCTGAGGCAGGAGAATTGCTTGAACCCAGGAGGTAGAGGTTGCAGTGAGCTGAGATAGGACCACTGCACTACAACCTGGGCAACAAGAGTGAAACTCCGTCTCAAAAAAAAAAAAAAAAAAAAAGTCCAGGTCCTCACTCCTTTCCCCTATGTAGTAATAGCAGCCACCCCCCTAAGTCAGGACCACACAGCCCTAATAACACAGACTGGCTCAGCCTCCCCGCCTCCAGAAGAGTCTCAAAGGAGGGGTGGCCATAGCCCTCAGGACTGAGTGTGCATTATAGACAGCACAGCCCCACCAGGACCTACATCACAATCAAAGCCATGAGTTACCACGACTTGGTCTGGTCAGAAACATGGCCTTCCCCTGCCAGGACTCACAGTGTGGCCAGAAATACACACACCCTTCCCCCAGGACTCATATCATGATCAAAGCCATGGCTCCAGGCTGCTGCAGCAGGATGAGCACAAAGAACTCTCCCCTTGCTTATCATACATAAGCAGAGGCAGGATCACAGGGAGACCCAGGCATGTCACTCAATCTCCTGATCTCCATTTCACTGTCTGTTAAACTAGATGTTCTCTGAGGTGCTGGACAAGCTGCAAATTCATTACAATGTTTCAGTTACTCCTAAAACAAATCTTTCTTTTCCTGGTAATAAAAAAGTTGCAGGCCAGGACCCACGCCTGTAATCTCAACACTTCGGAAGGCCGAGGCCAGAGGATCCACTTGAAGCCATGAGTTGGAGACCAGCCCAGACAACATAGCAAGACCCTGTCTCTACAAAAAAAAAGAAAAAAGAAAAAAAAAAGCTGGGTGTGGTGGCGCACCTATAATCCCAGCTAATCGGGAGGTTGAGGTGGGAGGATTGCTTGAGCCCAGAAGGTCGTGGCTGCAGTGAACTATGATCGCGCCACTGCACTTGCTCCAGCTTGGGCCACTGAGCGAGACTCATCTCTTAAAAAAAAAAAAAACTGCCAGCTCATTTAAGGACAGGCAGAAACTCAAGGAAGCGGTTTAAACACCTGGGACCCTAGGAGAGGTGAGCCCCTTAACAATTCCATGAATTTCAGCATTCTCCTAGCTGTTTCACTCTCCAGTTTTACTGTACACCCATGACCCCAGGTGGATACTTACATGTCCCGGGACACAGACACAGGCCCACACGGCATACTTTTCTGTCTCTATCCTGAGCACATCTCTGCTGAAGTTCCTGCCCAAGCTCAGCTTTAAGGCCAAGAGGCACCCTTCCTCCTGTTGGAAAACTAGCCCACCTTTGAAAGTTCTGGGCTCAGAGAGGCCAAGTAATTCACCTAGGGCCACACAGCTCAGTTCCAGTCCAACAACCCGGCCCACACTCCTTGGCCAGGAGAGAGGGAAGGGCCTGGGGTGCCCACAGGGTCCTCCCCAGACTGGGGGCGATGGGGATTGGAGAGGGAAGCGAGGGGGCCAGAGCCCTCCCCGAGGTGATGGTGGCCAGACCTAGCCACCGCCAAGCCGATATGCCCCCACACACCTGTCCCCGCCCCCTGCTCTGCCACACCTGTCTCTGGCCCACCACTGTCACGACCGCCTCACCTGTCCCCAGCAGCCTCCCCAGTCACGGCAACCTCACCTGTCCCCGGTTCCCCATCTGTCTCCCGCCCCTTCTCCATGCGAGACCCCCGCCCAGGCCGCCCTACCCACCCATCCCGGTGCACCTCCCACCTCCTCCCAGAGGACCCCGCCTCACCACCGCGCTGGCAAGCGTGCAGAGCGGGCCGCCCATTGCTGTATGGCATCCAGATCTTCTTCAGGGGGTTCTGTGTCAATTCCCGTGGGGACGCCATCCCGGGGCCGGGATGAGTCGGACTGCGCCGCTTCCAACCCAGCAGCCGGGCCACCTCGGGCCACCCGAGGTCCCGCCCCTTGGGCCCCGCCCCTCCTCAAGCCGCGACAGCCCATGTCTATCTTCCCGCAGGTCCCGCCCCAGAGTGAGTAGGCTCCGCCCCAGCTGAAAGGGGCCCGGCCTCCGACCACGCATGCCCAACTCACCTACCCGCCCGTTTTGGAACAAGTGGGCCCAGTTCTTCAGGCCAGGATCGAGAATGCGCATGCTCAACTCCGGATTGTACTGGTCCCGCCCCAGTTCAAGGCCCGGATTGTGCAGGCCCGCCCCGGATGCGCAAACTCAGCTCTCCCAACCTGCCCGCGCTGATTTGCATAGGCCCCACCTACGGGCTCCGCCCTGGCGCTGCATCCCTGAGCAGCGGCACGCGTGAATTCTGCTACCTCCTTGCTAGGGAGCCCAGGGCCCCCAGGAGGGAGGGGTTTTCATGCAGTGGGACGAGGCCTACGTGACCCGCACGGCCAGGTTGGTCAGAGCCGACAGGGGCCAGTAGGCCTGCAGTCCCAGCCGTCAACTCCGCTGCGCCCTCCTGCCCCTCCTCGGGGTCCCCCTTGACTGCTCCGAGCCCCGGGACTCTTCCGCCGTCCATAGGAGCATGCTCAACCACGCTGGAAAAGCTCTTTTACCTCATGGATAGAGACTCAAAACACATTTCAATATTGTTCCTCTTTCTTTGCTTTGGCTGCTGGGAGCAAATGCGTGGGACTTTTTTTTTTTGAGACGGAGTTTCGCTCCTGTTGCCCAGGCTGGAGTGCAATGGCGCTATCTTGGCTCACTGCAACCTCCGCCTCCCGGGTTCAAGGGATGCTCCTGCCTCGGGTTCCCAAGTAGCTGGGATTACAGGCGCCCACCACCACGCCCTGCTAATTTTTGTATTTTTAGTAGAGGCGGGATTTCACCACGTTGGCCGGGCTGGTCTCGAACTCCTGACCTCAGGTGATACGCCCTCCTCAGCCTTCCAAAGTGCTGGGATTACAGGCGTGAGCCACCGCGCCCGGCCGTGCGTGGCACTTAGTAACCAAGTACTTTGGGTACTCACTAAGCCCTGGGAGTATCTTAATCGTCTTTCCAGAATTTCATTTTTTACAATTTTTTTTTGATTTTTAGTATTTTGGTTTTTTTAACTAAAGTTTTACATATTTTTTGAAAATAATATGTTAATAACATTTTCTCTTCAGGAAAATGGGATGTGCACATTGTCTATCTTACAGTATTACAGTATAAATTAAGTATGTCAATCTCTAAGAAATTCATTTTAAAATACGTTATGGTTGCCTTTTACTATATTTGTATCTCCCTCTTGTCTTTGAAAATGCACTGGGGACAAGGAACAAGGGAGAGATCCAGAAGTTCCTAAACCCCTGGCTCACTTTCTTGTTTGGCCCCCACCGGACTCCTGCAGTTTCCCGCCTCCTCGGGATCCCCAGCCCCGCCTCTCCAAGCTTTGTACACTCTCTGCCCCAGCCCCCACCAACACGGCTTCAACCTGAGCCACACTGCCCTCTAGCGATGTCATCCACAACACCCCTGGCAGGTGCCCTGCATCCTCAGGTTCTCTCTGCCCAGTGTGTACCCAGCCAGGAGCCAGGTGTTGAGGGCATGGGACTGGCAACAAGACTGGCCTCGTGGGCTATAGGTGTAGCACCCCCTCCCATGCCCTCCCTGCCACAGCCCTGCCTTGGATCAGTCCAAGTCCACCCAGCTCTTTAAAGCTTGGCAAGGACCCTTAAGATGACTGACACAGATGTCTTGCCCACTTCATAGGAACTGAAGATTCCAAAGGTCCACATGCTGGAAGCCCATCTGGACCCTCCCCCAAACCAGCTCTAGCTGCTTGCCCTGGGAACACCCTGCCCCAGGCAGAGTCAACAACTTCCTCCTTCCTCATCCTCCTTTTGCAGTATCTACCCGCTTATTCCTCCACCCCAGTCCCAGCAGATCTGAGCACATCCATGGGCGGCTCCTGATGAGCTGGGTGCCCCTCGTGACCTGCTCCCTACTTCTCCAAAGCCACTCATTCTGTTCGTGACACAGCCAGCCCTCTTGTCTTCTGGCCACTGCCAAGGCCATCTTGGGGCCACCGTGGCCTCTGAGACCTCATTACCACATGCCCACACCCTGTCTAACCCGCAGCACTCATTGCAAAAGCTATCTCCTCTGATATCTACAGACACCCAGCACCTCCTCTGGCCTGTCCATTCTCTTCCCAGACCTCCTGGGATGCTAATCAAGGGCTGGGGGTAGAGGACAGCTGGCCTGGGCAGGGGGCCAGGGCTATCTCTGGGAAGGCATCCTCACACCCAGACAGGATGAGCCTGGTTCCCAGGAAATGCAACAGCTCTGCACCTTCCTCTCTTCCCCAGAAAGTCTACCCGTGGCTGACCCAGGCACCCTCCTTCAAGGCCCTATGTCCAGCTGGAAGGCCACAGGTCAACATCAGGAGATGCCTGGGGTTCCTCCCCAAGGCCACCGTCCACATCTGCTCTGAGGATATTCTCCATCTCCCCTCCCATGGCCCTGTTTGTCAGGTGGGAAACTGAGGGTCAGGAAGAGGGAGAAGGGTCCAAGATCACAAAGCGAGTCCACAGTGCAGCATGGACTCAGCTCAACTCCCAGCCTTCCAGACCTTGCCTGCCACACTACAGTGGAATCGCACAGTCCACCTTCACATGTGTGCTCCCACTCCCCTGTGTCCTCTCCATGGAGATGCTGTCCCAGCGTCTGCTCTCTCAGCATCAGCGGATGCCCGGTAGAATCTCTGGCCCTCATGGCTTTTTCCTCCTCAGTATATCCGAAAGTGAGCCAGCTGTTCTGTCCCAGGCGTGGGAAGTATGCTGGGATGTCTGTACACACGTGTGAACATGTTCTGCTCAGCCTCTGCCCACCATGAACCTGGCTGGCCTGACCCTGGTTGGCTCCCAGGGTGCCCTCTGCACTGACCACTGGACTTCCTCCCAGTGTCCCAGCCTAGAAGCCATGTGGTGGCCAGTTCTCAAAGCTCAAACTCTTCCCAGTCCCTGTATCTACTGGCCAGTCCTGACAGAACTGCCAAACCATCCCACCACACACACACACACACACACACACACACACACACACACACACACACACACAGTCTCGCTCCTGTTACCCAGCCTGGAGCACATAGTGCAATCATGGCTCACTGCAGCCTTGAACTCCTGGCCTCAAGCGATCCTCCCGCCTCAACCTCCCAAAGCCCTGGGTTTATAGCCATTAGCCACCACATCTGGCCCACAAACCACCCTTTGCAGCATAAAGACCCAGGGGTTTCAGTGCATGCCACACAGGCCCACACACTGATGCACACAGAGACACTGGCACAGCTGCACATGCACACACAGACGCACACACACTCACAAGTCCTGCACCCCAGCATGTGCAGAGACAGGCAGGCTGCAGTGGGGCCTGCTGCTCTCTGCTGCCTCCCTTCCCACATATATCTCTCCACCCCCAGCCCTGCTGTCCACTGGGAGGTTCAGGAGTTTCCAGGAATTCCAGCTTCCTCTGGCCATTTCCAGCAAAGGATTGTCCCCTGTGTCTCCCTGGGCCCAGGGCTCACAAGGAGTGTGAAGTTCTGACTTCAGGTTATAGAACCATGTCACCAAGCAGCCTGGGAACCCTGATCTGCACTTCCTCCTTCCAGCCTGCCACAGGGCGTACAGTAGGTGCTTAGGGATTCAGGACCAGCAAGGGCACACAGAAAGGGTTCAGAGAGGTTCATGACCAAACTGAGTACACAGCAGGTGTTCAGAGAAGCTCAGGACTGGCACAGGGCACACAGCAGACACCCTAGAAGTGCTGGTTTAAGGGCTAAAGCCACATCATGTGAAACCCATCCTAAATGAGCCTCTAGACTTCCCCAAACTGGTGTGACCCCAAGAGGAAACCTGGACAAACATGATCCCTTGGAGGCCAGCAAAGAGCAGAGCAGGAGGGCCTGGGCAGCGCCAGCTGGCGGTCCCTCCCCCTGGGCTGGAGGAAGACACTATTTATAGTTCCCCCTTGGCCCAGCCCCCTCTCCCTTGCAGGGCGACAGTTTTCCCCCTCCTTCGGGCCACTGACAGATGAATGGCCCTCAGAGCACCCCTAAACCAGGAGAGACCCCCCAACACTCTCGCACCCCTCCAGCACCACCCTGACTTCATCCAGGTCTTTCCCTAACCCTCCACCCTCCCCACGCTGTCCCGTGCCTACCCCGCCTGCTGCTCCCCGGCCCCAGGTCGGTCAGGGAGCTGCCTCCTAACGAGCCTCTGTCCATCCTGCAACCAAACTGGCCAGGGCCACTGCCCCCTGCAGCTCCAGAGTGGGGTAACCCCGCCTAGCACTCTGAAGAGAGAGAAGCGACTCCTGCGGCTCCTGCAGCCCCGCCTCCCCAGCCCACTGTAGGCCCGCCCCCACAGGGCTGCTTACAACTGTGAGGGCAGCGCCAGTGCCCCCACTCCAGTCAGCCGGCCACGCTGTGGCCAGTACAGTCTCCCTCTCCCGCCAGAGCTGCCCATGCCACCCAGCGTCTGCCTTCATGTCCACCTAGAGTTGTCTGCACAGCCCAGAGTGCCTGCCCCCTCTGCGGGCAAGCCCGTCCACACTGCCTGGAAAGTCAGTTCTGTCTCTGGCCCAGCAATGGAGTTGGGCTGTGAAATCAGGCAAAACCTAGTCCTTCCAAACCAAGGGACCAGGTCAGTTAACCGGGGAGCTAGGGAGGAAGGCAGAGAAGCCAGGTATGACTCACCCACCATGTGTCGCGGCCTGGGTGCACACCACTGGGATTCTCGCACATCCCATCCTTCAGTCGCTTTGTGTTTATTGAGCACCTCCTGCTGCAGGACCTCCATGTCTGCTACATACACAATGCTCACAGGCTTGCTGGTCCCATCCTTCAGTCGCTTTGTGTTTATTGAGCACCTCCTGCTGCAGGACCTCCATGTCTGCTATATACACAATGCTCACAGGCTTGCTGGTGTCGCTTTGCTTTACAGATAAGGAAACCGAGGCTCGGAAAGGTGAACACCTTTGCCCAGGACAGTCCGTGCGTGAAGTGGGACAGAGTTTGGTTGGAGCTCCGGCAGCCTGAGCCCTGTCTCCTGTGAGCCCTGCATGTCCCTGGGTCGAGGCTGGGGATGCAGGGGTACGTGGGGAGGACAGGGCCTGGCCAGGAGTTGTTCTTGCTTCATGCAGGTTTGGGGGACAAGCACCCACTCCTCTCAGACCCCTCACGTACCCTTACCCTGCTCACACACACTCACAGCTGTCAGAGACTCAGCCACACACGCACATATGCGCCCATAAGACAAGGCTGCCATGGTCACAGGCTTCCTGTGTTCGGGCCTTTGTGCCTGGAGACACCCCTCACAGCCCCGTCCATCTGGGGCAGGTGCTGCCTCATGGGGCACAGAGCAAGCAAGTGACCCTCAGCCAGCATTTCTCTGTGTGGTGGCCTATGGGATGACAGACCTGTGGGCCTCAGAGGGACTGGTCGGAGGCAGTGTTGAGCTCTCGTGTTGAGGCTCCTGAAAGTAACATGATGATGACTGCATGTGGCGGTGTCCAGGTGTTCTGTGACTATGGGGCACCCAGACATAGCAAGACTCGCCACAGCAGTGACCTTACGTGGCAGCATCCAAGCTGTCCGGACATATATTAGGTCTGTGGGGCACACAGGCATGGCAAGACTCCATGTGGCAGTGACCCAACTTAGCAATGTCCAATGTCCAGGCTGTCCAGACACACTGTGACTCTGTGGGGCACTCAGATCTGATATGACCTGCATGACAGTGGCTCCATGTGGCAGTGTCCAGACACTGTATGCCCAGATGTGGCAGCGTCCAGACACTGTATGCCCAGATGTGGCAGCATCCGTCCAGCTGTGTGGCTGCCCTCCAGGTCTTCCCATCCAGGGTGGCCCTATCACTGTGACCCCCTCTCTCAGGCTCAGCAGTGGCCGACACGGGCCAGGATGCGGGCGTTGGTGGTGGCCTGCTCCCTGGCAGCCCTGGCCCGGGCTTGCTCCAGTAAGATCTGCAAGAGGCCGATGGGGACATCCAGCGATAGGACAATGCGCGAGCCAGGGTGGCGGGTGGGGCTGCAGTGGCTCTGGGCAGCCCACGGCCATGTGGGAGCAGCTGAGGGGCTCTCTGAGGCCGCAGGTCGGGGAGTGGTCTGGGGAGAATTCTGAGGGCGGAGCTGGAAGGTTGGGATAGGGGTCACTGGGACAACCAGGACTCTGCCCAACATCAGGACCATCAGCAACAGCAGAGCACACCTGGTCATCGTGAGGTCAGGCTGCAAGGAGAAAATGGGCTCAGGGCAGGGGCTCTGGTCAACTGGGGTCCATGGACAGAGACAGATGGCAAGGGCAGAGTGACAGAGCGGGGGATGGAGAGAGAGGAAGACACCGAGAAAGGGGTTAGAGAGGCCAGGCCAGGCCAGAGACAGAGAAGGGGAGACAAGAGGAGAGCCAGAATGAGACAAAGAGGCAGAAAGCAAGACAGAAAAAAAGAAACAAAGAAATCCAGAGACAGAGGGACAGCAAGAGAGGGAGATGAAGGAGATGGAGGCAGAGCAAAATGGAGACTAGAAGAAAAAGACAGACAGAAACCATCCCAGAGACAGACAGCATGATGGAAAGAAAGATTCAGACAGAAACACAGAGTCCACAGGAGGGCAGGCGGTTCTCAGCAGGAGAGCTTGCAGCTGATCCAGGAAACAGAAGGGCAGGAATCGGATCTCAGAGGCAGAAAAGCAGCCAGAGATCCCAGAGTCCCCTGGGTCCAAGCCCTCCATAAAGCCAAACCCCACATCCACTCAACCTCCAAGACCCTTCCCATCCCGACCCAACCCAGTCCTACCGCCACCAGCTGCTTCTGGGGTAAGGCAGCCTGCTGTGGCTGCCTGGGGCTGGGGCCAGGCACTACTGTCCTGTGGTCTGACCCTCTACCCCGCTTCAGGGCCCATTTATCTCCCTCAGCCCCCTGGGGTGGGAGCTGGTACATGCTTCCTGGCATGAGGCAGCCCCCCACCTATGACTCATCCCTCCCGGGGGTGTCCTTAGCCCCCACCCTATCTACTCTTTTCCGGGGACAAGTTGGGGACTGAGAATCACAAGACAGTGACCAGGACTGGGCAGAGGGACTCTGTACCCATGCAGAATAATACCAACCCCCCAAGGAAAACCTTCCCCCTTGAAACCCCCCATCTTCCCAAACAGTCACAACAGGAGCCTTTTAAAACAGCAGCTTTAATGCCCCCCAGAATCAGCACCATGTCATCACAGGCTTGGGTCAAGGGGCGGGTCAGACGCCAGTCACATCCGCTCACTGCCCACAGCCACCCCCCCACAGTGAGTCATCTGCCAGGGTGGCAGGAGCCACAATGGGGGTTTGTCCACAGGGGGGAAGGCTAGACCCACGGGACCAAGTCACTGAAATAACGGACGTGCACACGCACGCTCACGTGCACACAAGCCTCTAGCACCAAGGGGAGGGACAGTGGGGTTCTGCTGAGACCCCGACTCCTCCAGGGGATGCTGAATCTCAGCTCATTATCTGGGCCTCAGTCCTGGGCAGTACCTGGTGAGGACAGGTTGGAAACGGTCGTCAGCCATCTGACCTTCCCCGGAGACGCTCAGGCAGAGGCACCGCCAAGGGGAGGGAGCGGAGGCTACAACAGGAAGTGGGGGCTCTGACCTCAGAGGGGTCCATACTTAGGTCTTTAAAGGAGGGAACATGGAAGGGGACCCTACTGGGGGCTCCACGGCTGGGGCTCTATATTCAGCTCTTTGGTCTGGGCGTCTGCCCCAGGTCCCCTACTGCGAGGGAGCGTCTCCTCCAGGACCCTGACCTGGAACCCTGGCCCAAGGACTCCTCCCCCAGAACCCGATCCAGGCAGGCTCAGTGCCCAGTTCCCCACGGTGGGGGCTCAGCCCATACCTGTCCCCTGGCTCTGGACCACCCGGGGTGGGCAGCGGCGCTCGCAGGCCTCACGGGTCCCAAAACGGTTGGCATTCCCTCCACAGCCACCATAGACAAAAGGGTGACAGGCCTCTGTGCTGCCTGTCACAGCCCGATGGTACCAGCGCAGGGTGTAGGCAGTGCAGGAGCCCTCATCCAGTGGCAGGGAACAGGGGTCTGGGCCAATGGGGTCAAGTCAGCAGGGTTTGTGGGAATCAGAGAGGGTTGAAAGGTCAGGGGGAGGTCAGCAGGGCTCAGCCCTGCCTGCCCCTCCCCAGACCCCGCTGGCAGCCCCCCATTCTCACCATCACTATCCCAAGGAGCTTCAGGGTCCTGGTACTCCTCCACAGAATACTCGGAGTATTCAGAGTACTCATCATCCTCAGGGGGTACCCGCTCTGCAGGTAGGGCAGGGTGTGCTGGGAGCAGTGGCTGCTGGCCCCGGGGCAAGGTGGGCAGCACTGATTTCCACTGTGTGCACACAGTGCCCATGCGTGTGCCCTGCATGCAGACCCTACGTGCTTGGCGTGTGCCCTGCATTCATGGACACCCATGTGCGTGTCTCGGCCCCACCCATAGCTGCCCCACGGGTTCAGCTGTCCTCACCTTCCTCCTCTGCATGAGAGACGCGGAGCACAGGCACAGCATGGAGCTGGGAGCCGGCAGTGTCTGCAGCATAACTAGGGAGGGGTCCTGGAGCCAAGAGCAGGGGCCTCAGGGCCCTGAAGTCACCATGGGCAGCCATCCCAGCCAACCCCCCTGAGAGGACCCCAGTTGATAGGCAGGGCAGGGCCTGGGGTGAAGAAAGTTCTGGGAGTAGAAAACTACTCACGTGATCCAGATGCGATGAACTGGCCCTGGCAGGCTAGAGGGGGCAGAGAGGGATAGAGAGACAATGACAGAGAGAAGGATGGGAAGATGGAGAGACAGACAGAGACACACAGGCAGAGGGGTAGAGATACACAAAGAGATAGCAGGAGAGGGTAACAGGAGAGAGAGGAAGAGAGAGGGTGGGAGGTAGATAGAGAGATGGAAAAAGAGAAGAAGGCAGAGGAGAGGGAAGTTGGGAACAGGCCAACAAAAGGCAAGAGACAGAAGCAGGCCAGACACAGAAACAGGCAGGTGGTGCAGACAGAGACGGGAAGAGACAGCTTCACTCTGATGCCCCTCCCACCGGGTCCAGGTCAGGCCCAAGGGGACCAGCTCTGCTCCCACCATCATCCCACTCCCCACACAGCCAAGCTGGACATCTGAGAGCACTGCATGGCAATCCTCATCTGCCTGTGTGTCTCCCTCCACTGGGGACACATGTCATGTGTCAGTCCTGCAGCACATGTGTCCTTCTGTGTATCCATCCATCCCCCCATCTTCTTGACTGCTTGCCCTGTAAGTTCTAGGGGCCTGCCTGCCCTTGCCTAGGGTGCTGGGGTGGAGTGGGAGACTGCGGGCTGGGCACCACTCACCACAGTGCTGACTCATCTCTTGGCGCACAAAGCCCCGGATGTCATCCTCCTGGGAGCAGAAGACCACAGGGACCATAAAGAACCCATGGCCCACAGGAAGGACATAGGGCACATAATACAGGGACTATGGTGAGACTGCATGGAGCCAGGGCCCAGGGGTCAGGGTGCTGGGTGAGGGAGGTAGGGCCCCAGCCCACCCAGGCCCACCCAGGCCCTCCCAGGCCCATCCAGGCCCACACTCACCGTCAGTGCAGCTTCTCCCTTCTCGCCTCGAGGACCGGCAGGCCCTGGCCGCCCCTATGTGCAACAGATGGGACCAGGCTGTGACCTCTGACCTCAGGGACAACAGAAGTCACCCCGATCTCTGACCCAAGCCTTGGAATCCCTACTCACCTGCTCCCCTCTCTCGCCAGGAGCTCCAGGGACCCCAGGAGCCCCCACCACTCTCTCTCCGGGGGGACCTCGCTCACCCTGTCAGACACAGGGACCAAGTGAGCAGGGTCAGAGGCAGTGGGGATCAGAGTCAGGCAGGTTGGGGGCCACAGCTTCAGAGGTTGGGGCAGGCAGGCTGGAAGATGGTTATGAGGTTGGAAGGGTAGGGAAGGTTCAGGGATCAGGAGTCAGAGCTGGGGCCCCTTACCTTCTGGCCCTGAAGTCCTTCGGGGCCTCTGGGACCAACACTGCCAGGTGGCCCTGGGGGACCAGCAGAGCCATCATTTCCACTGGGGCCTGGGAAGCCCCCAATTCCTGGGGTTCCCTGGGGAGATATAGGACAGAGTCAGTAATCAGAGGCCCCAGAGATGGACCCTCTCCCAAAGTGCACGCTCCCCTCAATTCACCATGACCATGGCTTCAACTCACCCGCTCCCCTTTCTCGCCCTGGTCACCCTTGGGGCCTGGCTGCCCGTCAAAGCCTCGGTCACCCTGGGAACAGAAGAAGCATGAGAGACCTTCTGCCCTGACCTCCCTCAGCTCTGGAACCTCCCTGAACTCCCATGAGCTCCCTGGCCTAATGCCCAAACCTTCTGTAACCCAAGCACCTGTGAGCCAACCAGATGTGATCCCCATGACTCCAACTCCACTATAGCCCCCTGCCCTGATGCACATGCCCCCTCCACCTCCCATGCTTTCATCCTAACTCCACTGTGACCCCAACCCACCTTGACACCTCGAGACCAGCCCCACTTCAGCCCCCAAAGTCCCAACCCTCTACAGCCTTCCTTGTCCCTACACCCCCATGACCCGACCATGAGCTTCCCTGCCCCATCCTGACTCCCTGTCATGTCCACTGTCCACAGACCCTGTACCTTGGGACCGATCAGGCCCTCCTTGCCAGGGGCCCCCGACTGGCCCGGCACACCAGGCTCCCCCTGGAGAAAAAAAGACATGAACTTGGCCCCCGTCCACCCGTGGCCCCCTCATTCTGAGCGTGCCCACACTCACCATCTCTCCTTTGTGTCCTGCCAGCCCGGGGCGGCCTGGGGGACCAGCTTCTCCCTGCAGGCATCAGGCAGTGGGGTGAGCCTTAGGCCCCAGGCCACGTAGCCCCCCAGCCCCCATCCCCTCTGTACCTTGTCTCCCTTCTCTCCATCAAGGCCACAGGCTCCCTTCACTCCCCGTTCACCCTGAGGGAGAAAAGCAGATGAAGAAGTGATTCCCAGACACCTCACTCTGTGACCCCCTTCACCCTGAAACTAACTCTCCAAACAGGCCTCAGCTACTCCAACCTCTGACCCAGTGCCCTAATATCTGACCCCAGGTCCCTCGCCCTTCAACATTAGGCCTTCCTGACCAGAAAAAAACCAATCTTGTTTCTTTCCTACCTTGAGGCCCCGGGGACCCATGAAGCCAACATCTCCTTTTTCTCCTCGGATACCAGGCACTCCATCCTTTCCTGGGGATCCCTAGCAGGGAGAGGGTCCATGTGAGGTCAGAGGAGGTCAGTGAGGGACCAAAGAGAATCGCCCTGGATAGTGGGTAGGGAACACCATGGGGTGGGAGTCACCTCTGGAGGCCAGAGCCACTGGGGCTTGCCATGGGGACAAGGGTCACCATAGGCAGGGGACACCATCATAGGCGGCTACTGTGGAGGTGGGGGACCCTGGGTGACATGAGGACACCATGAGAGCACTGGGTCACTATAAGGTCAAAAGCTACCACACTGGTGGGACCACCATGGTGACGGGGGCCCTCTGGGGACAGGGGGCCCCTGTGGGAGCAGGGGCATCTTACCGGGTCACCAGGGATCCCTGCTGCACCAGGTTGACCCTGTGAGAAACACAGATGGGGGAGCCCTTCAGTGGGACTGTCCC
Organism: Homo sapiens; assembly: GCF_000001405.40. Lineage (NCBI taxonomy): Eukaryota > Metazoa > Chordata > Mammalia > Primates > Hominidae > Homo > Homo sapiens. The sequence continues at coordinate 48,568,579 of NC_000003.12, forward strand.
CAACACTGGCCCATCCGCTGCATGTGTGGCCACTCAGATGCTCAGCGGCCAGGGCCCAGGCCACACACAGATCCCGGGTGAACACACATGGGGCCGGCAGCAAGGGAGCCAGAACCCCCAGCACTTAAGAGGACCCCCAGGATATGTGTGTGTGTGATGCTGGCTCTGGACCTGGGCCTGGGCCTGGGCCTGGGGCAGAACTTGCCTGGGGTCCCAGGAGTCCACGCAGTCCTGGCAACCCGGCTGAGCCCTTGTCACCAGGCTCTCCCTTGCTGCCCTGTGGGAGTGACCAGGAGAGGGATTCAGTCAGGACCAGATCAGGCTGGGGGCTTAGAATACAACGAGCCCGCCAGCTGGGGCAGAGCTCAAGTCACTCCCGAACGGCCCTAGCAGCACGTCCTCCCAGCCTGTGCCATAGCGGGTGGAACTGGGGGCTGTAGTCCACAGACTGGCTCATTTCTCACCCCAAGGACTCCAGACCCTTGCCCCGCCCTCTTATCACTGGGTTCCTCATCCCATCTGAAGCACCTTCAGATGGGGACACCCAAGGAGCCCCTTTCCTGTCCCTATAGGGCCCCTTCATAGGGCCAGTCCACAGAGCTCTCCTAACCTCACACCAAGGCCTTGAGCCCTCCCTAGAGCCCCTCCTCTCGGCCACTCCATAGTCAGCCACAGAACCCCTTCCCCCTAAACCCCAGAAAGCCTCCTCCTGTCCTCCCCTCCTGCCCTCACAGATGCTGTGGAACCACCACAGCCACAGGACCCCACAGAGAGTACACCACCCTCTTCCCTGTACCTTGTCACCAGGGTCCCCATTGTCTCCCCGAGGTCCTTTGTCACCATCCAAGCCCCGAGGCCCTCGTTCACCCTGGGTTGGTTTGGGTAAGAAGTCACGGTAAGGGGCTGAAGGTCCCTCACCCTCTGGGAGTTTGAGCTCTCAGATGCCCTGGGCCAGCCCCACGGGGTCCCTCTCGCACCCAGGGGAGACCCAGTCCACACGTGGGCCCACTCACCATGTCCCCCTTGGCACCCCGTGGGCCTGGAGGCCCCAGGATCACAGCTGAGTCTCCCTGAGGGGGCAGGCAGGAATCAGAGGAGTCGGGAGCACCCTGGCCCCTGCCCTGCCCTCCCCATGCCCACACTCACCTTGTCACCCTTTAGTCCTGCACTCCCAACATCACCCTATTGGGCAAAAGAGTGTGAGTCCCGCCCAAACTGGGGAGGCCCCGCACCTGAATTCTAATATCATACAAGATCCACTCACCCCCCCACTCATGCCAGGACCTTCCCCACGTTCCTACCTTCTCCCCACGCTCTCCCCTGCTGCCAGGGGGCCCCTGTGTGAGAGAAGGTGACCGTGAGCTACAGGAACCAGGGCAGTGGAGGACGGAGGAGGATCAGGGGGAGGAGGGAAACAGTGGGGACCAGACAAAGGGGACAGGGGTAGACGAGGAGGGCCAGAGGGCTAGGGAGGATGGCAGAGAGTCCTGGGGTACAAAGGGCACAGGCAGGGGACTGAAGTCACAGCACTGTCACTTTCCCCAGCGGGACCCACCGTGAGTCCTCGGGGTCCCTCCTGGCCGGGGCGGCCATCTTCACCCTGGATGGTGACATTAGGTTCATTGACTCAGAGGTTGGAAATCAGAGGCAAGAGCTGGGATGAAGGGAGTTCGGCTGTGGAGTAAGACATACGTACCCGGATGCCTGGCTCCCCACGCTCGCCTCGGGGCCCAGGCAGCCCTACTCCAGGGTCTCCCTGGAGACCAACAGGACACCGGGGATCAGTGAGGGGAATCAGTGGGGGACGCAGGGTCATGGGAGGTCAGTGGAGGCTGAAGGGGGTGACCAGGGCACAAGAGAGAGTCAGCAGCACTTGTCCCACCTACCTTGTCTCCTTTGAGTCCAGAGGCCCCAGGTGGTCCCTGTAGGTCAGAGTGAGGTGAGGGTCCTGTGGCTCTCAAAGCGCCTCCCCCAACACCCCACAGTGTGGCCCGCCCCATCCTAAGTCCTCACGAGGACAGGAAATCAAATACGTGGGGCTTTAGGGCACCTCTACTCACCACTGACCCCGGTGGTCCAGGTGGCCCCAGGGGTCCTGGGATTCCTTCTCTCCCTGGGGGGCCTGCCAGACCCTACCAGAAAAATGGGGCAAGAGAGGCAGAGAGTGACTTGGGAACCCTCCTACCCTCTGCCCCCTCAAGACTGGGAACCCCCAAGGCAGGGCCCCCTCCTCACCCACCATGGATTCACCATGCCCCTACATGCTGTTCCCAGCCCCTCACCCGCTCTCCACTAGGGCCTGGCTGACCCATCTCTCCTCGAGGGCCTGTCTGACCCGGGAACCCAACAACACCAGGAGCACCGGGCAGGCCAGGGAGGCCCAGATCTCCCTGAAATAAAAACAGCAAAGGGAGGGAATGGTCAATGCAGGACCCCTCCCAGGACTCTCATCAGAACTCCCTCTTCCTCCTGTGGGGGCCCGGCCTGCTGCCCCTACAACTGGTGATGGGGCATTGACTTACCTTCACACCTGGAGGGCCAGGAGGCCCAGGGGAGCCCGGGACCCCGACTCCTGGGTCACCCTTTGAGGAAAAGAGGCATCGGATCAAGCTCAGGGAGTCTCACGACCAGGACCCCAGCAGGGACCCTTCTGGGTACACATACCTTGAAACCTTTGGGTCCTGGAGCCCCTTTCTGACCCTAAGAAAACCCAGCAAACAGCATTTGAGAGGGTAGGAACATGAGCACAGAGTTCAGACACGGGCTGAAAATATTCCCAGGGGAGTTCTGATGTGACCATGAACACATGGGAACTCAGACATGCGACCAAGAATTGGCTCACAGGAGCTCAGACATGACCATGGCCTATCTCAGGACAGCACAGACAGAGGGACGCTCAGATACTACCATAGACAGGTGGGAGTTCAGGCATGGCACAGGCACAGGGAGCCCACACGCGAGTGCAGACATCTGGCTCCACAGACGTGAGTGCGGACACACGGGCGCTCAGAGGGGAACCCCAACACGTCCACTCCCGGGTAGAGCAGGCATGGCCACAGGCTGAACGCTGGCAGCCAGGGGCAGGGGAAAGGAGGATTGTAAACACAGGACCAAGGAGAGGTTCACAAGAACTCAGGTGTGTCCTGGGATCTGGGAGATCAGACCAGAGCACACGTGTGCCCAGATGTGGTGAGAAACAGACCAAGGATGGGCACACAGAAGCCAAGACAGGGCCCCCAGAGCTCAGAGTGTGGAAGCCGACAGTGTGTGGCTCCCTGTGATCCAGAGAGCAGGCTCCTGGATGTTGGGACATGCAGCCCGACTCAGGGGCTCAGACATGTGCCCCGGCCCAAGAGTGGCCCCTTATGCCCGCCATCACACTCCTCAGGCCAGGCTCGCCCTTGCCTAGGCCCCGGACTCACATCTTCCCCAGGGTCTCCGGGCTCCCCTGCACGGCCAGCTTCACCCTGCACAGAATGGCAGGTGAGGGGTGTCTGGACTGAGCCTTCTCTGCTCAGTAGTCAGGCCCCAGGGCCAACCCACCTCACCTTCTCGCCTCGCGGCCCTGGCAGTCCTCGGTCACCTTTGGCTCCCTGTTGACAGAGGTCAGGAGGCAACACAGGCATCAGTCACAGAAAGATGAGACTCCGGAGGGAGGCATGGGGCCAGAGCTTAAATATGCGGTCTACTATGAAAGCTGAGGGTCATGAGGGTGGGTAAACTATGGGTCGAAGGTCAGAAGTTAGGCCACTGGAGAGACAGGACCCCCAGAACATCTGCTGTCAGAAGTTCCCTACTTACCGGCTCACCCACCAGGTCTCCAGCAAGGCCTCCAGGGGCTCCCTGGTAAGGGGGAGAGGTCAGTGGGATTCCTTGGCCCCCACCAGTTGACCCCCCCTCACTGGCAGCCCCACACACACTCACCTTCTCTCCCTTTGCTCCAGGGAGCCCGACCACAGCCTGTGGGGAATGCTAGTGAGTTTCCTCCTCCTCCCCCGCCCCCACCCTGCCACCCCCATGGCATTTGGAAACAGGCTTGTGGGTGAGGCAGAGGAGTTGCTGCAGGGGGTGGAAGTCAGGGTCAAAGATCACCTGTCCAGGGGCCCCCGTGGGGCCAGGTTCTCCTTTAGGTCCGACAGGGCCAGGCAGACCTGGTGACCCCTATGGCAGAGCAGCGTGAGGAACTCAGTGCCTCTCCACCACCACCCCTGCTGCCCCACTCCTCATATTTCAGGCCCACAGCTGGGCACCACACCCTAGCGAGCTGCCCCCAGAACACATACTGGCACACCAGGGCTCCCTCTGTCTCCATCTTTTCCACTGGCACCATCTCGACCTGGGGCTCCCGGCTTCCCTGTCTCCCCCTGAGAGGGAAGAGCTCTGTCAGGGCTGCCTGTCGACCCTTGACCCCTGGAGCCCAACCCTTGACCCCCAGAACTCACCACTTGTCCAGGCAAACCTGGAGACCCCTGTGGACCCTGACGGAGAACAAGTCGGATGTCAGGGTGACAATGGACACAGGACGACATGAGAGAACATGGGCCCCAAGGAGTGAAAACACGGTGTCCCTACAGGGGCCACAGGGACTCACTCACCACAAGGCCTGAAGGGCCGGGGGGTCCAGGAAGTCCCACAGCTCCAGTAGGTCCAGTCAGGCCCTGGAGGAAGAGAAAGTTCAGGGCAGTGCCAACCCCACCCATCTCCCTATGACCCTAACCTGTGAGCTAGGCCACTCACCCGTCCTGGAGGTCCTGTCTCTCCAGGCTCCCCCTGCAAACAACCCAGAGACTGCATGAGCAGAGCCCACGTGGCCAGGGCTCCTGGAGCTCATCCTCATTGCAGGAGATGACAGCCCAGGAGGTTGGCGCACACTACCCCAGGCATGGACACAGCTTGAAGGAGCCTCCTCCTCCTATCCACACACCTAGACTCACCTTCAGGCCAGAAGGTCCTTGGGGTCCTGCAGGGCCAGCAAGACCCTAGAGAAAAGGGTCAAGGGCAGGGAACAGGGCTCAGGGATTAACACAGAGAAGGCCTGGCTCATCAGCTGTGGCCAATGCCTATCCCAGCCCTTCCAGACCCTCACCAGGCAGTGTTCCCTGGTCACTCACCGGGGCACCAGGTGGTCCAGGGTCTCCATGACCACCCTGTTGTGGCGAAAAAGAGTCTGATGAGGGGGAGTTAGCCGCACCCCACCAAGGAAACTGAGGCAGTACTGGTCACTGGGGCAGGGCACAGGATGGGGGCAAGACAGGTGAAGGTTCTTGGGTACTCACCACTGGGCCAGGGGGGCCTCTTGGACCCTGCAGACCCTACATAGAGAGGGCACTGATGAGCCTCAATCTGGGCCTCACTTGGGCCTGTTCCCAACCTCTGGGGGCTTTTTCCTTGGGGGTCAATTTCCATACCTCACCCTTTCCAGTCACAGATAATACCTACCCATGGACTGCCTCTCATAGATAGCACACACGGGCCTGCACACACACATCCACATACAACCACACACAGACACAGGCACACACAGGCACACACAGACACAGGCACACACAAGCAGGCACACACAGAGAGGCACACAGACACAGGTACACACAAACACACACACACAGACATGCACACACACAGCAGCAGCAGCACCTAGCGGAGGGTCCGGAGCCTGGGGCCAGGTGCTTCAGCCACCACTCACCGGCTTCCCTTCAGGCCCAGCCATACCACGCTCTCCTGGTAGACCCTGCAGAGAATAGGTTTAAGGCCTTAGTTTCCCAGTTCCAACTTCCCCTCCACCCACCATCCCCCTAGACAGAGTCAGGACCCAGACAGTCCCAGGCAGTACAGACCCCAGCCCTGCACACAGGACAATACATGTGAGAGCCACCTTCTTGCACATGTGTGGCTGTTGGGCAAGGACTTACCGGGTTGCCGTCCTGACCCCTCGGTCCAGGCTCTCCCCGGTCTCCTTTGATGCCTGGCACACCCTGAAGGCAGAGTGTCGTGCCCTGAGCCCCCAGTCCCTGCCACGTGCCCAGGTGCATATGCACACCACCTCTAGTGTGCCCCCAGAAAGGAGGGGGACTCTATGGAAGGGTGGAGAGAGGCCTCACCCTGTCTCCTTTGGGACCTTGGTCACCATTGCTGCCCGGCTCCCCCTGTGGGGATGAGATGTCAAGTCAGTCCCTAGTGCCATGGCAGAGGGTGGCCCCGAGCTGATTCCACACACTGACCTTAGCACCCTTGAGTCCAGGGGGTCCCTGTTCTCCAGAGAGTCCAGGACCTGGCTCATCCACAGACACCTACAAACACAAGGTCACAGGGGAGAGATGTCTCTGTCATAGAGGCATGGGGGAGTCATCACAGATCTCAGGATCACAGAGGGTTATAGGGTCAGAAATTCCAGGGTTATGGCACACACTACCATATTTCTGGGGACCAAGCTAAGGGTGGCTTCCTGGTCACTAGTCACAGGACTAAGGCAGGGATGGGGTGATCACCTTGGGGCCAGGGGGTCCGGGGGGCCCAGGGGTTCCAGGGAGTCCAGGAGGGCCATCTCTGCCCTGCAGGAAACAAGAAAATGGGGTGGCAGCCCCAGCACAGCCTCCAGACAGCCTGCCCCACGAAGCCCATCGCAGCCCACCTGTTCTCCACGTTCTCCTTTCTCTCCCCGTTCTCCCTGAAATGCAAATAGCGGGTGAGGGCCAAGCCCATGGGGGGTCCCACCCCTCCCAACCCCTCTTCCCTCACTCTCCTGGCCAGCCCCCAGCCTCACCCTCTCTCCTGGCCTTCCTGCCTCTCCCACACCCCCAGCCCTGCCTGGGAGCCCGGGAATACCAGGCTTTCCAGGCTCCCCGGCAAGGCCGGAAGGCCCGGGGGGGCCCCTCTCCCCAAGGGCCAGACCAGGTGGCCCCTGAGGGCCAGGGTCTCCACGGTCGCCCTTCAGCCCGCGTTCTCCAGGAAAGCCGATGGGGCCCTGCAGGAGTGGAAGAGAGAATGCTGGTGGCTGTACAGCTACACCCCACTCCACGGGGCACAACCCACTGAGCCACTTCTGCTCACCTCCTTGCCTGGGGGGCCCTGTTCGCCTGAGTCCCCCTTGGGGCCTCGACGCCGTTCGGGCACAGGCAGGAAGCTACCAGAGCTCTCATCCCAGGTCTCCACGATCTCCCGCAGGGCAGATGCCTGAGGGACAGCAAGAGGTCAGAGGAGCGGGGTGCGTCGCCGCAGCCCCTATGCCTGTGGGCACCACTAGCCCCAAGGGCCCCCACTTGTCCCTACCCCCAGCCCCTAAACAACCCACCTTGATGCCAGCAGTTTCCAGCAACCGATCCACATTCTGGGGACAAAGTCTGGGTGAAGGGCTGCCCATGACAGAGAAGCTCCTGCCTTCTGCCCCGCACGGCCTCAGGAAAGCACCTTCACACCCTTTTCCCTAGGCCTCTTGCCCAGAGCACCCTTTAGCACTTGGTTGAGGCATGGCTGGAGACTCCTGGGAGCCCCTTTCTGGTGTGTCCCCACTGCCCAAGTTCCCTTGAGTGTGGGCTACAAGAACCCCAATGGGGCAGGGCACTGAACACACAGCACAGAACCTATGGAGCCTCATGGCAAGGGGAAGGGGATGGCAAGGTGGCCCCAATGGGCATGCAAAACAGAGTCAAGGGGACATCCCAAGCCTGGCTCACCGGCACACTTCCAGGCTCTCCTCGCAGGCCACGCTCTCCAGGGAGGCCCTGGAGAGATGAAGACAAACTGCTAGGAACCAGCCTATGGGTGTGCATGTGCACATGTGGGTGCTGTGGCTACCTGGGCATGTGGAAAAGGTGGGGGCCTCACCTGCTCCCCTTTGGATCCAGTCTCCCCACGGTCACCCTGAAAACAAGAATGACCAGGTGGGGAAATGGCCCCCAGCCTGGTCAGCCCCCTCACCACGCCCCCTACCCAACATCCGCACTCACCTTGGGGCCCGTGCCTCCTGGGACACCAGGAAAACCCTGAGATACGGCAGAACACAAAGGGGTCACAAAGGCCCATGGCTTCCCAGGAGGGTTGCCCATTGAAACATCATGGCTTCTAATGCTCTGAAGTCCCAGAATGACCCAGGACACTCACCTGGCCAGGAGGGCCCACTGGCCCTGGGAGGCCTGGAGGCCCCTGGGGTCCAAGGATACCAGGAGCTCCACGCTCACCCTTGGGGCCATCACGACCCTGTGAAGGATGCAGCCAGCATCAGCACCCTGAGACCTCAGAAAAGAGTGGAGTCATATTCCCCCAGGGTCAGGGTCAGGGGTCAGAGGTTGCAGAAAACTCCAATACTCACTTCTCTCCCAGAGGCGCCTGAATCTCCTTTCTCTCCCTAAGGAAGACAAGGATGCTTCAGGCATGGCTCCAAGCAGAGACCAGAGAGACCCCAGGTGGGGGACTTTACCTTCCTCCCGTCTTCTCCAGGGTCCCCAGGTTCTCCCTGTGGGCAGAGGACTCACATCAGCCCAAACATTCACTGGTGTCTGGCTGCAAGACACTACCTTGCTAGATTTCAGATGACTGTGACTGTATTTCTGTGCCTGTAGCTCCATGGTTGTGTGTGTCTTGGAGCATGGCCTGTGGCCGTCTGAGTGAGCTGCTACATGTCTAAGGGTGTGCCTGCATAGGCCTGCTCACCCCAACAGGCAACTGCACACATGTCCTTTGACTCTGGCTCTCTAGAGGTAGCTCCACATTTATGCATCTCTGGGTTGGTGATCGTCCACATGTCCTGGGTGTGTGCATATCCATGTGTGTCTTAGTACATGTACCCATGGGTCTGTGTGTCCTGGTCTGTTTGCACATCTTGGCCCATGTCTGCATATGGGCATGGGCTTATACATGTCTCCAAAGAGCATGGGCTTATACATGCCTTGAGAGCCATGTGTCTTGGCATCTGTCTGCAACTCTTGTGTGTAGCTCAATGTGTATGACCATAAGCGTGTGGGTGACCATATAAAGTCATGGGCCAGCATGTCCTAGCACATGTCACAGGTCAGAGCCATCCATGTGTGTCTCACCATGTCTCAACACAGGTCCACATGCGGTCTTGGGTCCATGTCTTAGCACATGAGTCTGGGTGGAAGTGTCTGGGTATCAACATGTCTCTAAGTGCCCCAAATGTGGCTACACACCAGTGTGTTTGTGCCTGTCGACCTGTCTGTGGCTCTTCACCTGTGCCTATGGCTGTGGGTTATCTGGGCATGTGTCAGCCCATCCTGGCATAAATTGGCCCATTCACCTAACTCCCTATGTGTCTGTGAGGCTGCCTGTGTGTGCATATAGAACTATGTTTCCAGGCCTGGCGCAATGGCTCACGCCTGTAATCCCAGCACTTTAGGAGGCCGAGGCGGGCGGATCACCTGAGGTCAGTTTGTGATCAGCCTGACTAACATGGAGAAACCCCATCTCTACTAAAAATACAAAATTAGCCAGGCATGGTGGCGCATGCCTGTAATCCCAGTTACTCGGGAGGTTGAGGCAGGAGAATCACTTGAACCCGAGAGTCGAAGGTTGCAGTGAGCTGAGATTGTGCCACTGCACTCCAACCTGGGCAACAAGAGCGAAACTCCATCTCAAAAAAAAAAAAACTATGTTTCTGGATGCATCTGTATGTCTGGGCCAGGATGCATGTGTCTACACGTGTGCCTCATGTGTTGCTACAGATCTTGGCTGTGTAGGTGTGCTGGCGTTTCTTGGCAGGTTTCGCCGCAGCTGCCCTGGACACACTCACGTTTTTTCCATTCAGGCCAGGTTTGCCATCCTCGCCTGGCTTTCCCTGTGGGAACAGATCACTGGTTGGATGTCGGGGATCGGGTGAGGGTAGTAAGGGGGAAAAGGGGGTAACATGAAAGTCTGGTCTCACCGGTAATCCAGGGGGACCAGAGGGGCCAGGGAGGCCCTGTTCTCCACGGAGGCCTGGAAGCCCCTGGAAAAAGTCTTTGTTAAGATTTATAGGGCCTCTGAGATATCCCTTGGGGCACACCCCATGGACTAAGAGGACCCCAAAAAGATCTCCCTCCAGGGTAGAGACCCCCAGGACTGAGAGGTCCCATTGAGATCCCTCAGGCACAGACCCCATGGATGGGGGCCCCTGCTGAGACTCCCAAGGGAAGAACCCCCAGGACTTGGAGGGCCTATGAAGACCCCCAAGGCAAAGAAGGTCAGAAAGGGGGATTCTACTAAAACCTGTGTGCCAGGGACTGAGACCCTCCCAAAGGCAAGGCTGAACCGACCCCCCACCAACTCTCTCGGATGCTGTGACTATGATGATCTGGTTGGAGCTTACGCAGCCCCGAGCCCCCTCTGTCCCAGCATCTCCCCTCACTTACGTCTCTCCCTGGGTCCCCAGCTTTGCCTGCAGCACCCTGAGGAGAGACTCAAAGTCAGTTCATCATGGTCATGGGGTCAGGGGCTCTAGTCCCTGTGAGCCTAAGGCCTGCATGGCAAGAACATGCCCCACCCAGGCAGGGCTCTGGGAGAAGACACAGACAACAGGTCTCGCCCCAGAGCTCGTCAAGGCCAAGACCAACCAATGAGGCTGGGGTCTAGGGTCCTCATGTGAAGGGGTAGGGGAAGGGGACAACCAGGCAGGACTACCAAGACTCACATTCGGCCCAGAGGGCCCAGCGGCTCCTGGTTTCCCATCCAGTCCGCTCCGGCCATCCAGCCCAGGGGGACCCCGGTCACCCTGTGGAAAATAGAGTGGTAAGAGGCCACCAAGGCTGAGGTGGATCTGATAACCCAGGCTCATGTCCTGAGAAACCCCCACACCCTCTCACCTTTTCTCCTGCTGGGCCTCGGACACCTGGGTCCCCCTGGAGGGAACAGGGTCAGATAAGAGGTGAGGGTAAGATGGGGACTTGGCAGACGGGGCAAAGTGCATCACTCACCTGTGGGCCTGGGGGTCCCCGAAACCCTTCAATGCCCTGAGGATAGGGGAGGAAGAAATCAGAGCAGGCCCTCCCATGCCTGCACCCCCGAGGACCAATCACACTCACCCTTTCCCCAGGGGCTCCAGGGAGGCCAGGATCACCCTTGGGCCCTCGAGGACCCTCTTGTCCGCGGTCCCCAGGCTCTCCCTGTGGCAGAGATAAGCTTGCTGAGGAACAGCCTTGAAGCCAAGCCATGCCCAAGGTAGAACCTGCTGGGAGGGGCACTGGGGTCTTTCTTACCCTCCACCCACAGACCCTAATACCTTCTCTCTGGCTCCAGGTCCTGTGTCTACCTGTGGGGGGAATGACCAGTGAGAAGAATGGCTCAACAAGGGGAAGAGGAGTTGGCGAGGGGATACAGGGTCTGTGAGGGGCTCCAGGGATCCGCGGAGGTTTCAGAGGGACAGTGGGGGAAGTGGGAGTTAGTGGAAGGAATGAGGGGACATGATGTGGAGCCAAAGGGGCAAGTGAGAACAATGACAGAGGACCAGACCCAGCGCAGCCCTTACCAGCCGTCCCGGGGGTCCTGGGGGACCCTGGGAAAGGAAATGATTATAGTCAATAGGAGCCCTCAGGTCCCAGGCCATGGCTCTGGTTTGCCCCAGGCTCAACTCTGCCCCCAAGTTCCCCGAAGCACCCCAATGCCAGCCCCCAGCAGGCATGGGTGGCCATCCATGCTTCCCACCTGGACCTCCAGACCCCTTGTGTGAAGGCACACTGGCAGCAGCGCCAGGGGACCCTCCATCCCTTCTGAGCCCAGGACACCAGCCCTACTCACCGGCTCCCCACGGTCACCCTTGGGTCCAGATGATCCAGGGCTGCCCTGCAGAAAGGCAGGGGTCAGGGCCACTCAAGGTAGGCAGCAGTTTGGGAGAGCTTTGGAAGCACCATGAGGACTCATGGGAATGTTGGTAGCCTTCAGATGCGTGTGTGCAGGGGTCAAAGGAAGTGAAGATTGGGAGGGTTTAGCATTACAGGGTTGGGGGGTAGGATCAGGTATTGGGAATTGGCTGGTTGGAGGGTTAAGGTTGGGGTGAGGAGTCATAGGCTGGGACTCACATTTCGTCCATCCTCTCCAGGATCTCCCTGGTCTCCCTTTTCACCCACAGGCCCCCGAACTCCAGGTGCCCCCTAAGAAGAGCAGCTGGCCTGAGACAGACCCTCCCAATATTTTGCAGGTGCCCCTATGACCCGCTACACTGCCCCAGGTTCCCCATTACTCCAAAATCCACATCAGAGGTTCCCATCACCCCATGCCTCCCTGCAGGGACTCCCATCACCCCTTACCCCCCTCAGCCTTTCCTATCACCTTCATGCCCACCTCCCATCACCCCTGTTACTTCTCTCTGCCAAGACTCACCCGAAGGCCACGCTCGCCTGCTTTTCCAGGCAAACCCGGGTCACCCTGGTGATAGAGAGAAAAGTCATACTGCACAGGGCAGTCAGGATCTAACTCACTCAGGGAGAGGGGACAGAGAAGGGTCTGAGCAGCAGCTGGACAGGAGGCAGGGAGTGGATGGATGAACTGGTGGAGCACCAGCCTACTGGGATCCTAGTTCAAGGGTAAAGGATCAGAAACCACAGTGGGAAGGAGTCTCACCGGAGGACCCTCGTCACCTTTCTCTCCAACTTCACCCTGTGAAACATGAGAGTCAGCCCTGGTTCCAAGAACCCCCATGATGCTGGCAACAGCCCTACTCCCTTACCCGCCATGACTCCCCCGACTCCAGCCTCTTACATCTCGTCCTCGGGGGCCAACAGGTCCTGGGGGGCCAGGCCGCCCAGGGTCTCCCTTCTCTCCAGGAGGCCCTGAGTCACCCTGTGGAGGAGGCAAGAGGGAGGTGATGCAGGACGCTCGAAGCAAGCAGTTCTCAAGGGGAGGGGACCCCAGAAGCCTTGAGGTTGCCCAGGGTAACGGGTACTCACTGGGGGTCCTGCTCTGCCAGTAAGGCCAATGGGACCCTGAAGGGGACAGAAGGGGGGCAGGACTTAGTCAGGGTCCCACCACCTCATCTCCCTCTGTCACACTCCCCATTCCCACATTGATTCACCCGGTCTCCAGGGTCTCCCTTGGGGCCAGGGTCTCCAGGAAGAACCAAGCCGGGTGGGCCCTGTGGATGGAAGGATAAGAAGTCAGGAAGACAACCTTCACCAACTGCCCCCTAAACACTTCGCTTCACTTACCCGTTCCCCTTGGACTCCGGTAGCTCCTCTGGGCCCAGCGGGCCCCACATCTCCCTGGAGGTGACAAAGACCATCAGTGCTAGTCCCAGGCTCCAGTTAACCCCCTGACCCAGCAAGTCCTGTGACCCCCCAAGTCCCATAGATAGGCCCTATGACCTAGACCTCAACCCTGTAGAAACCTCCCCTTGCCCCATACCAGGCTTACCTTTTCTCCTTTGGGTCCAGCAACAGCAGGTCCCTGAAAACAAACAGGACAGATACAGCTTGGCCCTGCCTTGGGGTTGTATGATCAAAGTCTTCATTGGAATGGAGGTCACATGGAATTGGAAGTCATACAGCTCAGTCCCCGCCCAGAAGTCACAGAGTCACCGCTGACAGCAGGGAAGGGGTTATACAAAATGGACTGACACAAAGAGCTCATGACCTGCATGGCGGTCTTGGGGTCACAGGATCATAGCCAAGAGTCTGGGGGCAGGTTCTAGCAGAAGGAGAGCCGCAGAGCTCCCAGCCTGCTCACGGGCCCAGCACTGTGGAATCACAGCCCAGATAGTGTTCTATAGGAGGGTCACTGCTCAAGGGCTGTGCTGTGCTCAGAGCGCCATCCTCCCGTCACTCACCACCACTGCAGGGTCCCCAGGGCGACCAGGCTCCCCCTGTGGAGAGAGGATAGGAGCAGGGACAGGTCAGGGAGTCACCTAGGAGCCCAAAATCCCAGTGTCCCATCTGCCACATCCCTAGTACCAGACAGTGCCACCCCCAGCCGAGGACCCACCTTCTCTCCTTGGCGGCCAGTGGGTCCTGGTGGCCCCTGAATGTAGAGAAAGTGTGAGCCCAGGAGGGGAAGGGAAAGGGGAGGGACACACAAAAGTCCCACTCCTGGTCCCACCACAGTCACAGACTCACTTCAGGACCCTTGGCTCCAGGACGTCCAGCAACCCCTGGCAGCCCCTGGAGGAGAGGAAGGGAAGAGCTGTGCAGGTGGGTGGGGACGGGGGATATGGACAGACAGGGCTAGAGGCTGGGGTGGGGGCTGGAGAGGGGTCAGGGAAGATTGGGATTTAGGTTGGCAGGGGTAAGACTTGGCAGGAGAACAGAGACCAGGTCAGTGAAAATCAAGGTCAGTTCAGCAGGGTCAGAGGTTCAAAGCCAGGTCCCTGGGGCTGAGGGTTAGAGCCTGTATCAGCAGGGATAAGTGGTCATTGAGGAGGGGTGAGGAGCAGGGGTAGCAGGGGTCAAGGGCAAGAAGTCAGAACCAGAAAGGGCACAGCCAGGTCAGCTGGTATGAGCATTGCAGCCAGTGGGTTTACCCGGGATCCCGCTGGGCCTGGGGGTCCACGTTCGCCCTGATGGAAAAGAAGAGGTCAGAGCTGAGTTGGGCCCAGATCCTCCAGGGCCCTTGGCACCCCCCAGGTTGCACTTACCTTCTCTCCAGCCTCACCCAGGGGCCCTGGAAAGCCCCGGTCACCCTGAAGAGAGAGGGTGAGAGAAAGACAGAGAGAGAGAGGGTTGGTGGCGGGGCTTGAACGTCAAACCCCAGACAAGGGGTCCCAAACTCCAACCACCCCCTCCAAAACCACGACCTCTGACCTGGAGGGAACTCTTATCTCCTTATCTTCCAGCCTCCCCTAACACCATGGGGAGCCCAGAGTAGCACCCCTCACACCTGAATCCCCCAACTGGTACTCACTTTGGGGCCAATAGCTCCAGGAGGTCCCCGTGGGCCCTGGAAGGGATGAATTTGGGGGTTCAGAGATTTGGGTTTGGGCATGAGGATGGAGCAGTGGTTGATGATTGAGGTAGGGGCTGGAGCTGTGCCCACCATATTCAGAATCCCTGGCCCCTCCACTCACCTGCTCACCCGGAGACCCAGGTTGTCCTGGGAGGCCTGGAGCTCCATCCTCAGAGTCACCCTGAAGGAGAAACACACGGGTGGGAAGACCGAAGGGAGGCCCTGCCCCCAGCACGCAGCCTCCCACCCCAGAACTGGGACATCATCAAGTCAGCCTTCCTACTTTTTCTCCTTTCTTTCCAGGGGGGCCAACGGGGCCTTGGGGTCCAGGGCTTCCGGGAAGACCCTAGGAAGAAGTGAGTAAAAATATGAGCCAAGAACTATGAAGCCCAGCACCCAACCACTGCCCCAGGAGAGACCCACACCCCTGAGCAGGGCCCCCAGCAGAGCCTCAAGGCCCCTCACCGGCAGCCCAGGCTCCCCAGGAGCAATGCCACCTTCACCTGGTCCAGGGGGACCCTGGGAGAGAACAGCAGGTCAGGGAATGAACAGGGGAATCAGACTCCAAGCCACCCCTAGCACAACCTGTCCCTCACTTACCCGCTCCCCACGATCGCCTTTGTCACCCTAGAAAACAGATGACGACCCCATGACCCTGGGCCACACCTCACTCCCAAAGATACCAGGAGTGATGAGGGTCATGGGGTCCAATTGGATTTCAAGGATTTTGGGAGAACTGAGGCGTCATGGTGAGGATGGGGGTAATCAAAGGGTCACAAGGGCCAGAGTAACTGGCAGGGGTTATGTGGGTTCAAATGGGGTCACCAGGTCTCTGCATCACATGGCACTCATGAGGCTGTCACCTTCATGGCTGTTCCAGGAAGCCCTGGGGGGCCACGGGGTCCTGGGTCCCCCAGTGGTCCACGAGGTCCAGGGGGGCCCTGATGGAGGAGACAAAGTATAAGGTGCAACCCCACAGACCTCACTCTCGCCCCCCTCGTGTTGGTCCCCCCACTACACATCACTTGCCTCCACATACCCTGCACTTACCGATGGTCCAGGGTCCCCTTTCCGCCCAGGAAGCCCAGGTCCTTCACCTCCGATGACTTGTCCGGGAGCCCCCTGTAAGGACAGAGAGCAGTGGGCAGGATTCAGGCTATGGGGGCCTTGAGCTGGAAGAAGCCCCTAGACATGTCCAGCTATTCCTATTCGCGCCTTAGGCCCTGCACAGGGTCTGGTGTGGGGCAGTCCTGCTCCTCCCTGGGACATCCCGGCCGCCTCCCTTCCCCCTTCACCTACCGGCTCCCCCTTTGGGCCTCGAGGTCCTCGCTCTCCCTGAGGACGAAACAGAGCAGAGGGTGGTGCTTGGGCTCAGGCGAATGTCAACGTGGGCACTGCACCACCACCCCAGGCTCCCACCCTGTGGAAGAACCCTGGGAAGACACTTAGAGAGCAAAGAAGGGAAGGCACCTTACCGGGTCCCCACGAGGGCCAGGCAACCCTGGAGAGCCCTGCAAATGGAGGCCAGAGGCAGAACAGTCGGAGCCACCCCACCCACTCAGGCAGCGCCCACCCTGACCTGCAGGACAAGGCTTGCTCACCTTTAGGCCAGGGGCTCCAGGGGTCCCAGGATTCCCGGCGCGGCCAGGGCTGCCTGGACGCCCATCTGCTCCAGGGAAGCCCTGAGGAGGTGAAGAGGTCAGGACAGGAAGGGACCCTCCCCCAAGGCCCCTGGTTTGCTGGAGGGGCCTCACCCCATCAACAAGGGGTCGCCTACCCCACTGACCCCCAAGTGTTATTGGGGGTGGAACAGTGAGGCAGAGAAATGGCCCCTCAGAGCTTCACAGAGCCCAATTCCAGGCACAAGGGCAGCGACAAGGCAGAGGGCTTCCCTGCCTCTGGGACTTGGAGCTGCTGCTCAGGCTCTGCAGCGGGGCTAGAGGCCCCACTGGCCCTTCTATTTCAGAGTGTCCCCCAAAGTCTCTGTGGTGGTTTATAACCTCCAGCTGGGCTTCTAGGAATTCCCGATGATTCTAACTCTGCTTCTTCCTTCTCTCTTGTAAAAACCCCGAGACAGCTTTGAGGAGTGCCTCAGAGAAACCTCGATGGTCTCCACACTCACCCTCTCGCCCTTGGCAGTGGCACTTCCAGGGGGCCCCTGGGGGCCGGGAGCACCGGTCCTGCCCTGAAAGAAGATAGCAGTTAGGTGGGGATAAGCCAGTCAGGGTGCAGGGACAGATGTGGGGGACACTCACCGGGAGGCCAGGGTCGCCAGGAGGCCCAACTTGTCCTCTCAGGCCCTAGGAAGGGTAATCAGTGAGACCTGTGCTGCCAACCTCTCCTGCCCCACTGACACTCAACCCATTCTCTATTCCCCGCCCGCAGGGGCACTCACCATCTCTCCAGGTTCCCCCTTCTGGCCCTGGGGAAAGACATGTCAGATGTGGGTCAGAGTGGCTAGCCCCAGGTGCAGCCTCTGTTCACCTCTCGATGAGGGACTCTTACCTTTGGACAATACACTGGGCAGGGCTCTGGCCGGGGCTGCGGACATAGGGTCTCTTTGAGGTTGAACATTTCTACCAAGAACCCCCAGACCCCTTATATTCTACCACCCAGTCCCCCAGAGGCCTCTTCCAAACCTGAGTAGTGAAGGATGCCTGACACAGGGCTGTGGCCAGACCACTGACTGCCTGGTCCAGGCTTGGCCCATCATCCACGGCGAAGAAGGTCTGGACAGAGTCCATACCCGGCGCCAAGCGACGCAGCTGCTCTGGGTCCGCTCCAGCCATTCCCAACATCACCACATTAAGCCCTAAGGTGGGGTCCAGTGGCTGCATGATAGCCTTTTCAGGGCCACCCCTATTCCCAGACCCCTTCCCCATCAGCCTACTCCTTACCAGAAGCCTGGGCCTCACGGATGGGGCTGAATATGTCACCTCTCAAGGGTTCATCCACTAGCAGAACCATCACCCCTGGTACGTGCTGGCGGCGCCCAGGAGCATCTGGTGCCAACATGTATCTGTGAGCTGTGACCACGGCTGTGCCTGGAAGGAAGGACATGTCAGAACCCTGGGGCACCAAGCTCCCAGTGGATAGCCCCAGGAGTCCATGCCTGCTGCAGTCCTCACCCAGGTTGTTCCCACTTGGGTCCATGTAGGGCATGTCACGGATCCTTTGCAAGATAATGCCAAGGTCATGGGAGCCATTCAGTGGGAACAGTGGGGAGGGCCGATGACTGTAAGACAGCAGGCCAACCTGGGGTGGAAGGAAACACAGAGCCTGAGGAGGATGACAGAGCAGGGATGGGGGTGCACAGAGCCTGGAGAAACACATCAGGGTGTGTGTGACCAAACCCTATCTATTAGGGAGTCAGCAGTGATGGCAGGATAGGGAGCCAGGCAGTAGGTGAGGTCTGGAGCCTGTGAGAGAGCTGGGAGAATGCCTGAACCTATTGGGTGGTCAGGAGATGGTAACTGGTATGGAGCCTGGGTGGGGGGCCTCAGGGAGAGGTAGAATCTGGCTGCCCCAGGGCCAAACCTGAACTGCCTGTGGCCCAAGAGGCCCAAGTGCCAACACCAGACGCTCCAGGACCCTCCTCGTAGCCTCCGCACGGTGAGCATTGTCTTGAGTGGCATGTGGTAGGAACACCACATCCGCCAGGCCACGGGGGCACACTGTAGGAAGGGGAACAAGTTACTGAAGCGGGCAGCCCACCCAGACACACCTTTCTGCCCTTCCCACTACGCCCACTATACCTGGCGTCTGTGTGACAGATGCCTCAGGACCCCGCACACCATCCAGGACAGGCGTCAGGGAGAAGATGTAAGAGACGCCAGGCTCTAGCCCTGTCACCCGCTGGGAGCTTGAGATCCCTGGAAGTGTCTGCGGGGACCCAGGCACTTCTGCAGGAGACAGAACTTGATTAAAAAGCTGTCTCCACAGAGCCCCAACTGCCAGCCCACCCAAATCCTGGCCTCCCCCTCACCCTGGCCAGGGCCTCTGAGTGGCCGCCAGGATAGGATGTAGCTGGATGCCCTGGACACTGGAGTCCAGGCCAAAGTCACCGAGTCGATCGAGGTGTCCACCACACGTAGTTCAATGCTTGGAACACGAGGTGACTCTGAAGGAGGAATGAAAGATCGAGGATCAGAGGCTGAGTCCTGAGAACCCAGAAGGGAGAGATCTGAGATCCTGGGTCCGGTTTGTCTTATTGAAGCATCATGGGAGGTCATGCTGGGGTCACCCAGGGTCAGAGGGTGAGGGGTAGGGGTACAGGAGGAGTCACTCAGAGTCGGGGTGCAGGAAGTCAGGGTGGGTCATCAGCAGGGGAGGAGCACGCCAAGGTGAGGCAGGCTTACCAGTGCGCGCAGTCACCTCTGCAGAGGGCCCTTCTCCAGCTGGCCCTAGGACACTCAGCCTCACGCGGTACTGTGTCGCTGGCTCCAGCCCGTCCAGGTGATAGCTGCTGAGCTCGGGCCCCAGGACCCGGGACTGTTCCTGGCCACCTGGGGCAGGCGTGAGGGTGGGGGCCAAGAGCATGTGGGATAGTGACACCTGGGGGCATTAAAGGGCCTGCCCACTTCACTGGCTCTGTTAACTGGGTTCACCCTCCTGACTGATCTTCCTCATCCTCACTGACCCTGCCCACTTTACGGACCCTGCCAGACTGACCCTCCATGAACTCATTGATCCCACCCACTTCATTGATTGATCTTACCTACTGTCACGGATCCCGCAGACCCCCAGTGACAGACCCCGCCCACCATCACTGTCCTCGCCTACCTTGCGGAGTCTGCCACAGCCCTGCCCCCAATGGTCCCTAACTTCCTCCTGGGGACACCTCTCACCCTCAGGTTGCCAGTGCAGAAGGAAGCCCTGCGCTCTGGGCACCGGCTCCCAGCGCAGCCTCAGCGAGTGCTCCCCGCGCTGCACCACGTGAAGCGTCCCCAGGGCTGGCGGAGCCTCAGGCGCTGGAGAGAAAGCTCAGGAATCAGGGAGGCTCTGCCCCCATGGCCCCTGCACCAATCCCAGGCCCACCCTGGCACACGCACCCCGCCCAGCCTCTCAGACCCCTCTCCCTCCTCTCAGACCCTGCCCCCAAAGGCTCACTACCAATCCTGGTCCTTTCTCCAATCCAGAGCACAAGCCCGGATCCCCAAACCATCCACACCACCCATCCGAAGCTCTCCAGCGCATGCTCTGCCTACGCGTAGTGACAACAATGGAGACAGGTGTGCCCTCGCGGTCCCCGACAAGTGCAGTCACTCGCACTGAGTAGCTGACTCCACCTTCGAGACCCCGGATCTCTGCAGAGTCTGTGTTTCCTGGGAGTATCTGGTGCCTCATGGGGCCGCCTGGCCAGGTGGGCATACAGCAATGGTTAGGGGTGAGCAGTCCCAGCCAGGAAGGACAGGGGTGGCGTCAGGGAGCCATACCTTCACTCCGGCCCCAGGCCAGTCTGTAAGCTGTGGCTCCAGTGACCCCTACCCAGGTGATCCGTAGAACGTCGCTGGAAGCATTGAGGATCTGCAGCCTCGACACACGACCCACAGGCTCAGGGGCTGGGGACAGAGGCAAGGTAAGGGGTCCTGGTAGAGAACAGAGAGGCAGTGCAGGAATGGTTGACGCAGGGGTGATCTGAAAGTCAGTGTGAGGTTAGTGTGGACAGGTCACTTTAGGCAGCCCTGAGGAGGAGGAGGTCAGTGCCTTGGGGTGGGCAGTGTGGGGCCACCAGGAGGTCACCGTGGGTGGACACTTAATCAGTGTGGGGTGGGTCAGTGTGGACAGGACAGTCACTGAGCAGGGGGGTGGAGGCAGCTGGGCAATCAGGAACACACAGCAGGGCAGGGTAGCTAATGCGGTGTGGCTAGTAGCTGGCCAGGGTCCACTCACCAGTCCTCACAACCACAGAGGCAGGGGGCCCATCCACGCCAGCCACATGGGCCCTCACATGCACCGTATACTCAGTATCTGGCTCCAGTCCATCCAGCTCAGCCACCGTGGCCTCCCCAGAAACCAACTGGGATTTCTCTGGGCCTGGGAACAGGGATGGAGGCAGCTCCAGGGCTAGCAAACTCTGTGCCCCAGAGCCCCACCTGGACCCCCAATAAACCCCCAGCCCCCATTCCACCCTGACCTGCCCCCTCCCAAACCCCAGTCCCCACCGTGGGCTGAGTGCCAGGAAACCCTGTATCCTGTGGCGCCAGGAACCCTGGTCCAGGTAATGGTGACAGATGAGCTGCTGGCCTGAGTCACATGGACCGTCCTCACTGGGCCCAGTGGGTCTAGTGGGGAGAGGCAATGGGGAGTCTGCTGGAACAGGCAGGAAGGAGTGGGGCTATCTGATAGGGGAAGATGATGGGAGTCTAACAGGAGACGGGAATTTGATAGAGGAGATGGTGAATAGGTCCAGTGGAGGAGTGGGGAGGTGGAGGTTTTAGGAAGCAGTGAGCAGGTCTGATGGAGGAGAAAGTGTAAATCTCAGAGGAGATTTGGGTCCAGCAAAAAAGGGATGGGGGTCTGAGGGTTGAAGTGGTGGATATTTGAGGGCAAAGGCTGTGGGAGTCTTAGGAGAGAAGCGGAGGAATCTGAATACGGGGAGGGCTTAAGGGGAGACAGCTGAAACTGAAGAGGAAGCAGCGTCTCTGAGGGAGGAGGGAGTGGGATTCTGAAGGGGGAGGCAGGAGTTCTGGGGAGAAGCAAGGGTCTGCAAGGGAAGGCATGGGGGTCTGAAAGAGCAATGGAGGCAGAGAGCCAAGGGACGGGGGCAGGGCCTGACCCGTTCGAGCCACGATGACTGCAGCAGGGCCCTCCTCTCTGCCTCGCAGTACCGACACAGCCACCTGGTAGGTGGTTCCAGGCTGCAGCCCTGTGATGTCTGTGGCAGTAGAGTCTGGGGGCAGTGTCTGGCTGGACTCCGGACCTGAGGTCAGAGGGAAATGCTGGCATGGCTCCTGCCTGTCCCCTCTGGCACCCATACCCTCATTGGTCCCTTTGGCAGTCCCCCCACACACCCCACACTGACCACTGCCTGTGCTCCAGCTAATCCGAAATCCACTGGCTCCAGGGACGGGTCCCCAGGCCACCCTCACTCGCGTTGCATCTGACACCACAACCCGCAGCCCTGGAACAGCAAGTGGAGTTTCCGGCTCTAGGAGTTACAGACAGAAGTCAGAAGTCAGAACCAGGACCAGAGTGAGGCAGGCAGCTGTCCTCCACAAGCCTCCTGCAGTACTCACCCCGGCGGACAGTGAGGACACTGGCACTGCCCTCACGGGGACCCACTCGAGCAGACACCCGCACAGTGTAGCTAAGCCCAGCCTGAACGTCATCCAAGTCGAATGCTGTCTGACTCCCAGGAAGCACCAGGGTCCGCTCAACCCCTAAGAGAGAAGTCAGGGTAGGTGGGCAGGGGTCAGAAAGAGACAGGGATGTGGGACGATGGCAGTGATGGACAGGGACGCAGAGTGAGAAGGGCCATGGGGGTGGGGATGTGGGGTGGTGGGGACCAGAGAGCTGGGATATGGCTGAAAAAAGTGAGTGCAAGACAAGGACATAGGATGAAAGGGGCCAGTGATGGTCAGGGACACTGGAGGACAGGAGTCTGTGGGATCTTAGCATGTAGGATGACAGGAGTCAGTGGACTGCAGTGAGAACTGATGAGCCATTGACAGACACTGATGTGGGATGGCAGAGGTCAGTGCTGGATGGGGACATGCAATGAGAGGTTGGTGTACAGTGGTCACCACTAGGGTAACAGAAAGACAGGTGATTGAGCTTGTGGCTGTGCAGAGGTGAAAGCCGTGGATGGGGTGTGGGGCAGGGAGGAGATTGGTTGGGGTAGGGTAGGGGCAGACACACCCTGTTGACAGTTCAGGGCTCAGTGCCATCTTGGGAAGCAGATGGATAACGAGACAGGGAGGAGACTATAGGGACCCAGGTGTGGAAGGAGAGGGCTGGAGGTACACTCAGACCCCTCAGGCTGGAACTTCAGTGTGTGTGGTGGGGGTGCTGGCTGCGTCCACCTCACCCTGGGTGCTGCGCACAATGATGCGGTACTGGGTGGCACCAGGGACTGGGCTCCAGGACACTCGCACCCGCTGCCCGGGCAGCTCGGTGGCTTGCAGGTCTGTTACAGGGCTCACAGGCAGCTCTGGTCCTGTTGGAGAGCACAGCATAGAGGCAGCCTGGGGCTCCGACACCTCCCCCACTCACTGGCCCAGCCCACAGAGCCCTCACCAGTGGGAACCACGGTTGCAGGGGTGGCCACCTCGTGGCCCTCCAGCAGAGTGTAGAGTGTGAGGCGGTACTCAGTGCCCGGCTGCAGCCCATCCAACTGGTAGCGGGTCACATCAGAGGGCAGTACCACCTTCTGCGGTGGCTCCAAGCCTGCAAGATAACAGGGTCAGACCAGCAGAGGCCATGCCCTGACCCTTGCCTGTCCATCCCTTCCCCCGCACTGACCAGTCTCACGCCGCCATTCCAACCGGTAGCCACGGGCCTCAGGCACCAAGTTCCAGGAAAGGAGGATGGATGTGGGGCCCAGGATGACCGGGCGCAGGGTCTGCTCAACAGAAGCGTCTGCCCAGGGCACATGGGATGTCAGTGGCCTCCGGGCCTTGCCCTGCCTGCCCGTCCCAGCCTGAAGAAAGTGCCCAGCCTTCTCACCAGTGCGAGCCATCAGGGAAGTGGCGGGCCCCACACTGCGGCCAAATAGGGTGCTCACGGTCACCTCATAGTCCGTGCCAGGCTCCAAGTCACGCAGCAACACTGAACCCTGCCCAGGGCCCAGCTCCTGCTGCTGTGTGGGCCCACCTGCATGGGGGACACCAAGGGGCCAGTGGGCCTTGCAGACTCAGGACTCTACAGCCTTGTCTGAGGCGCGGGGACTCCCCTCAGCCCACATCTCTCACTCACCACTGAGGACCCGCCATGTCACACGGTAGCCAGTGGCACCTGGCACACTCCGCCAGGCCACCAGGAGGCTGTGGGCTGTGGTATTCTGGATGGTCAGTTCCGGCCCTTCTAGGGCAGCTGGGGGAGAGTCCCACCAGGGATTCATGGAGTCAGAAGTGGGAGGGGGTACTGGGGTCGGGGGTTAGGTGAATGGGGTCAGAGGCTGGCAGAATTGCTCACTGGTCCGAGCTGTCCCGCTCACAGCCTCCCCGATGCTGTTGGCGTAGAGGGCAATCACAGTCACTTGGTACTCGGTCAGTGGCCGGAGACCCCGCAGCCGCACACTGGTCTCACCAGCTGGGACGTTCACCTGCCCAGGGCAAGAGGTCACTTTATCTTGCCCAGCCAAGTCCCCAGCCACCACCTATCACTCCTGACATCCTACCTCCTGCCGCTCACTCGGCAGTGGCTGTCCCAGCCCCGTCAGAGGAGTGTACTGGACCTTGTAGCCAGTCACAGGGCCACTGGCCGCTGTCCACTGTACTCTCAAGGATTGGCTGCTTGGCTCAGACAGCACCAGGTCTCGTGGAGCAGAGGTCGAGTCATCCGCTGGGAATGCGGGATCAGGGGATCAGGCAGGAGGATTGGGGTGGGCATGTATGATGCAGAGTTGGGGTCGGGGTCAGGAGCACATAGGATGGAATCAGCACTGCCAAGTGGGGATTGGGGTCCGGGGTCTAGGTCAGGGTACACCGTGTGGGCAGGAACTCACGAGGTCGGGTCACAGGCACGCCACCAGCAGTCGTGCACACTCTCCGGGAAACGAGGGGCAGTAGTGTCCTCAAGATGCTGAAGTCATTGACGAAGAAGAAGAAGTCACTGGTGGGCTGTGAGGCAACTCGCTTCAGCTCCTCAGGGTCAGCATTCTTGATCCCTGAAGTGACGACCCATCAGGACTCAGTCACCCACATGCTCTCTGACTGCCCCCACCCCCCAGCTGACCTGTCACTCCTGCTCGGTCCTTACCCACAGCAAATAGCTTGACCCCCTGCCCCTTCAGCCTTTGGGCAGCTGTGTCCACCAGGTCCTGGGACTTCCCGTCTGTGATCAGGATGCAGACCTGGGACAGGTGCAGGGGTCAAATCACGGTTCCCCTGGACACTTCATTTGGGGTCATCTTGGGAGGCATGGTAGGGGTAGGGATCACCTTGGGGACACCAGGTCGGGCCAGCTGGGGCAGGAAGACATGGTCAGCCACATGGAGAATTGCAGCCCCTGTGCGAGTGTTGCCCCCCTTGTAGCTAAGCTCACGGATGGCGCGGATCACATCACCCCCAGAGCCAAGTGCATCCAGGCCGAACTCTGTCCTGTTGGAGGGTAGGGGTGGCAACAGGCTAGGACTCAGGATCTCTTCTGGCCCTGGCCTTGAGGAGGCCTCTAGGGTGAGGGTTACGGGTATCAGGCTCTCTTGAGGGGTCCCTTCGTTCTGTCATTCTCCACACCCACTTGCCTCTGGAACCCCCAGGTTAACAAACTCCCCAGGGGCTCCTTTGTGCACCATCTGCAGGTGGGCCTGGGCAGACCTGAAGGAGCCCTTAGGGGCTCACAGTCTGTGGGGAACAAGATGCTGCTTAATTAAATAATTGCAGGAGGAGGGGTCCAGATGTAGGAAAGTGGATGCTGGCCAGATGGAGCACCTCTGGTGAACGGCTGCAAGGGTTAGAGGGCTAGAACGTGGAGAATCCAACAGGCGTGGGGGCCCCCTCCTGGGCTCCCCATCTCCAGATCAGAAAACACAGCCTCACTGTCTTGCACCTTCCTGTCTTGCAGTAGCCTGGAGGTGCCTCAGGGCACGAAGGTTCTACCTAGGGAATCCTTACCTCTGTCTCCAAAGGAGGTCCTGGCTAGGGGGTCTCTAGGTTCCCCAAAACTTGTTTCTGCAAAGACCTGGCCTGGGGTTTCCAGGGTCTCCTCCCTCTCTGGGGAAGGAGTCTTGGTGGGGATCTCGTGGTCCCCAGCCCCCAGGGCCCCTACTCACCGTGGGTCATCGCTGTACTGCACTGTGGCAAAGCGCACACCCTGTGCACTGGCTGCTCCAGAGAAAGGCAGCACCAGCCCTTCGAGAAAGCTGCGGACCTCGCGGAAATTGCTGCGGCCAATGGATGAGGAGCCATCCAGTAAGAACACAATGTCAGCGGCGTAAAGGCGCGTGCAGGTCACTGGGGCGGGCAGGAGAGATCAGGGCCTCTTCTGGGAGGCCAACCACCCGCCTACCCGCACGGTGGCCTCACTGGGACTTGGGATGGTGGGGAGAGTAGGCCTCATCTTATGCAAACCAGGGCCGAATCGGCCTGAGCCTGAGGGCCTTGGAGGGAGTTGAGCTCGGTGGGTCCCAGAGCAGACTCCCGCGGAGGGTTGGGGGTGTGCGGGGGAGGGAGAGTCGCCAGCACGGGTGTGGACTTGGGACTGAGGTCAGCCTCTAGGGGCCGGCGTGGATTGGCATAAGGCAGGGGACCCCGCACGCATCCAGGGAGCCAGAATTTGGGTAGGAACAGGATAGGAGGCGGTTTAGGGAACCCAGCACCGATCGCGGAGGGTTCGGGGAGTCCCAGAATTAGGAGGAATCCGCGGGGCGTCGTGGAGTTGGCTGGGTTGTGGGCGGGGGGTGTTGGGGATGAAGGCCGAGTGGAGCGGAGGGTGGCACGGTGCAGTGCCCCGGGCCGGGTCCTCCCTTGCGGTGCCCACCTCTCTCCCTGTGCTGGGCTCGCACTCGGGGCGCCTCTGCCAGGATCCCGGCGCAGAGCGCGGCCACCAGAAGCCGCAGCGTCATCCTAGGCAGTAAAAGCCGTCAGCTAGGACCCCCGCCTCTGTCCCTTGCTCCCCCGTGGCCTTGGCAGGTCCGAGCCCAGCGCCCCTCCAGCCCGAGTCCTGGTCTTGCCTGCGCGTCCGCCCGCTCCCGCCGCCGCCGCTGCAGTCTCTCGGGCAGAGCAGAGAAAAGTCCCTGATCTCGGGGGGCGGAGCGGCAGGCGGGAACCCAGGCACCCGCCCTCACCCATATCCCTGAGAGGTCGCCGCCCCCCCCACCCCTCCCCCAGACAAACGATATGACGCACTTAACTATAAACCCCCCGACCCCCCGTGGCTTCTGGGAATTTCCCAGAAGGTTCTGCATGGGCAGATGCTGAGGGAGTACCCCTAACTCCATCTAAGGTCACAGGTCTTGGCTGCTTTAGGTCAATCACAGTGACCAGGCTGAGGAGTGGACAGGTTCCTGCAGAGCCACAAGGCAGCAGCGCCGTGGGGGGTGGGGCTGCAGTTGGGGATGACTCACCCCCAATCCAGTGGGGGTGCCCAGACAAGCCCTCAGGCCATGGGTCCCGCCGGCCACTCCTGTGATTCAGCCATCTGTCTGGTGGGCCTCCTGGGCCCCACCCGGATCTCCTTGACAGGCAAGAAGCCCTGGCAAATGAGTGACTCTGGGCCGGTCTTAGGGAAACCAAGGTCCCCTTGGCCTGGATCCAAGTAACTCACCCCCTCTTTGTAGGGGATAAGCCGGAAGGAGGAGAGAACCTGTGTCATGCTTATGCATACATCCCAGTGTCCCACATCCCCTACCATGTCACAGGCAGATGCAATCCAGCTGTGCCTGCAGGGAGGGGGCCGCCCATCTGTGGAGGGCGGGACCACCCACAGTGACAGCTCATCTCTCAGGAATCGAGCCCTCCATGCCCCAGGCCAGGTCCCCCTACCTACATGTCCTCACCCACAGGCATCCTCTCCTTCCATCTACTTTTCTTGTAGGTCCCTGCCACCCATCTCCCCTACCAGGCCGAGGTCCCCTTGGGCCCCTTCCTCCTTTCCTCACTGCCCTCATGGTACCTGTAGCTTCCAGCTTCATAACTGCCCCCTACCTTACTCCTGTCCCCTTACCCAGGCTGACTTCACACCCTCCCCCAGCTTCGCTTCTGAGGCTGTGGACAGTCCTCCAACACACACCACGCCAGGGCCACTGTCCGAAGGAGGTGGGGCTCTGTATATGCATATCTCTCCATTAGATGGGTGACACTAAGGCAGAGAGGCACTGCTAAGAAGGGCAGGCCCCCATCTGGGTCCTGCTCCCCCTTTTTTTCCTGCTAATCCTGAATAACTCTGGGCAGCCCAGAAAGCACATCTATACTCACCAAGGCTGCTGGGCCCCTTCTAATATGCCCGGCCCCACAGCCTCCCCTGGGATCCACAGGGAGATATGGGGACAGCACTGGCTGGACTCCTCCACAGCCCGAGGACTCTGGTGTGGCCAGAGCTGGAGGCAGTGAAGACCATCCATGCTGCCTGCTTTCCTATTGCCCAAGGAAGGCTGGGGCTCTATCCCTTATTACTGACCCCCCAAACTATCCTGGGGCATAGTGCTATGACCTTATTCCAAGGTCAGGGTCTCCTCAGCCATGTCCCAGGACCCCCCATCCCTGCAAGGTGTGCTCCAGGTGGGGGGCTGCAGAGAACCAGGTATGTTATCACACAGGCAGCCCCTTCCCCCTAAGACTGTCACCTCCTCCCGTGCAGCCAGGGCGGGCAAGAGCAGGCCAGTGGCATGGACAGTACGGTACAGACATATGTGCACACGTGGGCCAGTCTTAGGGGAGACAGGAGGCCCAGCTGGGAGGGTGGGTGCTCAGGCAAACCTCATCAGAATTGAGGTGCCTCCAAAAGAAAGGACAGGCTGCTGTGAGAGGGTCTCTCAAAGGGTGCTGGGAGAGGCTGTTGAGAAGGTAGGAGTAAGGTTGGAATGACTCCACGTCTGGAGCTTCTATGAGACTCACGAGCAGGAGTGTGGCCCTCTGAAGCCCCAGCTCTGGCCTCCTGGGAGGAACACAGCCTAGGGCACAGCCCGAGGCCAGTGCCTACCTGCAACCCCATCAGGGCGGTGGAGCCCCCAGAGCACATCCTTCTCCCTCCCAAGCTTTCCCTGAACATTTCCTTCCCTGGCCTCAGTCACTACCTCACCCCATCTGTTTCCAACCAGGGCCTCTTTATCAGGTCCCAGCCCCACACATCCCACTGTACCCTGGACACCACCAAACTCCTCACTGGACTATGGAAGATTACCCTCCTCCAACCCACTCGTGCCTCCGCGTCTCCCAGCCCTGCTGGGAATGTAGTCCTCTTTGTGTCCCCTACAGCTGGCTCCAGTTCGTGTGGCCATGACCTCTGTTCTGCCACAGCACAGCTCACCAAGACTGATACAGAAATATGGCCTGAGAGTCCCCATGCTGAATCTCAACTCTGACCAAGTCACTTCTCTTCACAGTAACCTCCAACACACCTCCCCAGCATGGCTCCAGGGTAAAGACCAGAGTCCCTGGCTTGGTACGCAAGGTCCCTTAGAACCAGACCACTCCCAGCAACTCAAGCTCTCGTGTCCAGCACACCTGTAGCCTCTAAGGGCCAGGCTGGGCTTAGAAATGAAGCCCCATCCTCCAGGAGCTCAAACTTGACAACAGACTTGGCACTTGTTCCCCTGCCTGGGTGTTGCACCTCCATGAGCACCCAGGGTTGGGCCTGTCAGGGTTCTGCGCTGCCCAGCATCTTCTCTCCAGCCGTTCACAAAGTAGAATGATCTGCGCAATGCCCCAGTCCCGGGCCGTAGAAGGTGCTTAACAAATGTCTCCGAATTGGCAACGTATGGCAACCAATGGTGAGGGAAAGGCAGTGGGGCAGGGTGATAGTGATACAAGGGTTCCTTGGGCTACTTCCAAGCTACGATGCTGGGGGGACTTCTGAACAGCCATCTTCTAAAAGACCTTGTCCCAGCACCCTGCTTGTGACTGCCAGGCAGCGACTTCCTCAAAGGAAAATTGGGCCCCTCGCTTTCAACTTCCCCCTGGGATCCCAGAGAACCTGACTGTGGAAGCACTGGGGGGTGCAGGAGGAGCAGCCTACCTGCGCACCCACCATGGGGACCAGAGCCAAAAGAGATAACAGAGGGACTAGGTAGCTAAGAGCTGTACCAGGTCCTGGCTGCCTCAGGAAAATGGGGAGGGGATTGTCAGGCCAGCAGCTCTGGACTTGCCTGGGACAAATGTAGTAGAGGGAGGGGGCTCGGGCCCCACTGAGCTCAGGGCTATTCTTGGAGCCTGAGTCAGCGGAGGCAAAGGATTCCTGCCCTGCTTGTCCAGGCAGCAGTTAGAAACCAAATGAGAACACTATGCCCCAGGCTATCCTCCTCCCAGAATGCAGAGTAAACACACACAAGAGGCATCCTTGGAGACACCCCTTGGCCCCTTCTGGTCCACCAGGGACCACCAGGGGGTGACTTGGCACAAGGTCCACAGTGAGGGGTTTCCCACCTGAGCCTGCAGGGATTCCAGGCTGGGACTCCTACAGGGGCAAAGGCTGGGTTTACACTTCCTATGGACTCCCACAGCCCAATCTTGGGACCAGCTGGCTGAGGAACTCCCCTAAGTGGCTGAGTGGAAACATCTGGGCTCAGCTCCCTGTAGGCATCAAAGACTTCCGGCCTCAGCTGCAACCCCCACGCTTGCCCCTGGCTGAGGACACATCAGCCTGTGGGAAGGCAGGAGGATCCAGGAGCCACAGAACTAGAGGGAAGTCCTTGCTCCCCATCTACTGCCCCATGGACTCCATGCCAATGCCAAAAGAGGGATGACACACTTCTCAGCAGAGGATTTTATTGGTGGTCACCTGTGGCACAGGTTAGAGGAGCCGAAGTGCTGTGTTTGTGGTGGGGGGGGGACCACAAACCCCGGCCCTGCCCTCTTGCTTACATAGGCTTCCCGCCTAGAAGCGCAGCCAGAACATGCCGCTACGGATCCGGTTGTAGTCTGGGAGCTGCTCAATGGGGCCTGTGGGGATAGGGTGGAGCGTCAGGGTGGGGTACCTGGCCTGCACAGGGACACCTGGCCCTGTGCCGCACCCAGCTCGGAGATGCTGCCCAGAGCAGCACAAGACAGGCTTTGAGTGGAAAGAGAGGAGAGAACATTCCCCCAGGGGTGCTGAGCCTGTCCCTTCATGTTCTGGCCCTTGAAGCCCCACCCCACATGGAGGTGCCCGTTACCTGACGGGTGCAGGGTATTGATGAAGGCACCTTGGCAGGCAGTCAAGGAACTGCTGGGACAGGTTTTCTGAGCAAGAACTCCCTGGCAGCCAGGGGACTGGGGAGAGCTGCTTGGGGCCTTAACTGGCTGCTCTGTAAGCTGAGCAGCAGTGCGGGAGCAGAGGTGGAAGGGGAGGCCAAGAGAACGGCCTGAGGAAATAAACAAAGAGCAGACCCCCTAGGCCACTTACCATATCCAGCCACTGCTGGGCACTGGTCATAGATGTACTTGGAGCAGATCTCACGTACCACACTGGCATCCACCTCCTGCAGGGTGAGGCAGAGGGCATACTGGCTAACGGGCACCTGGCCACCACCTCAGCCAGTCAGCATCATCCAACTAGCAGAGATCTCCCACAGGCAGCATGCAGCTGTCCCCAGCCCAAAAGAGGAAAGGCAGAAGGGATCCCTGCTATAGACCTCCATGGGCCCCGCCCATCTCCACAGCCATCAGCACCTATGCCCTGCCCTCCCACTATGCTACCCCTGCAGGTGACAGCTGCCTAGGACACCAGGGATGCCTATAGGAGCAGGCTGCGCTATGCCAGGCCCCAACCCTACACCTCCCAGGTGTCTGCCAGGCCAAGACTCCAGAACCTCTCCCAGGGGTCCATGTTACCGCAATCCGGCTTTCCCATTCAGCCAGGGGGATGCGGCGGCCATAGGTCAGGAGGCTGCGTCCGATGTCCTCACACACAGGAGTAGTGCCTTTAAGGGTGAGAGAAGGCTCAGAGGTCCACCCAGCCCAATCCTGGACCCACAGGTACACAAACAATCTCCAGCCTCAGGTTGACAAGGACCTCCCTGACCTCATGCTGACTCAGATCACAGCCCTCTCTTCTATGGTCACCTATTATGGCAGTGATGGGCTGTGGACCTGTCTCACACCTGCCTGCATCTCCAAGGGTGGGGTGATGGGGCATGGCGTGGTCTTCAAAGTTTTCCTTTCTAACCTTGGTTAGTTAGGAGCAGTGGCCACCTTGGTGCTGTCGCTGGCAAGATGTACTCTACCCCTCCCCGCTGAGCTGTAGGACTCACCATCTAGATGAGATACCAGGGCATTTCTGAGGATGTTTTTGCCCCGGGCCACCTCACTCTCCGTGGCACTGGTACACAGGCGCATCCTAAAGTGGGGGGGTGGGTGGTATTCATTCTGAGCCAGTGTGTCATCTCTCAGCCTCCCACTGTGCTGGTTAAAGCCGCCATCCCACCTAGGAATACCAGGCTGCCACTTACCACTGCCCTTGCAGGACGAACATCATGTCATCGATTTTCATTCGGTCACAGACAAAGTGTGCACCCAGCAAGCCCGTCTCTGCATAGCAGATGCTGAAGGTCTGGAAACTCTGGCATAGCTTGTTGGCCACAGCACCTGAAGCCAGTGGGCTGGACAGGTGCTGCCAGGGGGATAGGTGGTCAGCACCCACCCTCTTGTCTTCAACGCACACTGTGACCCCCACGCACAGGAGCACACAGCCCCAGCACCCTCTCTTCCC
Source organism: Homo sapiens (assembly GCF_000001405.40). Lineage (NCBI taxonomy): Eukaryota > Metazoa > Chordata > Mammalia > Primates > Hominidae > Homo > Homo sapiens. Next base: position 48,600,940 of record NC_000003.12, read on the forward strand.
TGAAGGCGAGGTCCCATGCTCGCGCTGGCACTCACCACGCCACCACCATAAGTGCAGTCATAGTGGCCGATGATGGCATTGGCCACTTGCAAGGCCACATTGTCCGGGCTGGCCCAGCCAGGACCCTCTACTGCAATGGCCACGTGGGCAAAAGGTAGAGCATCATCACGGTGGCGGATCTGAAACAGTACATGACAAGGCTGAGGAACAGCCAGACTGCCAGGGGAACAGAAAAGGTGGCAGGTGTGGGTAGAGGGTGTATGTGTGTGAACATGTGTGCCTGTGATGCAGCAGCCACAGAACCCCTTCCCAACTGCTGAGGTATCTCTGGAGTCACCAGGATAACCATGCACATGGGGGTCCTCCCACAGGCCCCCAGCTGAGCACTACTCCTGCCCAAAAGGCAGCATACCTCACTGCCAGTGAAGCGGCATGGAGTAAGAGTGGGCACAGCGTCCTCTGCATATGTCCATGGGATGCCACCGAGGTGCTTCTGGGCGAGGTCTAACAGTTGCTGGTGCTCCACTCCTGCTGAGACAGACAGTGGCATTACTGACCAGCCAGGGCCCAAGGCACAGGGTGGGGCGATTCACAGACAGGCAGAGGACCCCCATGTCCTGTCTTAGTGGGAGAAACCAGGAGTATGTGACATTAGAACAGGGTGAGGAAAGAAGGTCCTCCTCAGACAGACCCTGCCTTGTGGACAGGACAGGCACCTCAGGGCCAAATAGCTCCCATGGCCTCAGTCCCAGGAGAGCAAAAGCGTTCAGAGTTTCAAAATGGGCTGCCATGTGATCCAAGTGTGGGTTCTCACTTGAGAAGATGCATTCCACCTACATCAAGGACAAGACTGGTACTCCTGGGCACAAAGCCACCTGGCCTGCCTTTTCCCTCTAGCTCTCCCTCAAGTATTTCTGGCTGCTGGCCCTGCAGGGGGTGGCAAGTGAGGGGGCAGAAAGAGGAGCTATTACAGGGCTGTGATTAGCTCTTGGGTCCCCTGAGAGCTGGGGACATTTGCAAATAATGTTACAAACGTATACCCTAGGACTCCTTGGATCTTGCCTCCTCACCTCCACAAGAGGAGGGCTCTGTGGTGCCACCAGTTGCATTGGCCTTTTTTTTTTTTTTTGAGACGGAGTCTCGCTCTGTTGCCCAGGCTGGAGCACAGTGGTGCAATCTCAGCTAACTGCAAGCTCCACCTCCCGGGTCCACGCCATTCTCCTGCCTCAGCCTCCCGAGTAGCTGGGACTATAGGCGCCCGCCACCACGCCTGGCTAATTTTTTTGTATTTTCAGTAGAGACGGGGTTTCACTGTGTTAGCCAGGATGGTCTCGAGCTCCTGATCTTGTGATCCGCCCGCCTCGGCCTCCCAAAGTGCTGGGATTACAGGCGTGAGCCACCGCGCCCGGCCTGCGTTGGCCTTTCATTCCTTCCTTCCATGAGCTCAAGCCCTGCTAGTCTGACACACACGTCAGATTGCTCTTGCCCCCAGGTTCCCCAGCTCCAAAGCCCCTGGTCATGCTCTTCCTATTGGTCTTTTCTGCACACTCAGCCGCCAAGGTCATAAGCTGGGAAGCATGTTTGTTTTTTTTTTTTTTTTTGAGATGGAGTTTCACTCTGTTGTGCAGGCCGGAGTGCAGTGGTACAATCTCAGCTCGCTGCAACCTCCGTCCCCCGGGTTCAAGGGATTCTCCTGCCTCAGCCTTCCAAGTAGCTGGGATTATAGGCAACTGCCACCAAGCCTGGCTAATTTTTGTATTTTTACCAGAGACGGGGTTTTGTCACGTTGGCTGGGCTGGTCTCGAACTCCTTACCTCAGGTGATTCACCCACCTCGGCCTTCCAAAGTGCTAGGATTACAGGCGTGAGCCACCACGACCAGCCAAGATGGGAAGCACCTTGACCTCAGTTCCTTACCCATGTCCAGACCCCAACCAGGTTCCATCTATAAAACCACCTGGAGTCCATCTACTGCTCCCCCTTGCTCCTGCCATCTCCTGCCCAGTCCCTGCCACAGCCCCTCTCTAGCCAGCCTACCTGCACTGTGACCCCACACAGCAGCAGAGCAAACCTTAGACCATGACACTGCTCTTCCCCTGCGCTCAGCTCCCCACACCCCACCTAAATAACACTCACCACCTTTCAGGCTTCTGTTCAAACTACAGGTGCTTTAAAAAGCCCCTCCCCCAAACTCCAACTCTGAGTCCCCAGTGAAATCTTCCCCACCCTTCTGTGCCTTCCTTTCAAGGCACTTCTTGGTTTGTTATCAGGCATGCATCAACACACAACTAATGGCTGGCTCTCCCAAGGGCAAGGCCACAAGGAACAAGGCCAGGAGCTTACATCCCCTACCAGCCCATGAACTCAGTATCCTAGAACCAGGTGGGGCTAAGACAGACCTGTACCAGAGGGACAGCATCCTGTGTAACCAGTCCCAGTGGTGGCGGCAGGGTAGAATCCTATCCCACCTCAGAGAGCACAGGAGGAAGGTCATTCCCCTCAAGGTTAGGGTGGGAGCAGAGTCCCCTGGGGTGAAAGGTCCCCTATGGTGGGAACCAGGACCTCGGCTTTGATAACCAAGGCTGGGACCCCACTACCCAGGACTTCAGTGATTCCATCACTCACCTCCAGCTGCTGCCAGCACCATTCGAGGGGCCTTGTAATGTGTGCTGAGGTACTCGGTCAAGTCTGCACGAGACAGCTTCCTACAAGACATATGGTCAGTGTGTCAACACCTCTACCACACTGGAGTGAGTTGGGGTACATGCATGAATGGGACTGAGGAGGCAGACTAGGAGAGGCATGGTTTCTCCGAAGAGTGGGCCCTAGCACACTCCCCAACCCCCTTCCCCTGTCTCTGCCACCCACCCCTCCAGGGCCCAGAGGGCAACCCTTGTCTGCCCTTGCCTCATGCCTGACTTCAGGACAGGCTCATAGTCTTCTCTGAGAAGGCGTGAGCCAACACTGTGGGACTCTCAAAAGGGCAGCATCAAAGCTCCCGGAGCCATCCACAAAGGAGACAAGAGACCACATGGAGGGGACACCCAGACACTTCGCCCTTGGACTGTCAGGACATGCACCAAAACATACCTTAAAACAAAGCCCAAAATTCAAGTGAAGCCCACAAAGCCATTAAAAAAGACTCACTGGACCACATGGATACAGAAACTGTCTCCAGTTGCATAACTCAGGAAAATAACCCCGACAGCTAGCCAACTAAAAATGTGACCTGGAAAGGGTCTGGCCAGGCCAGAATGGAGCAAGCATCCCCCCACAAGGCCAGCCAACTCTCACCTGACATTCTCACTGGGCCCCTCCACAGCCTGGGCTAGAGGTGTGCCCTGGAATGCTGTGGCATGCAGGTAGTTAAAGACCACATCTCGCATAGATGCATCATTCTCCTGCATCTCCCGCAGGATCACATCACGTTCCTTCTCAATCTGTGAGTCTTCCAGACTACAGTTCTGCACAATGTCACCCAGGAGCTCCACAGCTAGATGCAAGGAGGACATGTTTAGGTGCCAGGTGGACCACTGCAGACCAACGACAGCACAAAATCCCCAGGCCTGGCATCTCCTGCTGCCCACCCCTAGTTGCCCAGCTGCAAAGCCATACGCTAAGGGTAATATGATTCTGTGGTCAGCCAGGGGCTCCTAGGTAGCTGTCCTCTGCTTCCCTGCCCTCTGTCCCCGCCTCTTCCTCCAGGTGTTACCTTTCGGCAGATCCTTGGACAGCGCCTTGATGTAGTAAGCTGTGTGCTCCCGGGTGCTGTAGGCATTAAGATGGGCCCCCATGCTCTCCACCTCCTTCTCCAGGGCACTGCCAGGCCGATTCTTTGTTCCCTGGAACCAGATATCAACCAGAACAATCAGGAGCTACACAGGAACCCAAGAACCCTGTCCTCAGAGGCTAAACACCCAGCAGGACCACTGGTCCACAGGTACCTCCCTCAGCATAGACTCTGGGGACACAGATCCCAGAGTCTGTTTACCAAGCACTAAGCAGGCCTTGAGGTGACCAAAACCATGGCATCATGCGCCAACAGAACAGAGATAGCCAGGGCCAGGACTGAAGGGCATGGCCAGAGCAAGTGTTGCCTAAAGCTCCTGTAACAGCTTACCAACAAGCTGTGGGGATCATTACCAGTACACCTCCCCCCTCCTTATTGACAGCCATGGTCAGGTAAGCCCACACCTGTGTTCAAGTGATAGAACCCACTCCTCCCATGCCATTCCCATGACTGTATGTTTGTGAATACATGCTAGTGGCCTCTGTGGGACCCAATCCTAGTCCTGTGTGTGGAGAACAGTGGTGCTATCTCTTGGTGTGCACACACACGTTAATTCTGCACACATACCTGTGACATTGCAGCTGGCTAGGTTGCCTACTATGGCTCCATGGCCCTGCCCACCCCATAATCCTTCTCCATGTTTTTCATTCCTTTAAAAAACATGGGTCTTTACAACCAAGGGATGCCTAGATATTCCACCAGAGAAGAACATTTCATAAGCAAGCATGCATGCCCATGTCTGTGGGTTTGTTAAAATGCATGTGCATATCTACGTGTGTTCCACAGGCCTGGCTTCTCTGGTGAAAAGTGGGGCTCCTATGGTTCCTTGGGTCCTCTTGGCTCTGAGGGCCTCAGGCAGGGGCTCATCAGATACGTGCCCACTCAGGAGAGGTTAAGCTCATGTGGCTCCTTTTAGGAAAGCCAGCCAGACATCAGCCCCGCAACTGAGGCCCATAATCAGGCTAATTTTTCTGACCTTCATCCTCAGGAGGGACAACAGGCAGCCCTAAGCCCAGAGGAGACAGACTTTAAGAGCCTCACCTTGAAAGCCAGATGCTCCAAAAAGTAGCCTGCCCCATTATTCTTCTCAGTCTCAAAACGGCTGCCAACATCAATCCACACTCCCACCTGGTCAAGAAGCCACCAGAAAAGGTTACAAACAAACCACTCCCCAGCCCCCTACTCACACCCCACCTGAGTGACTCAGTACAAGCCCCAGGCAGGGACTTATGAATCCTGGAGTCAGGGAGAGCTGCCCCAGCAGGACCCCTGTGCTTGGGGACACAGTCATGCTTGGAAAACAGGGGCAGCCGAATGACTCGTCACACCACATCATTGCTCTCCTGATTGGCTATCAAGGACCCACAGGGACACTTCTAACTGTGCACATTTACCTGGTCTCACCAGCATACAAATCCTTAAATTCACTCTCAATTTTCAGTTAATTATTTGTTTTTGTCTAAGCATACAACATATCATTTGCAAATAACAACTTATTTTTTCCTTTCTAAAAATTACACGCTGCCTTTGTTCTGGCAATGATTTTATCCTTTCATCATTAAGGAAGGGACTATTGGTTTAGACTGTATATTTTATCACACTAAATATTGTTCCTATAATATCTTTTTTGTTGTTGTTTTTAATCAGCTCTGAACACCAAACAGTGTTGCCTTGGCACCCAATAAGGTAATATTAATTTTCTTGACAGCCTCCTGGTTGCTGTGAAACACGCACCACAGGCTGGGCGCGGTGGCTTATACCTGTAATCCCAGCACTTTGGGAGGCCAAGGCAGGTGGATTACGAGGTCAGCAGTTCGAGACCAGCCTGGCCAATATAGTGAAACCCTGTCTCTACTAAAAATACAAAAATTAGCCAGGTGTGGTGGCACGTGCCTGTAGTCCTAGCTACTTGGGAGGCTGAGGCAGAATTGCTTGAACCCAAGAGGCAGAGGATGTAGTGAGCCAAGATCGTGCCACTGCACTCCAGCCTGGGTGACAGAGAGACTCCATCTCAAAAAAAAAAAAAAAATGTAAAAGAAACACGTACCACTCACCCCACTTGGTCACACGGTCTAGTCTTTTAATTTACTATTTGTTCACAGCTGATTTAAGTTTTTCACATCTACTTTCCTAAGTACTTTTTTTTTTTTTTGACATGGAGTCTCACTCTGTCACGAGACGAGTGCAGTGGTGTGATGTCGGCTCACTCAACCTCTGCTTCCTGGGTTCAAGTGATTCTCCCGCCTCAGCCTCCCGAGTAGCTGGAACTACAGGCGTGCACCACCACGCCCAGCTAATTTTTGTTTTTTTGTGTGTGTGTGTTTTTTTTTTGAGACGGAGTCTCGCTCTGTCACCCAGGCTGGAGTGCAGTGGTGCGATCTTGGCTCACTGCAAGCTCTGCCTCCCAGGTTCATGGCATTCTCCTGCCTCAGCCTCCCGAGTAGCTGGAACTACAGGCGCCCGCCACCACGCCCGGCTAATTTTTTGTATTTTTAGTAGAGACGGGGTTTCACCGTGTTAGCCAGGATGGTCTCAATCTCCTGACCTTGTGATTCGCCCGCCTCGGCCTCCCAAAGTGCTGGGATTACAGGCGTGAGCCACCGCGTCTAGCCTAATTTTTGTATTTTTAGTAGAGGCGGGGTTTCACCATGTTGGCCAGGATGGTCTCAATCTCTTGACCTCGTGATCCGCCTGCCTCGGTCTCCCAAAGTGCTGGGATTATAGGCATGAGCCACTGCGCCCAGCCAAGACTTTTTTTTATTGTATAAATTTATGGGGTACAAGCACAATTTTTAGAAATTTCTATCCACACCTGAAACTCCATTTTTTTCTTTTTTTTTTTTTTTAAGACAGAGGGCCTTGCTCTGTCACCCAGGCCAGAGTACAGTGACATAATCATGGCTCACTGCAACCTCTTATTCCTGGGCTCAATCGATCCTCCTGCTTTGGCCTCTCAAAGCCCTGGAATTACTGGTGTAAGCCACTGTGCCCCGCCCACAAGTGTGATGTCATTACAGGCACAGAATGCACAAGTAGTCAAATCAGGGATTCTGAATTATCCATCACCAGAATAACAAACCTTGTACCCATTAAGTAATTTCTTTTTTTTTTTTTGAGATGGACTCTCGCTCTCTCACCCAGGCTGGAGTGCAGTGGCTCCATCTCGGCTCACTGCAATCTCTGCCTCCCGGGTTCAAGCGATTCTCTTGCCTCAGTCTCCCCAGGAGCTGGGATTACAGGCGTGTGCCATGCATGGCTAATTTTTGTATTTTTAGTAGAGATGGGGCTTCACTATGTTTGCCAGGCTGGTCTTGAACTCCTGGCCTCAGCTGATCCGCCTGCCTTGGTCTCCCAAAGTGCTGAGATTACAGGTGTGAGCCTCCAGGCCTGGACCCATTAAGTAGTTTCTCATCATCCACCCCTTCATCCTTCCAAGTCTTCACTGTCCATCATTCCACTCTCTACATCTGTATGTACGTATTTTTTAGCTCCCACTGATAAGTGAGAACATGTGATATTTGCTTTCCTAAGAGATGTCAATGCATATACCATATATCACACAATCTTAGATGAACATGTATTTCACATCTAACATCTTGGAATGCAAGAGGCATTTTACAATCTATAGTATCCTTTGATTAAAATTGGCAAGATTCTTGAGATTCTTTCTCTGGCACTGGAGCACAGACAGCTCCTTACAATCTAGCACATTTTAGAGTTCATGTAATATAGCATTCTTTACTATAACAAGTGACATATAACAAGGAAGTTGCAGGCCACCTTTTCCTATGCTTAGTAACAATTTAAATCGCAGGACATTGTTTCTGGAAAACTAAAAGGATGTGTCAATAAAAACATCTGGCCCTGGGGCTGGGGGCTGAAAGGAGGAGGAGATAATTATTTCTTGGGAATCTTCTCACCTATTCATATATCTATCTGTGACTCAAGATTTCTTGTGTCAATTTAGAGAATTTGTATTTTTTGGAAAATCACACATTTCATTGTACTGTTAAAATGCATTTGCTTCCTAAAATGTATTTCTGGTCTAGCCTGGAGATTATGACCTTGGGCAGTGAGGCTGACAGACCTGGACCCCTGCAAGTCACCTAAGGTGTCTGAATCCCATTTTCCGCATTATAAGAGGAGACATGATCACTTCCCTTATATGGGCTCCTTAACAAAAGGCTGGAAAAGAATTTGGCCGCCTACTTAACGGGCATTATATGCTAAATAATGTTGGCTTATAGTGAAGATTGTCCCGTGAAGCCAAGGCGTGGCTAGGGTAGGGAATGGGGCCATTCTCGGGGTGAGTGGTCCTGGGTCCGAACCCAAACCACAAACGGGAAGACTCGAGCCCAAGGTCACACCCCAACCAGGGAAAAGACGGCAGGCCCAACCTGGAGGCCCTCTCCCCAAAAGCGTCCCCAACTCACCGTGCAAGTGGGCTGAGAGGACTGCTCGGAGGCCACACGCAGGCCGTTGTCCAGCAGGCTAACCTGCGTCTCCGGCACGAACTGGAGCGCCTGAGCGAAGGTTGCCGTACTCCGCAAGGCTGGCGTCCGCAGCAGGGCCGGCTGTGGAAGGGAACAGCCGCGAGTGAGGACTCGGTCAGGGGATCGCTCCCCACCTCCCAGGTCCTCAGGAGGACCCCCGAACCCCGCCCCTAGGCAAGCGGCGAGATACCTTTCCCCGCCCTCCGCCGTGACCTTCCCACGGCCCTGACCCCGCGTCCTCCCCACCTCGACCTGCCACTGCTAACAGCCCACACCTGTCCGCTTCCCGAAGCCCTGTCCCGAAGCCCCGCGCTCTCGCCACCACCTCACCGAGCGGCGGGCGCGCAATAGCACTTGTGCCCCGGCGGTAGCGGCCCGACAGACCACGGACGCCGCCATCTTCCAGCTGCAGTCGGCCCTGTTGCGCCGCGCAAGCGTAGACTGGGCGCGTTGGCGGTCGCGGCGCAGGCGCAGTACCGTACAGTTGGTGCTCGGCCGCCTCCTGGCGGGAACCGGGACAGTCTATTGTGCTGGCCTGGCTTTGGCTGACTGGCTCTGACCGCGCTGCCGCCAGTCCCTGCGCACATCAGTCCACCTGCCGTCCATCAGCCCGAGCAGGTCCGCCCGCCGTGCAGTCCATCTCCCCATTCCACGCGTGGAAGTCAGAGTGCATTATGTTTCTCACCAGCCGCGCTGCGTACTGAGGTCTGGCGGGCGGGGAGTTGCAGCCACAGCGTGTCCGCAGGTTCGAGCCCAGGGCTAAAGTACCAGCGTGGAAACTTACCTGGGACCACAAGTTGGTGCTGAAAGTCAGTATTTTTTTCTCTTTATTTATTTTTTATTTTCTGAGACAGGGTCTCGCTCTGTCGCCCAGGCTGGAGTGCAATGGCGCGATCTCGGCTCACTGCAACCTCCGCCTCCCGGCTTCAAGCGATTCTCCTGCCTCAGCCTCCCGAGTAGCTGGGATTATGCCCGGTAATTTTTGTTTCTTTAGAAGAGACAAGGTTTCTCCATGTTGGCCAGTTTTGCGCCCTGCCAGTTTTCTCTTTAAAAGAACTAAGTACAGGCCGGGAGCGGTGGCTCACTCCTGTAATCCCAACACTTTGGGAGGCCGAGGCAGGTGGATCACTTGAGGCGAGGAGTCCAAGACCAGCCTGGCCAACATGGTGAAACCTTTCCTTTTCTGTAAGAGGAAAAAGAATTCTGGCTGGGTGCAGTGGCTCATGCCTGTAATCCCAGCACTTTGGAAGGCCGAGGTGGGCGGATCACCTGAGGTCGGGAATTTGAGACCAGCCTGACCGACATGGAGAAACCCCGTCTCTACTAAAAATACAAAAGTAGACGGGCGTGGTGGCGCATGCCTGTAATCCTAGCTACTCCAGAGGCTGAGGCAGGAGAATCACTTGAACCCGGGAGGCGGAGGTTGCGGTGAGCCGAGATCGCGCCATTTCCAGCCTGGGCAACAAGAGCGAAACTCCGTCTCAAAAAAAAAAAAAAAAAAAAAAAAAGACTTCTAAGGTATGCTTTGTTATGTCAACTAAAGAAAAAAAAAAACAAGCTTTTAAATATTTAAAGTTAGTTCTATTCAGAAGTCTTACCAAGAATTGCAACCCGGGAGAGCCTTTCAGGGAGTTTCTGCTAGACTGCTCCAAAGCAGTGTTTCCGACAGTTTATACACTGGTGGTGGCGGCTCTCCATGTGCTCAGAAATTACATCAAATGTGCTCAGAAGTTACATTAGAGCATAAATCTCATCAAGGTTTGGGTGCAAGAGTACATCTGTTTATAGGTCACAGAAGCATAATCATTAATCCTGTCAGACAGTATCTTAAGTACAGGAAGAGGCAAGGGCTAGGATCATTGCATTTTTTACCATGTTGGCCAGGCTGATATCAAACTCCTGGCCTCAAGCAATCCACCCACCTCAGCCTCCCAAAGTGCTAGGATTACAGGGGTGAGCCACCACACCTTACCCAAAAACTACTCTTATACTTAAAATAAAACTATCTTTATAAAAATCATGCCAGATGCCATGACCACAGGCTCTCACACCACACCCAGCTAATTTTTTTTTATTTTTTGTGGAGACGGGGGTCTCATTATGTTGCCCAGGCTGATCTTAAACTCCTGAGCTCAAGTGATCCTCCTACCTCAGCCTCCCAAAGTGCTGGGATTACAGTCATGAGCCACCGTGCCAGGCTGACTTTATTTCTTATAAAGGGTTACAACCTGCAGGCTGGGAGGTGGGCTTCTGGTCAAAACCAGAGACAGACCCTTAAAAAGAGGCAGGAGCTTTATGTCGAATGGCTTGGCTAAACATACATATTCGGCCGGGCACGGTGGCTCACACCTGTAATCCCAAACTTTGGGAGGCCGAGGTGGGCGGATCACAAGGTCAGGAGATTGAGACCATCCTGGCTAACATGGTGAAACCCCGTCTCTACTAAAAATACAAAAAATCTGCCAGGCATGATGGCATGTGCCTATAATCCCAGCTACTCGGGAAGCTGAGGCAGAAGAATCGCTTGAACCTGGGAGGCGGAGGTTGCAGTGAGCCGAGATCGCGCCACTGCACTCCAGCCTGGGTGACAGAGCGAGACTCTGTCTCAAAAAAGAAAAAACAAAAACAAAAAATACCATATTCAACAGGTTACAGGAAGAGCTATAGATACTCATGAAGGGGGTCCTAATGCAAGTATACTGAATAAACATGTGTGTTGTATATGACCCATGTTCACTTTGGGGTGGAGACTTAACATTGAAATACATTACAGGCCGGGTGCGGTGGCTCACGCCTATAATCTCAGCACTTTGGGAAGCCGAGGTGGGTGGCTCACGAGGTCAGAAGATCAAGACCATCCTGGCCAACACAGTAAAACCCCGTCTCTACTAAAAATACAAAAATTAGCTGGGCGTGGTGGCGTATGCCTGTAGTCCCAGCTACTCAGGAGGGTGAGGAAGGAGAATCACTTGAAACCGGGAAGCGGAGGTTGCAGTGAGCCAAGATCGCACCACTGCACTCCAGCCTGGGCTACAGAGGGAGACTCCATCTCAAAAAAAAAAAAAAAAAAGAAAAGAAATACAATTAGCACCATATGTCAAAATGAAGGATACAAAAGCACTCAGTGCACAGGTTCCATAAACCAACTGAAGCCAGTCCCTGGTCAGTGGTCTCTTATTAGGAAAAAGTCACCAAAATCCATCTCTTGTGCAATCAAAGCTATAGTTATGGCTTGTGGGGTCAGTGTCTGGTGATGGATGAACTGCAATTGTTTCTATATTGCTTATCTCAAGGCCAGTGCTTGTTTAGCTGCTGGAGAAAAAGAAAAACCTTGCAGCAGTTAGAACATAGTTTATTCTTTGGTGAACGGCTTAACTCTTGCCTGGCATGGCCTTAATGTCTTGTTTATACTTTGGTATCTTATTGCTACAAAGGGTTCATTCTCTCAGTCTTATGATCTCTATTTTTTTCTTTCTTTTTTGAGACAGAGTCTCATTCTGTCACCCAGGCTGGAGTGCAGTGGCAGGATCTCTGCTCACTGCAACCTCCATCTCCCAGGTTCAAGCAATTCTCCTGCCTCGGCCTCCCGAGTAGCTGGAACTGCAGGCACATGCCAACATCGCTAATTTTTGACAGAGTCTCATTCTGTCACCCAGGCTGAAGTGCAGTGGCGTGATCTTGGCTCACTGCAACCTCAGCCTCCTGGATTCAAGCAATTCTCCTGCCTCAGCCTTCCAAGTAGCTGGGACGCCACACGCCACCATGCCCTGGCTCAAGTGATCCTTCTACCTCAGGCTCCTGAGTAGCTGGGAACACAGGTGCACACCATCATACCCAGCTAACTTTTATATTTTTTGTAGAGACAGGATTTCACTATGTGGCCCAGGCTGGTCTCAAACTCCAGGCTCAAGTGAGCCTCCTGCCTTGGCCTCCCAAAGTGCTGGGACTACAGATGTGAGCCACCGCCCCTGGACGTGATCTCTTTTTTTTTTTTTTTTGAGATGGAGTCTCGCTCTGTTGCCAGGCTGGAGTGCAGTGGCATGATCTTGGCTCACTGCAACATCCGCCTCCTGGGTTCAAGCGATTCTCCTGCCTCAGGCTCCCAAGTAGCTGGGACTAAGGCATGTGCCACCACACCCAGCTAATTTTTGTAGTTTTAGTAGAGATGGGATTTCACCATGTTGGCCAGGATGGTCTCGATCTCTTGACCTCGTGATCTGCCAAAGTGCTGGGATTACAGGCATGAGCTACCACGCCCGACCTTTTTTATTTTTGAGACCGAGTTTCGCTCTTGTTGCCCAGGTTGGAGTGCAATGGCGCAATCTTATCAGCAACCTCTGCCTCCCGGGTTCAAGCGATGCTCATGCCTCAGTCTCCCGAGTAGCTGGGACTACAGGCATGTGCCATCACGCCTAGCTAATTTTGTATTTTTAGTAGAGATGGGGTTTCTCCATGTTAGTCAGGCTGGTCTCAAACTCCCAACCTCAGGTGATCCACCCACCTTGGCCTCCCAAAGTGCTGGGATTACAGGTGTGAGCCACCGCACCCGGCCTGCCTGCTTCCTTTCCTTCCTTCCTTCCTTCCCTCCCTCCTTCCTTTCCTTCCTTCCTTCCTCCCTTCCTTTCTCTCTCTTTCTTTTTTTTTTTTGAGAGGGTCTGGCTTTCTGTCACTCAGGCTGGAATGCAGTGGTGTGATCATGGCTCACTGCAGCCTCAACCTTCCAGCTCAAGCCATCTTCCCACTCCAGCCTCCTGAGTAGCTGGAACTATATAGGCATGCACCATCACACCCAGCTAATTTTTAAAAACATTTTTCTAGAGATGGGGTCTCACTATATTCCCCAGTCTGGTCTTGAACTCCTAGGCTCAAGTGATCCTCCCACCTCAGCCTCCCAAATGAAATATTCCTAAACCCAGTCACCTAGCCTCCCTACCTATACCCACTGCTACCCTGGGCTAAGAAGGGAAGGCCATTGAAGTAGGAGACAACTAGGAAGTCTGATGCTGGTTGGGAACGATGCGTTTCAAGGGGTTGGTCAAAACAGGAAATATTACTAAAAGGTTAAGTGCAAGCAGTGATCATTGCAATAATTTTGCAACAGTGTTTGGTGACTCATTGATTCTCTGGAATTTACTTGGTATATAGAGTGAGGTAAGGTCAAAATATCCTCTCTCCCCCTAAAAGGCAAACTAAATTTTGTAACACCGTTTCTTGATGAGGCCCTGTTTCCCTACCCATCTCTGTTGTTCCCTCTATCATCCCATAGATTCTCAAACTTGTACCAGGTCCATGCAGGCTGTGTTCTGTAGGGAGGGCTCTGGCACTCAACTTACCCTTCTTACTCTGTTTGATACATTCACCTATTTATTCTTCTAGATGTTTCTTTTTATTTTTTAAATTTACTTTTAATTTTTTTAAATAGAGATGGGATTTTGCCACATTACCCAGCTTGGTCTCGAACTCCTGGGCTCAAGTGATTCTCCTGCCTTGGTCTCACAAAGTGCTGGGATTACAGGCATGAGCCACTGCACGCAGCTTTTTTTTTTTTTTTTTTTTTGAGACGGAGTTTGCTCTTGTTGCTCAGGTTGGATGGAGTGCAGTGGTGTGATCTAGGCTCACTGCAACCTCCACCTCCTGGTTCAAGCAAGTCTCATGCCTCAGCCTCCCAAGTAGCTGGGATTACAGGGGCCTGTCTCCATGCACAGATAGTTTTTGTATTTTTAGTAGAGACAAGGTTTCACCATCTTGACCAGGCTGGTCTCGAACTCCTGACCTCAGGTGATCCGCCCACCTCAGCCTCCCAAAGTCCTGGGATTACAGGCGTGAGCCACCACGCCTGCCTGTTCTATTCATTATTGAAAGTGGGGGGTTGAAATATGAACTATAATTGTAGAGCTGACTACTTTCAATTCTGATAATTTTTGTTTCATTATTTTTGGGGCTCCGTTAGGCACATAAATGTTTCTAATTGTCATATTGCCTTGTTTTGAAACTTTTATTAGGTGGGTGGATCACCTCAGGTCAGGAGTTCAAGACCAGCCTGACCAACATGGATAAACCCCGTCTCTACTAAAAATACAAAATTAGTAGGGCATGGTGGCGCATGCCTGTAATCCCAGCTACTCAGGAGGCTGAGGCAGGAGAATTGCTTGAACCCGGGAGGCAGAGGCTGTGGTGAGCCAAGATCATGCCATTGCACTCCAGCCTGGGCAACAAGAGCGAAACTCTGTCTCAAAAAAAAAAAAAGGCTGGGCGCAGTGGCTTACGCCTGTAATCCCAGCACTTTGGGAGGCCAAGGCAGGAAGATCACGAGGTCAGGAGACAGAGACCATCCTGGCTAACACAGTGAAACCCCGTCTCTACTAAAAATACAAAAAAAATGCCGGGCGCGGTGGCTCACGCCTGTAATCCCAGCACTTTGGGAGGCCGAGGCGGGCGGATCACGAGGTCAGGAGATCGAGACCATCCCGGCTAAAACGGTGAAACCCCGTCTCTACTAAAAATACAAAAAATTAGCCGGGCGTAGTGGCGGGCGCCTGTAGTCCCAGCTACTTGGGAGGCTGAGGCAGGAGAATGGCGTGAACCCGGGAGGCAGAGCTTGCAGTGAGCCGAGATCCCGCCACTGCACTCCAGCCTGGGCGACAGAGCGAGACTCCGTCTCAAAAAAAAAAAAAAAAAAAAAAAAGTACAAAAAAAATTAGCTGGGTATGGTGGCAGACACCTGTAGTCCCGGCTACTCAGGAAGCCGAGGCTGGAGAATGGCATGAACCCAGGAGGCAGAGGTTGCAGTGAGCCGAGATTGCGCCACTGCACTCCTGCCTAGGCGACAAAGTGAGACTCCGTCTCAAAAAAAAAAAGCAATTTTTATCAATAGATAACGTCCTTCTTTGTCTCTTGTAATCTTTTTGATTTAGAGGCTACTATACCTGACAATAATAAAGCCACCTTGACTCTCTTCTGGTTGCTATTTGCATGAAGTATTTTTTTTTCTTTTTCTTTTTCTTTTTTTCTTTCTTGAAACAGAGTCTCACTCTGTTGCCCCAGGCTAGAGTGCAGTGGTGTGATCATGACTCACTGCAGCTTTGACCTTCCTGAGATCAGGTGATCCTCCCACCTCAGCCTCCGGGGTAGCTGGGACTAAAGGTGCACACCACCATGCCCAGCTAATTTTTTGTGTTTTTTGTAGAAATGGGGTTTTGCCTTGTTGCCCAGGCTGGTCTCAAACTCTTTAAGCAATCCACCTGCCTCAGCCTCCCAAAGTGCTGGGATTACAGGTGTAAGCCACCATGCCAGGCCATAAAATATTTCTTCCATCCTTTTACTTCTGGTGTTTTTATGTTCTTATATCTGAAGTGAGTCTCTGATAGACAACATATAGATTAACCTTTTTTAAAAAACCAATCTGAAAATTCATTTATTAATAGGAGAGTTTAATCTATTTATATTTAATGAGATTACTGACAAATGATTTGCTTTCAGGTTCAGAATTTGTTTGGTCCCTTTAAAATTTTTCTCTGTATTAATTTTTTTTTTTTTTTTTTTTTTGAGACAGAGTCTTGCTCTTTCACCCAGGCCACAGTGCAGTGGCACTCTTGGCTCGCTGCAAGCTCTGCCTCCCCAGTTCATGCCATTCTCCTGCCTCAGCCTCCCGAGTAGCTGGGACTACAGGTGCCCACCACTGTGCCCGGCTAATTTTTTGTATTTTTAGTAGAGATGGGGTTTCACTGTGTTAGCCAGGATGGTCTTGATCTCCTGACCTCGTGATCCACCCACCTAGGCCTCCCAAAGTGCTGGGATTACAGGCATGAGCCACCGCGCCCGGCCCTCTTTATTAGTATTCTTTATGTTCAGACATAATTTTCCTAATTTCCTTTAGTTCTTTGTCCATGGCTTCCCTTAGTTCATTGAACATACTAAGACAGTTGATTTATTGTTTTTGATTAATAATTCCAATGCCTGGGCTTCCTGAGGGATACTTCCCATCACAATCTCTTTTTCAGCCAGGTGCAGTGGCTCATGCCTATGATCTCAGAACTTTGGGAGGCTGAGGTGGGAGAGTCATTTGAGTTCAGGAGTTTGAGACCAGGGCAACATAGTGAGACCCTGTCTCTCTTTTGACTCCAGCCCACTTCCCCTCACTTGGAGGACATCAGAGAGGCTGTGGCATTTTCGGGGTCCAGCCAAAGGGAAGGTGGGTTGAAGATGGTCCCAGGTTGGGTTCTCTAGGAATCCAACTCCAAGAGGAAGATCAGAGCACAAGATATTTACAAGAGTCCCTTGAGATGAGCACCTCAGGGAAGGAGGGAAAGGGTTGGGCAAGGAAGAAGTCTGGCTATAGGGGCTCTGCCACAGCCAGAGTGGACCTGTCTGCTGGCCGTCCCCTGAGTGGCTGGCAGCAGCTGGCCTTTGTGTGGCATATCTCTGAGTCTACCACAGGGACACACTGGGTGTTATAAGTAAAATGTTTATTCAGAAACAGAATGCTGTTCTTCAGTACCGCAAGGAAAAATTAGCATTGAGACAAAAAGTTTTCTCAGCAAGGCAAATTTACTTTCTGCAGAAAGGGTGCTCCTTGCAGATGAAACAATGGTGAGAGCACACTTGAACAAAGGAGGGAAGCAATTTTTATTCTTTATGCAGCTTGTCCTTGCTACTGTGTCCTGCCTCCATTGGCTGGAGACGGACTGCACAATCTAAGCTAAACTTGACCGGCTAATAACTTAAAATTTTCTTAAATAGGTAAAGGCAAGGGAGAACAAAGGAAAAGAGGAAATTGCTTACGAAAGGACTTAGAAGGACTTAGAAAAGTAATAACATTTCTTTTTTTCTTTTTTTTCTTTTTTGAGATGGAGTCTTGCTCTGTCGCCCAGGCTGGAGTGCAATGGCATGATCTCGGCTCACTGCAAGCTCTGCCATGGGTTCACGCCATTCTTCTGCCTCAGCTTCCGGAGTAGCTGGGACTACAGGCACCCACCACCATGCCTGGCTAATCTTTTTTGCATTTTTGGTAGAGGCGGGGTTTCACTGTGTTAACCAGGATGGTCTTGATCTCCTGACCTCATGATCTGCCCGCCTCAGCCTCCCAAAGTGCTGGGATAACAGGCGTGAGTCACTGCACCCAGCCAAAAGTAATAACATTTCGAAATAAGGAAGGCACATAGGCTGCAAGCTGGAATGTGCCTGTGAGCATGTCCAGCACAAATATTTTGGTTAAAGTACAAGGACACAGAATGTACTTATTTCTTTATATCTAACAGCTACATAAGATAGGGCTTAACAAAGAGTTATTAGCACAAAGTGAGGAGGCTTAAAGGAAGTTAGTCTTTAAAAGAAACTATTATTTGTAACACTTATAATTTATTCTTTAACAAGAAGGGAAACTTTGAAGAGGAACTTTTTTTTTTTTACTTTCTACACCAGGTTAAGAGGGACATATTTATGTGGTTTGCTCCACCCTTGTGTAAAGTTAGTTTATTGGTCTTGTTCTAGAATAAACTAGGAATGTGGCTCGTAGGAAAATCCTGCTGGGTAAGGACAGAAGTGCAAAGTCCTATTGCCTTAAGGACATGCCCCACGGCACCCAGTGCTGGGAAAACTGTGAGCCATGGAAGGAAAACAAGGTTTGAAATGCGTGGAGCCAGAACCTCGTCTGTGGAAAATTCTTCCAAATTTCATAGTTCCTATATGAAAGAAGGCTGATGACAGTTTCTCAAATTTTACAACAATCCAGAACATTTGTATGGCACCGTCAACAACAGATTAGGAAGTTTAACTTTCCTAAACTACCAATAATTAAAACACAAATTTCAACCATGTTAGGAGGAAGACTGAAGTATCTTTTCTCTGTATGGAAAATATCTCCCCCAAAAATCACAAAATCCTTGTCCTCTGTAGAGGCCTTCAGAGTAAGAAGCCAGACCATGTAGGGGACCAAGGTATTAGAAATATGTCAGGAAGTTGCCACAAGTTATGTTATTTTTCTGGATTTAGTATTGTAGTATTTGTCAATTTAAAAAAAAAGTTTTCAAAAAAAAGTATCATCATTTCTTTTCTCATTATTTTAATTCACTTCCATTTTTGAATTCATAACGTTGTTGCCTTTTTCTAAAGCAGGAACCTGGGACAGGCACTGTGGCTCATACCTGTCATCCCAGCACTTTGAGAGGCAGAGGCAAGAGGATCAGTTGAAGCCAGCCTGGGCAAGATAGACTCCATCTCTACAAATATATATATATTTTTTAATTAGCTGGGTATGGTGATGTATGCCTATAGTCTCAGCTACTTGGGAGGCCAAGGCAGGAGGATTGCTTGAGTTCGTCAAAAAAACAAAAAGAAACAATTTTTAAAAAGGGGAAAAAGAAAGAGAAAGGGATTAAAGTGAGGGTCCCTTCTTTTCCAGGGTCCTTAGAGCAAGGGCGGCTGAGGCACTAGAGCATGTTTGAGACTGCCATAGAAACAAAGGCAGCTAGGGCGGCCTGCCTGACCCCAGGTTGGGGCTGCTGGAGCCAAGAATCTGGGGAGGGGCTGTTATTGGAGACAGAGCAGTGGCCTCTCAAGGGAGGGCCTTGCAGGGCCTGGGAAGAAGGAAGCCAGAGCCAGCTGCTGTTTGATGGCAGGACTAAAGTCACCTCCCTGAGGTGGTGACAAGGATGGGTGAAGCCAAAGGGTGTGCGACTCCACAGTGATGGGGGCTTGGGGCTCTCAGTCCCCCATCAGAGATCCTCAGCATCTGGTTCCAGCTTCACCACTGCCCCCACCCCTCTTCTCAGCTGACCAGGTCCCTCCTCAGCTCACCCTGTGCACTGGAGAGGCCCAGTACCCTCACTCAGCACTTGAGGCCCTTTATCATGTGCACTGCCCACCTTGCCCATGTGCAGAGAGTACCAAACACAGCACGTGGCTTTTGCTCAGAACCAGACCGCCACCTGGATTTCCCTTCCTCACACCCATTTCCCCTCAGGGCTCAGCCAGGTTGTTGGCTCCTCTGGGCAACCCTTCCTGAGCCACCCAAGCCTGTCCCGTTGGTAAGTCCTCTCCCATCACACAGGGAGTCCCCAGGTACTGGTCAGGCCAGAGGAGCAGTTTTTGTTTGTTTTGAGACAAGTTCTTGCTCTGTCACCCAGGCTGGAGTACAGTGGCACAATCTTGGCTCACTGCAACCACTGCCTGCCAGGCTCAAGCCATCCTCCCACCTCAGCTTCCTGAGTAGTTGGTACTACAGGCACACACCACTATGTGTGTGCTCAGCTAATTTTTGTTTGTTTGTTTGTATTTTTCGTAGGGATGGGGTTGCCATGTTGCCCAGGCTGGTCTCGAACTCTTGAGCTCAAATGATCCTCCCACCTCGGCCTCTCAAAGCGCTGGGATTACGGGTGTGAGCCACCACGCCCAGCCCAGAGGAGCAGTTGTGTCTCCAGGAGGGATCCTTAGGGAGGAAAGGTCAGTTGGTGGGGGCAATGGAGCAGTGTGAGCCAGCCTATGCCCCACCTGCCCGCCCGTCCTGGACACCAAGTCAGCTGACTCTAAAAGCTGAAAAGGGACACACGGTCCAGACAGGCCTGGAAAGAGCAGACCTGGCCCAGGACCTCAGGCTGTCAGGCAAAGAGAGGCACATGTTCGGTCACCCACTCTGGGTGGAAGTCCCCTTTATTTGGATTTGCCGCTGGGTGGCTAGATGACGTAGGTGGCCTTCGATGTGGACCAGGAGGGCATCCAGCATGTGCAGGACCCCACGGAGCAGGGTGTGGTCTGAGATTGGGGCCCGCCGTTTCCAGGGTCCGCAGGGCTCAGTGGTCACCTGCGGATGCTGAGACCAGGACCAAGAGGCAGGAGTGAGAATGGTGGGCAGAGAGGGAGATGTGACAAGGGGCAGTGATGGAGCTGGGGAGCAGGGAGTAGGGTGTGGGGCAGTGCCCAGATGGGATGGGAGGGAGACTCAGGGTGATAGAGGATCACCGAGGGTCTGTTGTGGGCTACAGTGGTCATGGGGCCCACAGGGGCTGGATGAGAGCAGGGGTACTAAAGGGGAGAGTTGGGGGCAGGGTGCTGGCTGTGGGTGGTGGACATGGGTTCCACGAAGGTGTGTGGACACAGGGACAATGGGCTGTGAGCTGGGGGTGGGGGTGTGGGAGGTCCACAGGCCAGTGTGGACCCATGGGGCAGGGTTGGGTGGAAGACGGGCTCACTGAGCGTACGTATATTGAGGCAGGGGCTGTGGGGGAGAAAGAAGAGCTGTGCTCACCTCACCCTTGGTGGCCTGTGAGCGCCGCCGCCCCTGCAGTATCTTGCGGCAGATCATCAGCATCGTGGTGGTGATCATGACCGCAGCCACGGGGTAGATGCGGCTTGCTCCAGGGCCCAGCCAGTAGCCAGGACAGCTCAGGCCACCCCTACAGCCCTCCACACTCTTTGGCTGACACCCCCAGGGCTGCAAGTCCAGCCCCACCTGGTACCAGAGGGGTCTCGACCAGGCGTGGGTGGAGGCAGACGTCACCAGCAGGAGCAGCAAAGGCAGCGAGGCCAGCACATGCAGCATGGCCGTCGCTAGTGCCAGGGCCGGAACCCGGGCACCTGGCAACGGGCAAACGCCCCTCCCCCGGGAAGAGGCCTGGCTCTAAGGCAGCAGGTTCCAGCCAGGCCCATGGCCTTTCATGAGCAGCCTGGCCAGAAACTGGCTGTGGTCAGGGGGCTGGAGTCCAGGGCTTGAGGACAACGGCAGACCTGGGTTCTGGGTCCTGCTGTCCCAGCGGGCCTAGCTGGCCCCAAACTGAGGGAGCACCTCCTTTTGAAGCTGGGCCCTAGGCTGGGTGTAGTGGCACACACCTGGAATCCCAGCACTTTGGGAGGTTGAGGCAGGTGGATGGCTTGAGCCCAGAAGTTTGAGACCAGCCTGGGCATCACGGCAAAACCCCATCTCCATAAAAAATACAAATAATTAGCTGGGTATAGTGGCACATGCCTGTTGTCCCAGCTACCCAGGAGGCTGAAGTGGGAGGATCACCTAAGCCTGGGAGGTCAAGACTGCAATGAGCTGTGATTGCACCACTGCACTCCAGCCTGGGCAACAGAGTGAGATTTTTTCTCAAAAAAGATAAAAAAAGAAACTAAGTCCCAAACAGTTAAAGAAACCAGTAACTAACAGAAATTCTTTTTTTTTTTTTGAGACAGAGTCTTGCTCTGTCGCCCAGGCTGGAGTGCAGTGGCACGATCTCCGCTCACCGCAAGCTCTGCCTCCCGGGTTCACGCCATTCTCCTGCCTCAGCCTCCTGAGTAGCTGGGACTACAGGCGCCCGCCACCTCGCCCGGCTAATTTTTTGTATTTTTAGTAGAGACGGGGTTTCACCGTGTTAGCCAGGATGGTCTCAATCTTCTGACCTCGTGATCCACCTGCCTCGGCCTCCCAAAGTGCTGGGATTACAGGCGTGAGCCACCGCACCCGACCTTACAAACTTTTTTTTTTTTTTTAACTAGGCTGGGCACCATGGCTCAGGCCTGTAATCCCAGCACTTTGGGAGGCCAAGGCAGATGGATCACCCGAGGTCGGGGGCTCGAGACCAGCCTGACCAACATGGAGACCTGCCTCTACTAAAATAGCCAGGCGTGGTGGTTCATGCCTGTAATCCCAGCTACTCAGCAGGCCGAGGCAGGGGAATCACTTGAACCTGGAAGGTGGAGGTTGTGGTGAGCCGAGATCGCGCCATTGCATTCCAGCCTGGGCAACAACAGCAAAACTCCATCTCAAAAAAAAGAAAAAGGCCGGCTGTGGTGGCTCACACTTGTAATCCCAGCACTTCAGGAAGCTGAGGTGGGTGGATCACGACATCAGGAAATTGAGACCATCCTGGCTAACATGGTGAAACCCCGTCTCTACTAAAAATACAAAAAAAAAAAAAAATTAGCTGGGCGTGCTGGCACACCCCTGTAGTCCCAGCTACTTGGGAAGCTGAGGCAGGAGAATCACTTAAACCCGGGAGGCAGAGTTTGCAGTGAGTTGAGATCATGTCACTGCACTCTGGCCTGGGCGACAGAGCGAGACTCCATCTCAAAATACAAACAAACAAAAACTAGCTGGGGCTGGGTGCGGTGGCTCACCCCTGTAATCCCAACACTTTGGGAGGCCAAGGCAGGAGGATCACTTGAGGTCAGGAGTTCAAAACCAGCCTGGCCAATATGGTGAAACTTCGTCTCTACAAAAATACAAAAATTAGCTGGACATGATGGTGGGTGCCTGTAATCCCAGCTATTCAGGAGGCTGAGGTGGGAGAATCACTTGGACCCAGGAGGTGGAGGTTGCAGTGAGCCAAGATCGTACCATTGCACTCCAGCCTGGGCGACAGAGCGAGACTCCGTCTTGGGTGGGGGGAGGTGGGGGAACTAGCTGGGTGTGGTGGCATGTACCTGTAGTCCCAGCTACTTAGGAGGCTGAGGCAGGAAGATCGCTTGAGCCCAGGAGGTCAATGCTGTAGTGAGTGGTGATCACAGCACTGCACTCCAGCCCGGGGAACAGAGCAAGAGCCGATTTAAAAAGAAAAAAAAAAAAAATCCACACGGCCCCTAAAACCTTTTGCTTTCCACCAGGGGCATCACCTCTCTAGGCTGACCAAACTCGCAGGTCCCCCACACCCAACCGCAGCCCCACAGTCCACATCGCAGTTGGGTGAGTGCTCAAAGATGTGGGATCAAAATCCACAGGCAGCTCCCCCGCTGTCAGAACAAAGCCCAAAGTCTCCCCCTGGACTGTGAGGTCCCCCCACCCTCTCACCTCAGCTCATGCTGCCCCTGCCTCCCACAGGCCTGCCTCAATACCCCCACTGCCAGCACCACAGCTCCCCAGGCCTAGAAAGTCACCTTCTTTCTTATGGCTGGAATTTCAGTTCCAGGGTCACCTGCTGAGTCCCCCTCCCATGAGCATCTTGGGTAACATATGACCTCTTCTATCACGTGACCCTGCTTTATTTTCTTCAAAGCATTTCTAACTACCTGCAATTTCCTGTTTGAGGTCTAAACTGCCCTCTCCAACATATAAGCTTCATTCAAACAATATTTACTGAGCAGCTGCCAGGCACCATTTCTGATGCTAGGACGTGGTGTGACAGAGTAAATAAAAGCTCTTATTTCCTGGGGCTGAACTTCTAGGCCATGAGTTGGGGGGTGGGGGGTGATGGTGCCAGGCACCAATACAGACCATGATAAAACAGAGCCAGGCAAGGGTACCTCTGCGATTTGAAGGGCAGGGTGGCCTCTGTCCATGCTCAGGATGGTGCCCAGACCCCTGCACAGAGCCTGGCACCTGCTCAGCACCTGATGAACAGCAGTGCTCGCATGTTTGGAGGAGAGGACCTGAGCCCAGCATTGTTTTCGCATTTCCTGGCATTTCCTCATTTATTTTTGAGACAGGGTCTTGCTCTGTCACACGAGCTGGAGTGCAGCTCCCTCCAGCATGATTTCAGCTCACTGCAACCTCCGCCTCTTGGGTTCAATTGATCCTCCCACCTCAGCCTTCCCAGTAGCTGGGATTACAGGCGTCCAGCACCATGCCCAGCTCATTTTTGTATTTTTAGTAGAGATGGGGTTTCACCTGCCTCGGGCCTCCCAAAGTGCTGGGATTATAGGCCCGGCATCTACTCATTTAATATTCACTGAGCAACCCCTGAAGCAAGAATTGTAGCCACTCACGCTCTACCGATGAA
The DNA here is from genome assembly GCF_000001405.40 of Homo sapiens. Taxonomy (NCBI): domain Eukaryota; kingdom Metazoa; phylum Chordata; class Mammalia; order Primates; family Hominidae; genus Homo; species Homo sapiens. The sequence goes on from NC_000003.12 coordinate 48,624,911, forward strand.
CAGCACACTGAGGCCCAGACAGATCCTAAGACCCGGTCCCTCCCCTGCCATCACTGTCAGCTGACCCAACGCCCCACTGCCTGCTGGGTCACATGCCCAGATGTCGGCATTTAATGGCAGAAATCAACACACACTCCTTGGCTGACAGTGTTCTACCATGCCCAGGTGATCTGTCACCCATGCGGGGCATGATCTGGGCTCATTGCAACCTCTGCCTCCCAAGTTCAAGCGATTCTCATGCCTCAGCTTCCCGAGTAGCTGGGATTACAGGCATGTATCACCACGCCCGACTAACTTTTGTATTTTTAGTAGAGGTGGGATTTCACCATGTTGGCCAGGATGTTCTTGAACTCCTGATGTCAAGTGATCCACCTGCCTCTGCTTCCCAAAGTGCTGGGATTACAGGTGTGAACCACCGTGCCCGGCCCGGTCATGCTTATTCTTAAGCATAGAGCAGCAGTGTGGGGGAACAGCTGCTCCTAGGTGTTCACTCTGTATCCTCCAGGGACTGCCCATTGGCACCCACGCTGCCCTGTACCTTCTCGGGTATTCCTGAGAGCAAATTATTCCTGAGAAGCAGCTCTGGTTCCAACTGTTTCACATCTGAGGAGACAGCGAGTGAGGGCTATGCATGGCTGGGGAGAGACCTTAACAGGGGATGCCTCCACAGCTCCCCTGCTCTGTACCCTAACCTCCCGAGTCCTTCCTACACCTTCTGCCCCGTCTCACCTTCAGGGCACAGGAAGGGTCAGCAGCCACAGCTGTGGACCACCCACCACCAGGGCCCCACCAAGCCACAGCAGAGACTGGAGTTGAGCAGACAAATCTTTATTCCTGAGGCTAAAATATGCACCAGTTCCCTCCCTGTACCGCGCCACTGCCAGCCTGACTGCATGCAGGCCCTGTCCCAGACCTGGAGCGCTGAACTTGGAGTCCCAGGACCTCCTTCCCTGAGTTGTGTGTGTGTACATGGAGGGGACTCCTGGGTAGCACCTGGAGGCGGCCTAGGGGTGAGGGGCTTCTCAAGGGTGCCCTGCACCTCCAGAGGTGCAGTCTTGGGCAGGATGTAGCATGTTCAGAGTCTGGTGACCTGAGCAGGCAGAGGAGGGGAGGCTCTAGTCAGTTTCCAAAGGACACAGACCAACCCCCGCCCCTAGAACAGCTTTATCCAAAGACAGCGGAGAAAGCACTGGGCCCACTGGGGACAGAGCCATGGCCACCAGGAAAGACTCCCTGGAGCTGGGGCCAGGGTGGGGACAAGCAATAGATTAACAAAAAAGAGCTTGGCAGGCCAGAGGTAGGCTCACCGAAACAGGGCTGTCGGGGACAGGCCTCGGGTGTTGGAGGGCAAAGGTGACAGCATCATGGACAGAGGCAAAGAGATGCTTCTTGGTGATGGATGCATCGAAGAAGTGCCCAGCCTCAAGCTGGCTGACCACAGGGCCTGTGGGCAAGAAGTAGGCCTCCCCTGACTCTCAGAACCTCTAGGAACTCAACTCCCGGGAGCCAACAGAATGCCCTGACCTCATCACCCCTGACCTCCACCCCTGAGGCTACAGCTGAATCCACATCACTTGTAACCCTGGACTCCTGTCTCCCAGGACACCTCTGACCTCCAGTTCCAGAGAAAGACTTTTTCCTTGTGCTACTTGGAAAACCCCTTGGCCAAAAGTATCCTACCCTCTTCCCAGGTCCCTCCTGCTGTTCCCACCCTACTCACTGTGGCAGGCCGCCATGTACACCTCCACCTCAATCTCCCGGAAGTCATGGAAAATCTGTAGCGGAAAAGGGGGCCAGCCTCAGAGGGAGGCTCAGGGACTCAGAGGGGGGCTCGGGCAGGCTTGGGGAGGGAGTTTAGAAGGGGAGCTTTGAGGGTTTGGGGAGTCAGAGGCTGGGAGTGCTCTCAGGGCAAATTACAGGGTCAGTGTGGAAGCTCGAGGGGCCTTGGCCTGCCCCCGTCCTTACATTCTTCAGGCTCTTGAGGCACACAGTGTCCACAAAGGAGAGGGCACCCAGGTCCAGGATGAGGCTGTGGAAGTCTGGCTGAGGCAGGCCCAGGGCCTTCAGTGTGGACCCATCTGGGGCCTTGGAGTCTTCTTGACCATTGGCTGTTGCATCTTCCATCTTATCTCCTGAGCTCACCTGCTGGGGAGCCAGACATGCTGCCAGGGCCACCCATGAGAGAGTGAAGGCAGGACTGGCCGCACACAGACACGCGAGAACACGCAAGGTCAGATGGGGAGCATGCATGGGACACATAAGGACACAAACATGCGGGAGTCACATAGGTGTGCAAAGACAGGAATGACAGATGTGTGGGGACATGCAGGAGGGCACACCCAGATGTGCATATACTGCTCTGCTACCTCCTGGGCCGACGCTGCACAGGGACACGAGAAGGGAGTCCCTGTCCCATTCTCATCAGCCAGGGCTGAGTGGGGAGGGGGCCCAGGAGCAGGCCAGAATAGACACGGGCATCCACATGAAACGCATGCAGACACCTCGGCACCCTGCCCTGTCTCAGTCTCTAATTAAGTTTGGCATCCTCTTTGACCCCTCAATTTTTTTTTTAGAGACGGGGTCTCGCTTCATTGCCCAGGCTGAATGCAGTGGTTATTCACAGGCACCATTAGAGCGCACTGCAGCCCCGAGCTCCTGGGCTCAAATGATTTTCCCGCCTTAGCCTCCCGAAGAGCTGGGACTACAGGCGCGTACCACCACGCCTGCCTTTGACCCCTTGATTTTCTCCCATATACCCCATCCCTTTCCTCTACCCATGAGCAGACTCTGGGGGAAGTCTTGTGGGATCTACAAATTCAAGGTCTTCATCTAGGCCTGAGAATCTAAGCCTAGATTCTGTGGCATATCACGACGCTCCCTGAAGAATATCTGACCCAGCCTCCCCACTCCTCCTGCCATCGGCGCAACACCCTCGAGCCCACAGCTGCTGGGTCCATGGCATTCCTCATGAGACATGTGGATCCTGCATCTCTGCAGCTCACAGCTGTCACCTCCTTTCCCACCTCCAGTCTCACCATCATCTTGCAGTCCTCAACGTTGTTGCTCCTCATGTCTTCAAGGCTGGTGTTGACATTAATGGAAACTGAGGCGCCCTTGGGGGAGGCAGCCTACACCAGGGAAGACAGGGAATGGGAAACAGCTAGCCCGGCTGCCATGACAGCCATGTCACATAGGCCTGGTGATGCCCCCTGGTGCTGGGCAGGTGGGTGGGCCAGGACCAGAAGCTGTGGGACCTGCAGCAGCCAGGCTGAAGCTCCTGGAACAGCCGTGAAAGGGAAGAGGACTGTGACGGTTCTCACTGTCACTGGTTCAGATGATGGGAGAGAAAATGCTGCCTAGAGCCCGGACCTGCTAGGGGAGTGAAGCAGGGTCCCTGGGAGCATGAGGGAGAAAGGGGAAGGGATGAGGAGTGAGGACGAGGGAGGAGTCGGGGGCCAGGAGAAAGGCTGGGGCAGGGAACAGGGGGCAGGAGATGGGGGTCACCAGACAAAAGGGGCCCTGCCTGTTTCCGAAGCTTCTCCTCTTTCTGCAGTTGCTTCAGCTTCAGCTGCTCCTGCTTCTTGAGCAGTTTCTTCTTCTGGGAGATGAGGAAGTCGACATCCACACCACACTGGAGGCAAACATCAGAGAAGGGTTGGTGAGCTCTCTGGGAGCTGGGGCCTGACACCCATCCTGGGGACTCCGTCTCACCCTCTGCTTCAGCGCATCACTGTAGAACTCAGCATTGGCAAAGTACACGGTGGCCGAGGAGCGGAAGACCTTCACCCCCCGGACTTCCTTGGCCTGGGGATGAGGCAGAACTGGTGGTGGCTGAATCTCCTCTCTCCTGGCTGCATCCTGTTCTCCTGCCTTTCCTTCCCTAGTGTGCCCAGTGCCTGCCACCGCCCAGCCCTCTGCTCCCCAGGCTGCAGTCCAGGCCCTCCCAGGGGCTTAGGCCACAAGCCCGACGGTGTCATCCCCATCCCCCCACAGTGCCTCTCCCTCCCCACCTCTCCTGCCACCACCCAGGCAGGCTTCACAGGCTCTTAACCTTTCTCTTGGGTTTCCAACCCCTGCCTTGTGTTCTGTTTTCTGCACCCAGACAGAGGTCCTCCTAGGCTGTCATATCAATCAGACCTTCCCCGCTCCCACCCCATTCGGGTCACAGCCCGGGTCTCTGCTGGGCTCCAGGCATGCATGGTAAGGGCTGGGCTGCCCCCTCATCCTCTCCCATGTCTCAGACCCCTTAATTCCTCCCCGCACTGCCTAATTGCACTGTGCCCATGTTGCAGGCAACAGCCTTGTTTTATTCCAGAGCCCCCCACCTATGTTCCTAGCACTTGGCCCAAGACCTCTCAGGAGATAAATGGATGACTGAGGACTTAGTAACCCCACTGATCAGATCAGGAAATGCCTCCCTTCCAACCTGGCGCCCCAGGGAGCTGCCATTCCGGCTCTCTGACCCACGGCTGCTCTGCAGGTGGAGCTTGTGCTGTTGACTCCACGACAGACCCCTCCCCAGCCCCAGACCCATCTCTGTCCACTCTCCCTCTGTCCCTTCATACCTCTAGAGGGGGTCATAGACCTAAACTCCTCCCTTGAAATCCCAAAGACCAAAGCCAAAGTATCCTCAGCCCCCAGTTCCCTGGCCAAGTGTGGAACGAATCCACAAAGGCTCATTCTTCCTCCGTCTCCCCATCCACACCATCTCACTCAGCCCCTGACACTCACCTCTGAGTACTCTGCCACATCTCTGTAAATATCCGTGTCTGGCACCTGCCCCAGGACAGAGTAGTGGGGCCTGTGAAGGAGAGAGAGAATGCACGAAGAGGGGGCAGAAAAAGGGGATAACAGAGGGGTCCGAAGGAGCCTGAAGTCCCCAGAGATGTGGGGAAAGCTGCGGGGAGCCCTGTGGTACTCTCTCACTAGCTGGAATGAGGGGACCAACATGGCGGACTCACATCTGTGTCCGGACCACCACGAGCAGCAGGGAGAAGATGACCGCAACCACCAAGCCAAGGTCCAGGTTCAGCAAGATGGTGGCCGTGAAGGTCACCAGCCAGATAAGCTGAGAACAGAGGGCAGCGGTTGGAGGGCGGCGAGGAGCCATGGGGCTGCCCAGTCCCTGCCCTGGGCTCCCAGTGCACTCACCAGATCCGCCCGATTGGCCTTCCAGAGGGAGCGCATGTCGCTGAGCTGCCTCAGCATGCCCTTCAGGTTCACAATGATGATGGCTGCCAGGACCGCCTGGGGTGGGGACAGTGCCACCAGGGGCCATTGAGGGCACCCGATGCTGACAACCCTCCTCACCGAGGCAAAGCCAGACTAAGCCCAAGCACTCAGGCAGTACCCCAGACACAAACCCCCACCCAGCCCCTGACCCTTGTCTCCAAATCTCACCTTGAAGATCTCAGCCTTGAAAAACAGAACCTAACCTTGTGTCCCCACCCCTCGCCTGAACCTAGACTGGCTGATTTGAGAGCCCTGGCCTGGCCAAGACCTGAAACCTGGCTGGGTGGGGGCTCACCTTGGGCAGGTCATGGAAGAGTTCCCCAAGTTTGACAATGATGAGGAGGATGAAAAGGGAAGAGATGGCTCCAGCAACCTGTTCGGGGAGGGAGTGAGCAGGGGAGAGACCTCCTTCCCCAGGCAAAGCAATGTGCATGCCCACACCCATGCCCACACCCAAAGCCCACCTGCGAGTTGCCCCCGGTGCTCTCCTGTACCAGGCTCCGAGACATAGAGCAACTCACGGGGAAGCACTGGAAGATGCCTCCGATAAGGTTACTGAGGCCCAGGGCCACCAGCTCCTGACGGGGGACAGTACGGGTGTGAGAAGACTTCCTAGAAGTGGCTGGTCACTGTTCCACTGTATCTAGGCCTGTGCATCCCCAATCTCCATCCCCACCAAGTGGCCCCCAGAGACTGGATGCTGTCCCACACGTCCTGCTCTCCCACCCTCAGTCCCCCACGTGGCCTCAGCACATCTGCTGTCTCCCTGTGTCCCACCGGTTCCTCCCCCACCCGTTGCTGGCGCCTCCATACACTTGGATGCCTCCTACACATCCCGCATCACCCAGACCTGGTTGCTGTCCACCCGGTAGCCGTGCCTCAGGGCGAAGATCTTCCCCAGTGAGATGGCAATGGCAAACCCAACCACAGCGATGGTGAAGGCGCTGCCCACGAGCTTTGAGAACAGCTGGGTGTTGGGGGCCACTGGGGGCACCAGCCTGTGAGAGGTATCTGTGAGGCCAAAGCAAGGTCCTGTCCTGGCTGCCCAACCCTCCCTGACCTGATGGAGGCCAGAGCTCACCCTGCAGGGATGTTGCCCACGACATCTACCTCAAATCTGTGCTTTAGACCCATGCCATAGGAGATGCCTGTGGCCCCGATGAGCTGTGGGAGAGGACAGAGTCAGGGAGGCAGGTGCTGGCACCATGGTCAGGGGGACACATAAACCACTGTGAGGTGAGGAGGGAGATACTGGGCAAAACCTTCTTCGAGGGTGGGAAAAAGTCACGTAGGGTGAGAGACAGGCAACACCATTTCGGCTATGGGGAGATGCTGTCAGGGGCAGGAAGAAACCAACATAGGGGCTTTCTGCTGTGCCCCCCACAATACCCAAGAACCCTCCCAGCCCCCCTCCAGCTGGCCCTCAAATACAGGAGGCTGCCCACGTGGCAAGGACCCAGCCTGACCTGCCCTTCTCCCCTGCCCTCCACTCCCTGGCCCTCGAACCGTGAGCAGCTCCCCGGGTATCGGCATGGGCAGCTGCTGCTGCAGCTTGTCATTCAACAGCTTCACCACCACGAGCACCACCCCAGCCACAGCTGCAGTGACCACGGTGCCAACCTTGCTCTGGGGCAGCTTCCAGCAGACCTCCAGCACTGTCTGAGGAGAGGCCAGGTCACAGCTAGCACTCAAGGCCATGGGGCACACCTACCCCTCCCTCCCCCTACCCTCACTCACATAGATGAGGGACAGTGGCCCAGAGTGGCTGCTCAGATGGAGGCCAAACACATACTTGAGCTGTGAGACGAAGACCTGCACAGCTGCAGCTGTGGTATAGCCTCGGACAAGAGGTTCTGACAGGTAGGTGACCACGAAGCCGAAGTGGATCAGGCCCAGCCCCACCTGTGGGGCGGCCAGGGGCAGTCAGGAGAGGCAGGGGTCCTGGGGTTGCTAATGAGGAGCGCAGGGCAAGTGGGATGGGAGGGGGATGAGTAGACGGCAAGAGGAGGACGACGATGGTCAGACACTCAGGGGAGTACAGACAGGACAGTGGCGGGAGCAGAAGTGGTGGTGGGGGGCACATACTCCTGACTGTTCCACACCTGGAAGAGGCCAACCAGGACACTGAGTGTGGAGGCCACCTGTACCCGGGCAGCATCTCTGGCTGTCTCATTGATCATGGAGTCGTTCAAGGCCTGCGGGGCCAGGGATTCTGTCACACTGCCCACCATCACAGACATGACAGCAAAGGTCCCTGTAAGGACGGCACGGGGCAGGTCTGAAGAGGAGAGGACACTGCCCTGCCCTGGAGCCCTGGTCTTAAGAGAGAGGCCAGGAGACTTCCAGTTCTGGATAAATGTACTCAGATTATGGCTGCATGAACAGGGACAGTGCTGGCGGTTCAGGTTTGGCCAGGCCAGGAGTAAACCCTGAGCTCACAGGCCCTTAAGCATGGCTAGAAATGCTGGCCCTGTCTCATCTACCCTGTCCCACCTGTGTCTACTGGTCCCGGGACACAGAGGCTCTCTGTGGAGTAGGGAAGGGGTCAGGGCTGGCCTTAGGCTGCTCAGGCCTCTGCCAAGTTCCAGGCCCCTTGGGCTGCCTCACCCACTCTCATCTTCCTGGAGCCAGGGCTTTGAGGTCACCTGCCTCTGTGGTCCTACAGTCAGGGGTCTAGTCCTGCCTGGGGATGACTCGTGGGCTAGCCCAGGGATGCAGCACCAATGCTGCCCTCTTCCCCAGCCGCTCCTGCCCTGCTCAGTGCCCCCTCACCCTGCCCTCCATGATGGATGTGGGCATCCTCCTGGAAGGCTAGGCCTGCCTCCACTTACCCACGGAGATGTGCCGGGAAGTGCCAAACAGGAAGTAGATGAAGACAGGGTAGAAGGAGCTATAGAGGCCAAACACGGGGGGCAATCCAGCCAGGAGGGCGTAGGCCAAGCCTAGGGGTAGAATGGTAGCAGTGCAGGCCTGGAGAGCAGATCTTGAAACGATAAGGGAATCCCAGCCCTGGGTTAGGTGCCATAGTTCCAAGGTAGAGGTCATGGCCCCAGTTTTGGGCATCACAGACCACAGGGTTTCCAGGCCGACGCACTGAAGGTGGCTCACCCTGCGGAAGCTGCATGATGGCCACACTCAGGCCGGATAACAGGTCACCCAGGAGCCAGTCACGCACAGGATACCGGGGTAACCAGACCAAAACCGGGAGGTGTTGGAGCAGAAGGGCATAGGCCCGAGCACGGGAGCACCTAGGGACATGATATGAGGGGTAGGTGTCAGGAACAGGGGCTACCTGGGCCCCGCCAGCGCCCCCAGGCCCCAATCTTGGCCTTACTGCAACCAGGTCCGCCACTGGTGGGTCCTAGGTGCTGAGCCCCAGCGCCCCAGCTCCTCCAAATGCTCCTGGTTCAGCAGCGGCCGTTCCATGTGGTAGTCTCGCCTCCGCAGGTCCATTGCTTGTGTTGCAGACAGCAGTGCCTGTGTGTCCCTCGGTCTGGGGTGGCAAGACCAGAGAGACACAGTGAAGGCATCCCTGGCCCAACCTCCCCTACACCTCCACCTAGGACCAGAGAGTTACCTACCTGATTTTTCCAGGCCCTAAGATCAAGGTACAGTATTCCAGCCCCCAGCTGGCATCTGTGGGCCACATGTCCAAACTCAGACAGGGGCAGTACCTGAACTTTGGCTGGTGAGAAAGCCTCTTTCTAGGACAAAGTCCCCCAAGTAGGGACTGCAGGATGAGCACTAGCTATACCTCCAGCCGAGATGTGGCAGCCCAGTGCTGAGTGTTCTACCAGTCCAGGTCCCAGGCTGCTCCCTCCCCCACCCAGTCCCTCTCCAGTCCCCAGGTCCTCCTCCAGCTGCCCCGGGAGCCCACTGCTGGCTGAGAGCACACTCAGGGAAGGGGTCCAGCAAACCAGGGGTCCAGCTCCTCAAGCAACTCCTTTCCCAAGCCTCAGGCCTCAGATGAGACCCTCCCCTCTAAGGGAAGGAAAGTGTTGGAGCCAAGCTTGCCCCTGGGCCTCCAGCCCCAGGGTCCAGGTTGTAGACGGCTCAGGCCTGTTATGGGGAAGCCAAGGACTGGCTCTCACCTGAGAAGGAGCTTGCTCTTGGAGTGGCAATCTCTCACCTAGAGGGAGAGGCTCCCACATGGAAAGGGAAGTACCCACTTGAAGTGGGGGAAAGAGCTCACCTGGGAATAGAAGCTTTCAAGGGGAATCTCACCTAGAGGGATCTCTGACCTACCAGGGAATCTTTATCAGCCTGGCAAGTTCTGATACAGGGGGAATCTTCCCTCTGCCCAGAGGCACCTACTTGAAGTCAGAGAAAGATCTCACATGGGAAGAAAAGACCTAGAGGGAGAGGGTTCTCACCTGGGGGGTACTCTCCCATAGAGAAAGCTCTGACCTCGGGCGAGGCTCCCACGTGGAATGGGGAAAAGCTGTCACCTGGGAATAGATCTCACAGAAGGATCTTACCTGGGGGAAAACTCTAGCCTGTTGGGGAAGCTTTCACCAGTCAGGAAAGTTCTGATCTAGGAAAAGCCCTGACCTGGGGAGAGGATCCCATTTGAGGGACAGGAACTCACCTGGGAAGCGCCTCTAACCTGGCTGTACTGTTGGAGGAGTGTGGAGTGGGTGCAAGGAAGATCCTCAGAGACTCTTGGGACCGCTATCTCAAGGAGATCGTAGAGCCCCCTCTCCTTTCCTACGTGAGTCACTCAGGTCTTCTTAAAGGGCTCCCTCCCCCGACAACTTGGGACCCGCGTTTGGAGGGCGGAGCCTTGATCATTGGCCCCTCCCTGTAGGAAGGCAACTGGGGCCAGAAAGGCCGGAGCGCTCACTCCGGGATCAGTGGAGCTGGGTGGACTCGGGACTCAGCTGAAAGCAGCTAGTCCACGGGCCGCTGCCAGGGACTCCCGTGCCCCACGCACCCCCGCCGGCACATCTCCTGGCCGGGCTCCTCCGCACGCAGCTGCCTCCCTGTGGCCCGGGATGGCCCTCGGGCGTCACACCAGCGGCTTTCCGCACAGCCCAAGGGACTGGGGTCGCGCCGGCTCCCGCCCCCACCCCTTGCTGCAGAGGGGCAGCCGCCTGCAGAAAATCAGCAGAGGTAAACCGAGGCGTCGCAAGCGGAGAATGCCTGCTCCAGCGAGGCGTCGCAAGCGGAGAATGCCTGCTCCAGCGAGGCGCTCGCGCGGGGCCACCGGGAATGTGCGCTGAACTCACCCCGACGCATCCGCCAGCCCCATGGCTCGCAAGTTGTCCGGTGCGGGCTGCTCCTGCTGCTCGAGCTAGAGGCCGCTACGCTCCGGAAGGCGGCGCCGGGACCGGGTGAGGCCAGCTGCGCTCTCCCGGGGGCTAATCCCGGGGCAGGACGGGGAGGCTTGGGCCAATCAGCGCGCTGGGGCGGGGCCTAAGTGGCGCGCGCCGGGCGGGGAGAGACTGGAGAAGGAGGATTTAACCGCTTCCTCCCCGGCGACCTGGCCTATGAGGCCTCTCGCTGCTCGCCCGGCCCTCTGCCCGGAGCTGGATGGGACTGCAGAACTGGAACTAAGCACCCGCGCCGGGCTGGCCGCAGTCGCGCCCCCAGGCCCTGAGTAGGTTGGAGCTGATCCCAGGTCCTGGCTCGGCGGAAGGTGCTCACGGAGTGGGAAAAGGAAACTCCACTGGCCGGTGACCCCAGCCTTAACTCGTAGGGGATCCAGGTCTGTGGGGCCTCTCTTGCCTTCAGCTGAGAGCGCCACCCGCAGGCTTTCTGCGACTACGCATCTCTTTGAGACCCGGAGCCAACGGTCCCCAAGTCCTCCCCTTTAACTCTGGCCACCCAGGCCAGAAATGGTTGGAGGATCCCCTCCGCTGCACTAAGCACAGCCCGGACGTAGCTCCCAGAAGGTTACTGCGCGGGCCGCCGAGGAGAATGGTGGGGGTCAGTGCTGTTGGGTGGGCGTCAGTGCTGTTGGGTGGGCAAGGCAGGAACTGCAAGAGCAGTTCCTCAGGTTGGTTTCACCGCAGGTGAGGGCAAAAAATGCCGGGTCAGGGCTGCAGACCCTGAAGAATTAGGAAGTCCTGTTGCCGTTGCCTTGACCAGCGGGGAGGTTTTCCTTAGCACCTTATTTTCAGCACCTGTGCTCCAACATCAGGCCCCAATTACAAAGTGAGGGGCCAGATTTCAAGGTGAAAGAGATCTGCCATGAAATGGGCTAAAAATAGCTGGATATTCTTGGGAGGGGCTCAGATTCCTCCCAAAGGTCAGTCTGGCTTGAATCATTCACAGCTTCCATCCTACCTCCCCAGCCCCCAACAGGAAAAGGCAACAACTGTTTTCTATAGAAGTTTATTCCCAAAACAGAGCGCGGCTTCACGGAACAATTTACACAGACAGGAAAGAGGGCCGCTGGGCTGGAGGAGGGGAACCCCAGAGAGGGGCATCTACGAAACCTAGGACATAGTAAAGACACCCTCCCACCCCCAGCAGGCCACTCAGCCCTTCAAGAGCTGGGGTCCTTCTCGGTAAGGAGAGTTTGGGTCCTGGCTGGTGGGATTTAGCTCCAGTCAGGGAAGTAGAATTTCTAATCTCCCAGGAAGCTGCTTCCCAAGAGTATGCATGGGGTGGTGGGTGAGGAGGTGTCTGCACAGACCACCCCCCAGCCCTGCACAGCCACTCTCCCCCGTGGTTAGAGGACGCCTACTCTCAAGGTCTTCTGGATCTGCTGTTAAACGGGACTCAAGGCTGACCTTCGGCCTGGGAGACCTGGGGGTTAGAAAACCCCTCAAGATGGCCAGGTCAGGGTCCTCACAGGTGGGTCCTCCAAGTCCCTCTCCCACTTTCCCTACCTTTCACTTGGAAACAAAGGAAAAAAAATTATCTACTGTAAACAAAGTGTAAAACTCAAAGTTTTGAGTTGTAAACAAAGTAAAAACATTTTTTGAATCTGGACTTGTAAACAGTAACAAAATTTTAAAGTCTTCAGTTCTGGACAGCAGACAAAATAGCAAAAGTAAGAGTTTTGTGAACAGGGTCGTAACAGTCATTTTTCCCTTTTTAAGGGAATAAAGGAGGAGTGGAACGGAGTCACTTCCTGCAGCCCAGGTGCCTAGGGCCACGGAGGATCCTGTAAACATAGGAGGCAGTGGCACCTACATTCTGGGTCTTGAATTCCCTTGTTTCTGCTCCCTTTGCTCACCTTCCCACCCTACCCTTCGGAATCAATTCAAGCAGGGGGCAGTGTCAGGGAATCAAATGGCACCACAGACAACTTTTGCTTGCTGCAGGGGCAGGTGAATGACCCCTCCACCGACCCTCTGCAGGAATGTCTGACTAGAGGCCCGAGCCCCTCCCCGTGGGAGACAGGGAAGCCTTGCTCTGTAAACACGACATCAGCTGCTCCACCAGCACCCCACAGCATCAGTCCTAGGTCATAAGGCAGTAAGTGGCAGGGACTCCACATAATAAACACACACATCCACCAGGAGGGGCGGTATGAGCAAGCCCCCATGAGGAAGTCAGAGGACCCCTGTTTCCAAGACCAACCCCCAGCCCCAGAAGTTTGGCCTTTGGAGCATTCAATAAAAAGCAAAGAACAATTCTGTACTTTGGGCCCCTGACGATACTCAGATCAACTTGGGGGTGGAATAGGGGGAGGAAGGCATGTGTCCCACCCATCTGAGTCCACCCCAGGAAGGAGAGAGAGATGAGCATAGGGTTTGCTCAGGACCCAAATGGGGTCAAACTGCATCTCTCCCTCTATCTCCCTCCCCCTCCCAGCCCAGCCTCAAACCCCCCAGGAGACAGAAAAGCTGAAAAATAACATAAGCATCTCTCTGGTTACAAAGGTACAAAACGTATAAAAGTCTCCCTCCAGTCCCCCGTCTCTGCACCTGTCACACGCATGCTCACAGATGCACATGGAGCCTCAGCCCTGCCACACCAGGTAGAGCTGGGGCACCCACCACTGGGGAGCAGGAGGCTGCCTTGGGATCTGCCCCCACTCCTGGAGTCTCTCCTGTTAGCCTAGATCCTCTGTCGCCCTCAGCTGTTCCTCGTCCACGCCGTCATCCCCTCAGGAGTGACCCTCACTTCTGGGAACTCTGGAGGCACATGAGGAAATCAGAGGTTGATGCCCAGAGGACTCCGAGTCAGGCGGCTCTGGACTCCCCCACCACATTTGGCCTGGCTGCTTCCCTTGCCTCCACCACTGCTCTCGCCTCTTAGCCCCCAGCCCCTTCATGCCCACTCCAGGGTTCTCAGAGTCCTCCATTCCGCGCCCCTAGACTCAGCCAGGCTCCTTGGCTGCCCAGGTGTTTTCTCTAAGTGCTTCAAGAGCACCTACTGTTTACAGATGCTATATTGAGCACTTGACAGATATTATCTCATAGATTTCCACATCTCAAAGAGTTTGTTACTACAGACTTCTTTACAGATGAGGAAACTGAGGCCCAGAAAAGCTTGCCTCTGCCTAAGGTCACGCAGCTAGTAAGGTAAGACACAGAGCTCAAACTCAAACCTGTGCGACTCCAGAGCCTGGACCCCTGCTCAGTCCCTAGTCTACCTCCCAAACAGCCAGACCCCAAAGCTAGACTGCAGGGGGACCCAGGCCGTGGGTTAGCTCCCTCTGGTCCCCACCCCCAGCAGCCCTCAGTGCCCAAGCCCCAGGATCCCCAAACCCCTGCTCTTTCCTCCTTCCTTTGTCCTCTCTCTGCCCTGGGTCCTGCTCAGTTCTGTCGATCCCCTGCCCCACCCCTAGGGCCCCCTTCCTCCCCAAGCCATCTCTTACCCCACAAACCCCCAGAGCCTGACCCAGCTGTTTCTCCTCCTTGAAACTCAACTCTCCTCTTGGCTTACAAGAGACCTGGAAGCTCCTGGTTCCTCCCCACTCCCACCAGTCCCTCTCGGACTCCTGTGTATCCAGCTATTTCCTGGGTCTGTCCGCCATCCCCTTCCCCACAGATGCTTCACACATACCCGAGATGAACCAGGTTCCAACTCAGTTCCTGTGAGCCCCACCCCAAAGTGTCCACAGACAGGAGGAACTCAATGTTGACTGAATACATCGATGAATGAATGATTTATCCTCAACAAAGCAAGCCCTTCAGCCTGGTATATCCTGGCACCACTTCCAGCCTCTCCTTGTCCTATATGACCCCCTAGGCGAACCTTCCCAAGCAAGGCCTCCTGCTCTCCTCCCTGCCCCTTGCATATTCCAGGTCATCTCCCACTTCTAGGCCTCAGCTCCTGCCCTCCCATTCGCTAGCTCAGCCCATCGGATGGCACCTATTTCTCCTTAGCCTGGGAGGTGCTGGGAAGGCTGGCTGGCTCCAGTCACACAGCCAGCAAGTCCCTGCTAGTCACACCCCCATTTCTTGCCAGATTCCTGTCCCCAGCCTGTGGCCCTCTGGCTGTGCTGAGCCTGGGGTAGCCCACACCTGTCTGCCAGCCCTCATCCCCTTCTGTGGCAGAACACAGGGCAGGGCACACAGGAGGTTGCCCTAAGCTGATGAGGGTGCAAGCAGGTGGCTGGACCATACTTACTCTGAGTCTGGCGACAGCTCCGAGATGCTGTGAGACGTGGCAGAACGTGGCGTGGAGGGCCCAAGCACAGAGGCTGTGGCAGAAGGTGTGGCAGTGGTGTGAGGGCCCAAGGGTGTGCTTGAAGATTGCACAGAGGAGAGGGCCGAGGAGTTGAAAGAGGCAAGGATGGAGGAAAGAATGTCCAACTGTTCTGTGGAGGGGCCATGGCTGGGGCCACTGACCGAGTCCTCCCTAGCTCTGAGCAGCTGCGGGAGTGGCCCAAGGGCTTCTCGTGAGGGGTGCCGGCTAGGCACCTGGTCCAGCTGCTCCCGAGAGTTCGAGCTCCTAGACAGAGAGTCCAGCGGCCGGGATGGCAAGAGGGGGTCCCTTGAGAGTTGCCGCTGGGGAGACAGGGGCAGAGGTGGGGGCTGTGGGTCAAGGTCCCGGGTGCGGCGGGGCGGAGGCAGCGTGCTCAACCACTCTCGAGGTGCCCCTAAGTCGAGCGCATCCCGTGACCCGAAGCGGCCAGCCATGGCGCCAGGGTAGTCCCGAGGTGGCTGCCTCCGTGGCAGGGTGCTGCCCCGATCTTTGGGCTCCAGTCGGCCTGGTGCAGCATCCATGCATTCCTGGGACCCTGGCCGGCTCAGGGGACGTAGAACAGGGGCAGGGGCTTCCTCTAGTCGCTCACGGCTCAGTTGCCGCCGGAGGAGCAGGTCCAGCTGTTCTCTAGAAGAGTAGCGGCTGGCTGGCTGTGAAAGGCTGCCCGTGCCCCCGCCAGCATAGATGCGACCGTAAGAGGCAGCTGGCACAGCACGGTGGCCCAAGGTGGCTGCACGGCACCAGGACAGCTCAGGGGCACCTCGGGTCTGTGGCACCAGTGGGTATTGCAACCGGTTCTTCAGGATGCCTGTGAGAGGAAGAAAATGGGGGGCAGGGTTTGTGTGGGAGGGGGAGGGCAGGCAGGAATTGCTGAGTCTAGGGGTGTGGCAGCCCTTGGGATCCTTCCAACACAGGGATGGGAGCAGGAACCCCTTGGGGAGCAGCAGAGGCAACCCTGGTGGTCCCAGAGAGGCAGCAGGACAGGGGTCAGAGTGGAAGGGCAGTCATCTTCCAGTTGTGGTCCCGGGGCAGGGGGAGGGCGGGCAGGTCTCATGGTGCAGGGGATGGGGCAAACTCCCTGAGGTCAGAAGAGGGGCAGCCCTCAGGTCCTGACAATGCAGGCCTGGCTGAAATGCAGGAACCCCCCGGGTTGGACAGGAGCAGTCCCCAGGTCCCTGTGATGCAAGGGTGAGGGCAGAAACCTCTTCTCCGGGTCCCCATAAAAGCAGAGTAGGGGGCAGAAATCTTCCAGATCAGAGCACGGGCTCTGGGATCTGGGTGGGGGGCAGGGGGAAGCAGCTCCTAGGGTCTCTGAAAAACAGATGGGCTGGGGCAGGAGTGGTCGCCTGTGGTCCCCCTGTGGTGCTGGCCAGGGTAGAGGGGGACAGAGAATTCCCAGGTCAGGACAGGAGCAGTCCCTGAGGACCGTGAAGCAGGCTAGAGAAGCAGAAGCGCCCTAGGTCAGAGTAAGAAGAGCTCTCAGTTTGGGATGAGGAAGCTGCAATCCCTTGGCTCAGGGCATGAGCAGCCCCCAGCGTGTCTGCGGTGTGGGCCAGGGCTCAGGGACTGTACCTTTCCTCTGGCGCTGGGCCCGGCCCAGAGAAGTCTCATCCCCACTGGTCAGGGCCGGGTCTGGCTGGTTGTTGTTAGCTGCATCCTTGCTGGTGTCCAGCCCCAGGCGCCTTTCAGAGCCCCAAGTCTGCAGAGCACAGGGGGCTGCCTCGCACTCCCCCAGGGCTGGCCAGTAGGACAGGAGGTCATTGCCATCCACATCTGTGGAGCCAGGTCAGGTTACAGGAGCTTCTGGGTTGATCCCAGTGACTCATGACCCCTGACCCTAATGACCCTTGAAACCCTGGCTGTTCTCATTGAGCAGAGGTGGGAACAGGAGGGTATCTCCTCAGAGATCAATGGGTGGGGGTGACTGGTGAGCTCCCTCCCCTTAACTGGAGGTGGACAGAGACTAAAAGTTGGGGAACCTGATGACTGAGGGGTCAGAAAGACCAGGATGAACCCCAACCGCAGGAAAGATGGGGAGCTGGAGGGATAACAAATGGGGCATCCCTTGGTCACCCAAGGGGTCAGAGGGCGCCTGGCACCTTTGGGGTGGGTGAGGAGCCTCTCACTCTGGGCTGCTCGGCAGAGTGGCCGTTGGAAGCGCCCCCGCGTCCGGCCATTGTCCTCGCTTTCTGAAGATGGAATGGAGAGACTCCTCTCCTCCTCCAAGGACAGGTCACTGTCAGAGTCGGAGTCTGCGCCTGGAGTTGGGAAAGTCAGAAGTACTTTCAGAGGTAAGGGACTTGGAGATAAGGGAATTTGGAGTTGAGGGTCTAGAGGTGGGTACGGCAAGGGGGTTAGGGTTGGGGACAGGAACCGGGGCTTGAAGTGGAGGTAGCAGCAGAAGGGCTGGGACTTATCAGAGGGAAGGACGAATCAGGAGTGGACTGGGAGAACCAGGGCTGGAGAGGTAGGTGCCTCCTGAGGCAGGGACCCTGGGGGAGATCGTCCCACCCCAGTCAGCCACTGCTCCCAGTATGGGGTAGAAGAAAAGGGGATGGGGAGAGATCCTCTGCCTCCCTCCTCCCTGCCCCAGGCCCCAACTCCACCAGCATCTCGATGGAACATGGCCACGTCCAGGTCAGTGGGGCCAGCATGAGCCTGGAGGCTGTGGTCAGTGTGGTCAGCGGCTGAGCCATGTCGAACCAGGACATTGTCCCTGGAAAAGCAGGAGCCCCCCCACCATGAAAGAGGGATGTGATGGGGTGCCTTGGAGGCTGGAGTGTCTTTGAGTGCACAGCCAGCTGCGGGTGGAATGGCATCCCTGGGTGTGTGTGGTGGGAAGCATTTAGGGCAGAGGCAGAAGCAGGGCCCCAGATGGCCAAGATGGGTGGAGCCACCCGCCCTAGGACCTGGTCAGCCAAGCCCTGGTAAGGTGGGGCTGGACTAAGCTGAGTGTTCCCTCACAAGGAGGCTCTTCCTCTCACCTGAGGTAGCTGCGGCCCCGCTGGCTGTCCTGGTCCTGGGTCCGGCCGGAGCGGGCACTGCTCACAGAGGAGACGGTGGAGGCGCCCAGAGTGATGCGGATGAGGCCACTCTCCTCAAAGAGAGCCGTGTTGTTGTAGGCCCCAGGTCCCTGGGGGTGGTAGGGACAGAGTGTGAGCTAACCCTGAAGCAGCCTAAAACTCTGGCTTCTCAGGGCCCCCATCCCGACTCACCAGCCCAGGTGCTGGCCTTGCCTCCTCAGGCGCTGCCTTCCTGCCCAGACAGGCTGGCATCCAGGCAGCCCGAGCATCTGCATTTAGGACACAGAAGAGCAGCAGCACCGCCAGGCCCTGTGGGTCAGCGAGGGTCAAAGCAGAGTCGGCAGGGATCAATCAGGGACCAGTATAAGTCACTGTGGGTCAGCAATGGGGTCAGTCACTGTAGGCTAGTGTGGGTCAGTGAGGAGCCCATGCGGGACTCAGTAAGGGAGTTGGGGAAGGTCAGCAGGGGAGAGGATGGAGCAGCAGGAGTGGCTGGAGTCTGTAAGGTCGGTGTGGATCAGCAA
The DNA here is from genome assembly GCF_000001405.40 of Homo sapiens. NCBI lineage: Eukaryota > Metazoa > Chordata > Mammalia > Primates > Hominidae > Homo > Homo sapiens. Next base: position 48,643,299 of record NC_000003.12, read on the forward strand.
GGGGTCGGGAGCCTTGGTGTTGGTGAAGGTCGATCCAAGATCAGCACTCAGTCTGGGATCAGTGCCTAAGTTAGAGTCAGCTCCAGGCCTGGGGGCAGCAGCTAGGGCCAGTGTCTGGTCTGGGGTAGTACCCAGCCTGGCAAAGTTATCCAGTAAGAGTCAGCTCCAGGCCTAGGGTCAACGTCTGCCTAGGGATGGCCCCAGCCTACTGAAGGCCCACCTGGTTCTGGGGCAAGGGAGGGGCACCAGAGTCACCTGGAGGCCGCAGAGTCCAGCATGGAGGTAGTGGAAGGCTAGGATGCTGTGGTTGACTGCCAGGAGCCCAAAGAGCCAGGAGGCACTGACCAGCAGAAGCAGCAGGAAGGAGCTGCGAAGGGTCCTGCTGTGGGGACATGGGAAGACACAGGAGGACATGCAAGGCTCATGTAGGACTCATGCAGGGAACACGGGAGGACACACAGGGGCCACACACGAAACGTGAAAAAAAGGAACTCACACGGGAACATGGAGGTCTCTGGAGGACACTGGGGGAGATGGGAGGTCCCACAAAGAAACAGGAGAGCAGTCAAAGAGCCATGAGGACACGTGGGGAAAACACAGGGGTATGGGAGCCACAAGGGAGGGCACGGAAGACAGGTGGGAACACACAGGGCAGGGGGCAAAGTGAGCCACCCAGGCCATGGGAGACTCTGGGGGGACCCAGAGGACAAGGAGAGACAGCAGGGCAGAAGCACATGTGGGGCTACAGTATAGCGAGGGCGCCAGAGAGGGACCACAGGTCAGGGCAGGTGTGACTTCATTCCTTCATCTAGAACTTGGAGCCCAACCTGCACCAGGGAAGATCTGGGGGCCCCAGACCCCACCCAGGAGGGACCTGCCATCCTGAGAAGCCCCCTTCCTCCAGCCAGCCAACTCACAGTGCAGAGGTCTTCTTGGCCTCCCTCTGCCCTGTGGAGCAGGATGTGCGGGCAGCGAGGAGAAACATGGTCCCGTTCATCTGGACCCACGGCCAGACATGTGGGGCCGGGCAGGGCAGAGAGAGAGAGAGAGAGAGAGGCAATGAGAGACAGAGAGAGACTAAGATTCACGGAGAGAGGCAGAACCAGTGAGAAATTCACACATATACACACACACCAAAGGAGCTTAGCATCACAGAAAAAGAAATTGGGAACCAGAGAGGGACTGAGAGAGAGAAGCAGAGACAGAGGCAGGGACAGGCAACTGAATCTCTGACCCCGCGCCCCCATCTCCATGCCAGTTGAATGGGGGTGGCTACTGACCAGAGGACAGAAAAAATGAAGGCCGAGCCCAGGAAGCCTGCAGAATGCCACCTGACCGCCCTCAGCTGAGTCCACTGCACCTCCTCCCCCAATGAGGGAGGGAAGTACAGAGGGGGCACCAAGTCCAGGGCACTCACCACTATGACCAGGACAACAGGGCCAGCAAAGCTCCAGATGAGGGGCTCGTGGACTGAGATCCAGCAGAAGTCAGGGTTCCCATAGCCCTCAGGGTCCAGGCCCACAGCAAGGCCTTGGGAAGAGAAAGGGTAGGACTGAGGGTGTGTGTTCCAGAGCTGCTGACCAGCCCATGTATGGGAGAAAGCATGGGTGAGGGCAGAGCAGCAACCCCATGAATAGATGGCTTGGGGTTTGAGGTTGGGGGTCATGAGCAGGAGTGGGGACAGGGTCAGGGGTCAGGCCATGTGATGGTTGGAGGTTGGGGGTCACAGCCCTCACCCAGCAGCACAGCAGGGACGCCCCAGCCCAGGGCATGGTAGAAGCGCATGGCGCCGCGGTCCACGTTGCGTGGCTCAACCTGCATGCGGTAGAGGTGCAGCCCCTGCACGAAGAGCCACGCGAAGGTGCTGAGGAAGAAGTAGTGCAGGAGGATGGCGACTGCAGTGCACACCAGCTGAGGGCAGGGGGGCGTGTCAGGACCTCTCCTGCCTCACCCACCTCTGACCCCTACCCCAGGCATCTGCTTCCCACCTCTCACCCCTAAACCACAATATCTTACCCCAGCATCCTGCTGAAAACCCTGGCCCCAACCTGAGCATCCCTGACCTCTGACCCTGAGTTTTGGCCCCAGGCCTCCTGGGCCAGTAGGGTCATCAGGACACAAGTTCCCTGGCCCTGATCCTGCACCTGATTGTGGGTCCTGTGAATCCCCAGCAGGAAGAGGAGCTCTGCCACCCCCAGGGCGGCTGCCACATTGGCATGGATCCCACGCACATTGGACTTGAGGCTGCGCAGGCTCAGCAGGATGGCTGCAGTCAGCACCAGCGCAGCCACAGACACAGCCACGACCACGTGGGTGAACACAGCCAGCAGCTCCAGGTCGCCCTCCAGCCTCTACAGAGACAGGGATGGTTGATGGGTTGTTGGGCAGAATCCCCGTGTCCCTTTGACCCCCCACTTCCTTGGGACACTGAACACAGCCCCACCTCACGGGGAGAGGCATCCATGAGGACCCCAAAGGTCCCTGTCCGGCTGCAGCGACACCGTGCGTGGGACCCATTCCTGTGCACCAGCTCGCAGTCCCGTGCTGTCCACACACCATGCTGCTCCGCCCTGCAGCCACAGGGCAGTTAGACACAACTGTGACCCAGTGTCAGGCAGGGGTTTGTGAGAGATCATGGGAAGGGCTGAGGGTGCCTGGAGTTGGGGTACAGCATTCCTCATGGTCCGGGTTGCACAACAGCACTAGTGGGGGCCCCAGGGGAAGGCTGGGACTATTAGTTGGCCTCCCAAGGGCTAACGGGACCAAGGGTTTCCAGAATGGGGGTCCTCACAGGCCAGGTGGGTCCCACTGCACACAGATCGCCTTGCTCCGATTCGCTGTCTGTAGCAGGCGAAACTCTAGGCTGATGGGGGACTCCAGGATTCCCCTTAGGAAGTTGCGTCCGTGGAACACAGCCACGCTGACCACCGGGGAGTTCATGACGGGGTTCTGAGGAAGCCTGGGGAGACACCCATCTGGGCTTACGCACTGCTGACCTCCCCATGCTCAGCCTGCTTGCCTCACCCCGTCTTCATGCCACTCGCCAGGGCTGACCCAGGGTCTGGGATGTCCCCAGAGTGGAAGCTGTTTCTAAGAATCCCTCCAGCTTCTGCTGGGCTGCTGAGGGGCTGAGCAGCTCCAGGGGACCTGCAACTGTTTGCCTCTGATTGCCCTCCCTCCTACCCCCATCAGTCAGCCTGTCCTTGTCTGTCTCTGTCAGCCCTTTGGTCTGTCTGTACCTGGCTCATGGATCCCTCCTGTGTGTGGCTCTGTGTCTGTCAGCCTGTGGCTCTGTCACTCTGCACAACTCCAGAGAATAAGATTCACACAGAACCCGGCAAGGATGGGGCTCCCTGGAGCTGTGCTCCTCTCTGTGTGTTGTGAACCTACGCATCTACCCACCAAAAAAGGGGCTGCCAGGCTGAGAAGTTCGTAGGAAGCTCAGGGGTGAGGGGCCTGAGTACCTGGCACCTCGGCGTTCTGCCTGGAACTGGGCAGGGAGCAGTCCCCCTAAGGTGCGGTAAACGAGGAGAATGATAATGGAGATCCCAGGCTCTGGCTCTGGCGGGGCTGGTGGGGGGACCACACTTGAGGTGGTGGAGTTTTCTATGCTGCTGCTTGTGGGCAGAACTGCCAGGAGAGAAGGAGGAGCTTCTGTCAGTGACCTTTGACCCAAAGCACCCACCAACCCAGCTCTGAACCCGATCAAGCATGGGGGTCTCTTCCCTGCAGGAGCAGAATTGGGGAGTGCAGGGAGCATGAACCCAGAAAGTAACAGTCAAGGCCTGGGAGGGGTCATTTGTGATGAGGGAGAGGCTCTGACAAAGTGAAGGTGTGGCAAGGTGGACAGTGGAGGGGAGATGTGGGAGGGAGGGTGGAGGGGAGATGTGGGAGGGTGGAGGGGAGATGTGGGAGGGTGGAGGGTGGAGGGGAGATGTGGGAGGGTGGAGGGTGGAGGGGAGATGTGGGAGGGTCGAGGGTGGAGGGTGGAGGGGAGATGTGGGAGGGAGGGTGGAGGGTGGAGGGGAGATGTGAGAGGCAGGGTGGTGGGTGGAGGGGAGATGTGGGAGGGTGGAGGGTGGAAGGGAGATGTGGGAGGGAGGGTGGAAGGGAGATGTGGGAGGGAGGGTGGAGGGGAGATGTGGGAGGGTGGAGGGTGGAGGGGAGATGTGGGAGGGTGGAGGGTGGAGGGGAGATGTGGGAGGGAGGGTGGAGGGGAGATGTGGGAGGGAGGGTGGAGGGGAGATGTGGGAGGGAGGGTGGAGGGGAGATGTGGGAGGGTGGAGGGTGGAGGGGAGATGTGGGAGGGAGGGTGGAGGGGAGATGTGGGAGGGAGGGTGGAGGGGAGATGTGGGAGGGTGGAGGGGAGATGTGGGAGGGAGGGTGGAGGGGAAATATGGGAGGGAGGGTGGAGGGGAGATGTGGGAGGGTCTGACACTGGGGAGGTCTAGAAAGGGGAAAATTGGCAGGAGGGCAACATAGTATCTGGTTGGGGGGACAGAGAGACAGGACTTGGCCCAGGGGTCCCCTAGGGGCTCTCACCTTCAGATGGGGATGGCCGTGGGGACTGGGAAGGCAGCAGCACATGGGTGTGAGGATCCCAGGCATCCTGGCCTCGAAAGAGGTTGCTATGGTAGCGAGGGTAGCGACGGGCCCCCCGGGGAGAACTGGGGTGCTCCATGCGGTCAATGCTGAGCACTACCCAGGAGAAAGAAAGGGGAGGCCCATCATGGACCTCTTCCCCCTGCCAAGGGTTCTACTCCCTCTTACTCGCATCCCGCACCTGAGTCCCACAATCTGTTTTCTGTGCTACCAGCTCGGAGCCTGTCCCTACAAAACGCTGAGGGCGGTGGCTGAGTCTCCTGCCATTAACATTGGCATTGATAGCCACAGCCCCTCAGACCTTCAGGTACCTGCCCTTTCATGGCCCCCCTGCTGTGCCCCGCCCTACCCCACCCACAACGCACTGATATTAGGCGTCACCAGCCCCATGGGATTCAGGTATGTGAGTTCCATATTCCTTGCGAGTGTGGCTGCATACTCCTCCAGGTGCCTCACCAGTCCCGCGCTGCCTGGGGAGCCCCCAGGGGCCCGCTGCCCCAGCGCCGCCCACAAGTCCCCTGTCTCTGGGGCAAGCAGTGCAGAGCCGGCCCACAGCAGATTCTGGGAAGACAGAGATAGAATTGGGTTCAGCCAGGTGGTGAGGATGTATGAGGGGATAGGGCAGGCATGAGAGGTCTGGACAGGTGCTCAGAGGGGCTCCAACAGGCAAGGGGGCGGGGCTGGAGAGGACAAGGACAGAGGGAGAGCCCAGGACCTTCACTTCCCAAGAGAACAGCAGGAGCCTGAGCTGGGGATCCAGGGGCAGGAGGCTGGGAGCTGGGGGGCCAAGGCACTGAGAACATAGGGCACAGCCCCACCTCATTGAAGTGGGCATCCTGTGTGGCTGTCAGCCCGAAGCCCTGCTGATGGCTCTCGAAGGCCAGCAGGTGGGCCAGCAGGCGGGCAGTGACTCGAACATCTTGGCTAAAATAGTGGTCAGTGTGGCCAGTCACCTCCCGTAGCCGCTGAGCCAGCTTCTTGGCCTCCATGGTATCCAGTGCCGTCTTGTTCAGCTCTAGGCCATCCAGCTGCCAAGACAAGGAGATGGTTGCTCTGTGGTCCCTTAGGCCTTCCTCTAAAGCTTCACAGGGAGAAAGCCTTGCCAGATTAAAGGGCAACCAGGAAAGGCTCAGGAGTTCAAGGGCTAGGGTGTGGTATCTGGGGCCCACCACAGGCCAAGGAAGGTCTTAGGTTGCAGGAAAAGGTCTGGGCAGTCTCACCAGCAGACTGAGCTCTCGAAAGGCAGGGGAGGTACAGTTGAAGAGGTCGGGCTCCAGCCAACCCTGGGCCTCATCACACAGCCGCACAGCAGCACCTGGAGGCAGGCAACCCCTGGTCAGGCCTGGGGCCTGGATACCTTTGCTGAGGAGATAACCGCAGCACCCTCTCCTATGCTGGGGGAATCCCTGAGGCAGAAGTCAGAGTCATGAGCATCTATAGCTGCACCCCTGGAGGTAGCGGCCCAAGCCCAGGTAGGCCCCAGCTGCTTGTCAGGCAATTCCTGAGAGGGCTGTAGACCATTCTCAACCAGCAACCACACAAAGCACAAGGGTGGGGCTGCACACACTCACCCACGTGGGCCAGGACTGGCTCATAGATGTGCTGGTTCACACAGACACACACCAATGCTCACCAATTACACACAGATGTATGGACCAGACCAGTACGCAGACACACAATGCTCTCTCGCACACACACAGACATGCCAACACAGAAGAGGGCTTCTAGGAACATCCAGTGAAAGTCAGGTGGGAGGATTCTCACACAAGTTTTAACTGCCCCAGTGGTTACTTTGCTGTCATTTCTCTCCCTTGTCTCTGGGGTTGGGATGGAGGTTGAATGAGAATTGACTTGGATCTTAAAAAAGTTTGTAGCTACCAACAAGAGAGAGCCTAACTTAATCACAGAATCCCCTCCCCGCAACAGGTTCACAGACACGTGCACAGGCACAGAGATACACACGTGAGCATGCGTACACAAACAATCTCTGTCCAGCCACTGCAGAGACCTCAAGCAGCAGGGAGTGTTCTGAGGGGACCTCAGGCAGTGGGGAGGGGCCCCCAAGCAGCAGGAAGGAGCTATAGGGTCCTCAGACTGAGGAGGGATCTTTCGTGACCTCAGGCAGTGGGGAAAGTTCTATGGGGACCCCAGGAACTGAGAAGGGGTCAGCAGGGTCCTCAGGCAATGGGGAGGGGTCTCTGAGGATCTCAGGCATCAGAGAAGGGCCCCTGGGGTACTCAGATAGCCAGAAGGGGCCTGCAGGGACTTTAGGCAGCAGGGAGGGGTCTGCAGGGACCTCAGGCAGCAGGAGGGGTCTGCAAAAGCTCTGGTAGTGGGAGGGGGCAGTGCACCTGAGCAAACACGTACCCCTTACCTGCACCCCGCAATCCTGCCCAGAAGCCAAGAGAAACAGATGGAGGCTCAATGAGGGTGTAGGGAGGGGCCCACATGGACTCCCACCCCACTTCCACCTCTTTGCAGGAACAAAGCCACCCAATTTAGGAAAAGACATGGCTCTAGCAGTCAGAGTACAGGCCCACCCCCACCCTCAGTGATGTCCTTTCCCCCCACATACTCACCCAGGGCCCCCCGGGGACAGGGCACTGTGGCCAGGACGCCAAACTTTGTCTGGGGCCACCACACACCAGATCTCAGGGACTTAGGGCAGGCATCATAGAGCACTAGAGAGAGAAGAGGTGCTGAGCCAGGCAGTCAGGGTACAGGGCAGTTGACAGCCACACCCACTGCCCCTCCACCACCCCCCACAAGGCCCACTGCCCGCCACTCCTGCTGGCTTCTCAGGAGCTGACCTGTCAGATTCTGTGACAGGTCAGCAAAGTACTTGGGGCAAAGGTAGGGTTCCCTGGGTGTAAGTGGTCTCCCTCAGGAGAAGCTTCCAGAGTCCCCAAGGAGCCATGTGTGCCACTGACACGTGATGGTGGCACACTGGAACCAGCCCTCTATGGGTGGAGCTGGGTGGAGCCTGCTCACCCCGGCAGCCGCTGGCTGTCACCTCTGCGAAGGGACTGTCACAGCTGTTGCACTGGCGGCCAAGGGCTCCTGGGCGACAGGGGCACTGCCCGCTGTGGGGTGCACATGAGCGCGAGGTGGAGCCCACAGGGTAGCAGTCACATGGGAGGCAAGAGTCACTGCCCCGCGGTCGGTAGTGGAACTCCTGTTTGAGGATGGGCCAGGGGCCTGAAGTCAGAGGTCAGGGCTTGGGGAATGAGTGGAATCAAGGATAAAGGGTCAAGAGAACAGTGCTCATGGGCCAGAGGACACCTGGGTCATGCGTGAAGCCAAGGGAGGGGTCACGGGTAAAGGATGAGAGACAGCAACTTGGTCACAGGACACAGGCAAGAGGTTAGGGCCCAAGTCAGGTGGCGGAGGTCAGCAAGCTGGACAGGAATTGCAGATTGCGTCCAAGGAAGGGTTAAAAGGTCAGGGGCCAGGCGCACCTTGCAGTGACACTGCCCATTTGTCTTGTTGCAGTTGGGATCAAAACCTTTGTGAACATCACAGTTGCAGGGGCCACAGGTTGGGCTCCCCCACCAGCCCCGTGGGCACTGCTGGTCCATCCTGGGGGTGCAGAGCCAGGTAAGATGCCTCCACGGTATCCCAGTGACCCTCCCTGTCCCTGCCAGGTCTCCCCATCGCCTCAGCCCCAGCCTCTTACCTGTGCTCACAGTGGTGCCCGAAATAGCCACCCACACAGTCACAGGTATAGCCATGGGGGGCTCCTGGCAGGTGCCGGCATGATCCCTGGTTCTGACAGGGGTTCAGGAGGCAGGCATCCACACAGCCTGGGCCGTAGTAACCTGCAGATTGGGTCAGAAAGCTCAGGATCCTGGTCGCAGAGCATGGAAGGAAGCAGGCACCCGTCCCGAGTCCCTGCCTCCTTCAGGTTCCCCAGTCTTCATCATGGGCCCCTAACGCCTGCCCAGGTCACCCTTCCCCCAACCCTCTCAAGGCTCACCTGGCTGGCAGGTGCAAGAAAAGGTCTGCCAGAGGTCCCGGCAGTCTGCGTGAGGTGGGCAGGGCCCAGAGGCACAGGCGTTGGTCACAACACAGCCAGGCTCCGCATTCACTCGGTGGCTGGGGGGTAGCAGGGCCGGGGAGCCAGAGGGTGTGGAGCCGAGCCACACCCCCTGTGGACACACAGCCAGCAAGGGGTGAGACCATGTTAAGGCACCTCAGCCTCAAGTACTGCAGAGCCAGCCACCCGGTCTGATGATCCTTGACATGCAGTCTTCTGATACCCTCAAAAAACCCAGGCCTCAAAAATATCCCCAATTTGGTACCCCTGTGGGACCCTAATTGTGCTGTTTCTGACACAGATTCCTAAAGGCCCTTGATAATCCAAGCTAGACTCCCACCTCCAATGCCACAGAAAGGCTTGACCTAGCTCTCAACTCTGGGTCATTCACCCCCTCGCACCAACCCCCACTTGAATACTGCCTTTCAGGTCCCAAGGAGCCCCTGACTTCTGACCCCTGACCCTAATGCCCCATATCACATTCCCATGCTGACCCCCACCTGGATGCAGCCAACCAGACCCTGAGGAGCCTCCTCTGCACTGCCGGGGGGCAGGCCTCCCACGTGGAGCTGCTTTACCTTCAGGCCCTGCAGCTCACTCCCCACCGCCATGGTGTCCTGGAGGAAGTGGGGCAGTCAGCACTGAGGGAGAGGGGCCTGATGAACCCCTGTCATAGCCCAGAGTCAGTCTTGGCCTTCTTCTAGCCCTTCTAGGCTGCCCCCTCCCTCCTGGACCCACAGTAGACCTTAATATTGCTTGATTTTGACCGGGGGTGGGTAGAGACTGGGGCAGAGACTAGAAGGGGCTTCTAGGAATCAGGCAAAGTGCTGGCTACAGAGGTTCCCCAAGACCAGGCCCCAAATCTGGCACAAAGAGGGCTTGAGAGTGGACCAACTTGGCTGGTGGGTGGGCTCAGTGCAAGGATATATGGTGGGGAACTAGGGGTAGAACATCAGACTCAGTGCAGTGGAGGGAACTGAGAGGAGCTGGACTAGAGGTGGGGTCAAATAAGGCGGATCTGGTTGGAAGGCTGAGAACAGACTACCCCGGGGTCAGAGGCCAGACCTGGAAGAGGCTAAAGTCCAGTGAGACCATAAGGACATGGTGGCCCCGCCGGCCACCTGGTTCCTCCTGCAACTCCAGCCGCAGATCGTGCCACCGGCCATCACTGACAGTCACCTGGTCCAGAAGGAGATGGGAAGCACGGCCCGAGCCCCTGGTCACTGTCACAGACAGTAACCCCCGATCTAGCTGTGGGCAGAGATGCATAGCCCTGGGGTTAGAGCCCCATGTGGGCTGGGACTTGGAGGTGAGATCAGAGGGCTCAGAGGTCAGGAATATCAGAGGTCAGAACAGTGGGGTCAAGGTTATACCTGGCACAAAGGGCACTGTGCCAGGGGACATCATGTTGCTGATATGGGGTCAGGGGGCAGAGGATAGGACCAGGTGTTGTGGGTGGGTTGGTGCAGCTTGCATAAGAGAGAGCTATGCTGGAGCCCTGCACCTGCAGAGGATATAATGATGGAAAGAGAATCAAGGGCTAGGGTCCAGAGCAGGGTCAAGTGTGGTTGGGACACCTGGCAGAAAAGTATGCTGTGTGACCAACCTGAACCCACAAGAATGTCAGTGGCGGCCTAAGAGACTGAGAACTGAGGGTATAGGGGTGAGCAGGGTGGACACACCTGGCAAAGGAGCGTGCTGTGTGGCCCAGCCTGCACTTGCATCAGGACCCCCTGCGTTGCCCGTGTCCGAAATGCCAGCCCCAGGTACCATGGCACAGACACAGCCATGTCACTTCCAAAGTTCCAGCTCAGTGTGCCGTTGCCACGGAAATGGTGGGGATGGGCCATAGCTGAGTGGATAAGAGAAACAGGGTTACAGCCCCTGCCCCAGGAACAGATCTGACCCTGCAGGCCCCTCTGCCCCATGCTGCCCACTTACTAAGCTGACAGTCTTTGCCGCCGAAGCCCACAGGGCAGTCGCAGCTGAAGCTGCCCCAGCGCTCCGAGCAGAAGCCACTGTTCTTGCAGGGGCCTGAGTCACAAAAGTGTAGCTTGGCTTGGCAGCCTGGGAGAGGAAAGCACATGGCGGACATGAGAACAAGGGTTGGGGGGCACAAGTGCTGGACAGGACTTTAGTGTCCAGAGGGGCTGAAAGAGACCAAGATCTCAGCCCCATTTCCCATTTTCTTTCGATGAGTGGGGTTGGTAAGAGTCAGGCCCTAAAATCTGGGCTGTAGCATGGTGCTTGCCACCAAAGGAGACTGGCTTGAAGTCAGGTATGGAGTCCTCCACTTCCTCCCTATGATGGGGACAGGGCCATGGGCTAGGCTGGTGGAAGCTTCAGGCCTACCTGCCATGGTGCCATTATTTGCGACAAAAGCCGCCATGTCCACTCGGCGGCCATCAATGTGCAGGTCCCGCATACAGCCGATGAAGTCCTTATGGGATACGGGGAAGTTCTCGGGGAGGTTGGGGACACCTCCCAGAAGAAGAGGGCCCGTCAGGTCCAGGGACCTGGGGATCAGGGGTCTGGGTCATTGGTGGGACTGGGGCCAGAGTAGAGTTGCTCCTGGGGGGCCACAGGAAGCAGGGGGGTAGGACCCAGAGGGTAGGGTGATTGAGGGAGGAAAATAAGGCCGAGCTGTGGAAGGAGTTAGGATCTTACTTCAGTTGGGGTGCAAAGGGGCACCCGTGATGGGCCGATGGTCTGGGGAAAGGTAGGTGAATGGGGGTTGAGAGCTATGATGAAAGAATGAGGCATCTGGCTGGCTGGGGAGGGGATGGAGACGTGAAGACTCTGGGGGACTGGACATGAGATGAAGGGACTCGGAGGGGATGTGGGACATTAGTGAGACTGGGGTGGGGAGGTGGAGGCTTTGGAGGACTGCCTGGGGACTGTGTGTGGGAGGAGGGAGTATGGGGTGGAATACAGGATTGGGGGCTAGGGTGAGTAGGCTTTCAGGGTCTTTGAGAGGAGAGGGGAATCTTGGTGGTTTGGGGGAAAGATGGGAGAGTTTGGCAGGATGGGATGAGGAATGGGATGTGAAGGGTTGGAGTGGGCTTTGGTAGGCAGGGGACAAGGGGACTAGGGGGCAGGGGCCTCACTTCTTGGAGCTTGTTTGCACACCAGCAGCCGCGCATGAGTAGTTGCCAATCTCAGCACCAAACTGCAGAGCCACGGCCACATCACAATCATCCACGCTTAGCACAGCCACCTTGTCCTTGGAGGGGCCCTGTGCACCCCCTAGGGCATCTGTCCGGGGCTGAAGACGCAGGCACACCAGTCAACAGTGCCCCCAGTAACCCCTGAGGAGCAGAAGTCAGCATCCCAACTCCCCTCATACCCGATGCCAGGGATGGCCCCCACCTTGTTGTAGTATCTCAGATGCACTGTATGCCATTGCCCGTCACTCAAGCCCCCTGGAACTGTGGGGCTGACCACGGTGTTGGATTCACCTGGAGGGGAGATGCATGTGGAATCATCAGGAGCAGCGGAGTCGCCCCATCCCACCCGTCATATAAGCACAACCATTCCCAGGGCCACCCTGGATGCATCAGATCAGTCCCCCCACTGGTGACCACAATGGCTGGCTCAGAGTGCCTTTGAACAGACAGGAGAAACAGACTTCTTGGAGGGAGGGACCTTCCCACAGGGAATGGCCAAGGAGCTAGGTCTTCAGGGCTTGCATGGCGTGGAGTGTGTGCTCAGGTGCACAGTGAAGCAAACCTGAGGGGACTTGGGCCCTGCGTCCTCCAGCACACACGCACCCTTTCGCCGTCACATCCGGGGCACCCACCCGTGGAATATGTGAGCCGCACTTGGCCAGCCACGAGTTCCAGGGCCAGGAAGTCGTGCTTCTCGTTCAGGCGCCCGTTGTAGAAGAGCAGCCCGCTCTGCTGCACTGTCGCGAACCTGGGCGGGGTGGGAGGGGGTTGCGGGGGTGGGAGCGTCAGGAGCAGGGTACCACTTCACACCCACCATCCCTGCGAGGAGAAGGGGCTGGGGCGAGAGAGGAAGCGACGAGGGACGGCGGGACCGACCGGGGGGACGCGGGTGCAGCGAGGTCAGGAGACCCCGGGCGGGGCGTCAGGGGAGGGGCGGTGTCTCATGGGGATGCCAGGACGGGGCAGTCAGGAATCTGAGTCAGGGCGGGTAGGTGGGGGCGGCGGGGAGGCGCTCAGACACGGGGCGGGCACCTACGAGAGGGACAGCGTAAGGTGGAATCGCTGCCGCAGGCCGCGAAACATGACGAACGAACTGGGCGGGAAGGAGCGCGCAGCCACCTCGCAGCGCGGGCCCTCGAAGGCGCCGCCTGCCGGGCACTGGCAGCGAAAGCCGCCGTTGGGCGCGTCGGTGCAGGTGCCCCCGTTGCGGCAGACGCCCGGCACGCAGCGGCCGGCCTCGGTGTCCAGCTCGCAGTCCTCTCCTGGGGGCCAAGCCGCGGTCAGAGGCGGTCACGCCCACGCCCGCCCCTGCTCCGGCCCCTTCAAAGACCGCGCGCCCAGAGGCCGGGTGCCAAGACCCCCGAAAGGTCGCCCTCTTCGGTGGACACGCCCCTTCCGTCTGGCCCCGCCCCCTCCCCAGTCTCATCGCTGCCTCGGCGGCGGCCCCTTCCGGCCACGCTCTACGGCTTCTGGCCTAAGCGCGTCCATACCAGGCCGTGGCCTCAGAAGTGACTCCCAGTACTCACTCGCATTGTGGTCCCGCCCCCAGCCTTGGCCCGTGCTTCCCCCAGCTCTGGCCCGGCGCCCTGCTCACCGGTGAAGCGCGGGCGGCAGACGCACGTGTAGCCTCCCTCGCGCCGCGCGCAGGCTCCGCCGTTGCGACATGGGTTGGAGTAGCAGAGGTCGAGCTCGGTCTCGCAAAAGTCTCCCGTGAATCCGGGCGGGCAGCGGCAGCGCAGGCCAGCGATGGGCTGGATGGGTCGGAACAGCGTGGAGGCCGAGGCCAGGAAGGGCGCGGACGAGTCAAAGCGGAGCACGGACACGCATTTCATGTAGTTCTCACAGGGCTCTCGCAGGCACACGTTGTCGTCGAAGGGCAGTACGTCGAGCAGGGAGCGAGCCGCCAGCGCCGCCCGGCGCACGTACAACTGCTCCTGCAGCTCCTCGGAGCTGAACCAGGGCCCTGCAGCGCCCGCCCCGGCCCCACGTGGAGCTAGCGCCGAGAAACTCACATTGAGCACGGTGCCCCCTACGTCTGTGTCGTTCTGGATGTTGAAGATGAAGACGTCCTCAGCGGGCGTAGCGAGCACCGCAGCCACGCCCTCGAGGAAGCGGCCCAGCAGCGGTGACAGGAAGCGCTCCTGCCACATGTTCTCAAGGCGCACGGTCAGGCTGTTGGCCAGCAACTCCTCCGTGATGATGACCACGCGCAGCACACACTGCGCCGTCACGCTGTGCAGGCCATCTGCAGGCGGGGGCAGGGGCAGTGGTCATCCTGGGGACAGTGGCCACCCCTCCCTGGGACACAAGAGGGCTGGGGCCAGCGATAGCCTAGGCCCCCAGAACCTCTAAGTCAGCAGGCTGACCCCACCAGGACACAAGGGAGTCTGGGGCTAGTGACCACCAGCTCCCCCAGCATCAAGGTGTCAAAAAGCTGCTGCTTCCTCCCCCAATCCCCAATACACGGAGGGGTCTGGGCCAAGGATCAAGCAACCCCACACAGTGCCCATGGGTTAGCAAGTCACTCCCGCAACAGCACTCAAGTACCCTAAGTACTCAGTAACCCACACTTCCCCAAGTTATCATGGTCAGCAGGCCACCCCAACTCAGGACACAGAGAGGAGCTAGGGCCACTGGCCACTCATTCCCAGCCACCTTTCCCTTCTCCCCTCCTCCAGCATAGCAGAACCAGCAAAACATCCCCCTCCAGAAAAGAAGGGTTCCAGATCAGGGATCACCTATCTCCTATTTTTGGTCAGCAAATTGCTCTTCCATGACACTAGAAGGGGCCCTGGCCCAGTGAAGACTCAATGCCATCCTCCAGAATCCTGGGTTATCAAGCTCCAGGGGGGTCTTGAACCCTGACATACACACACACACACACACACCAGCATTCTTGAGTTAGCAGCCTGCTCGCCACTCCAGACCTGGGTCCTGTGGTTTCACAGTGACCACCCCAGAGATGAAGGTGAGGTGCTTAGCTGCCTTGTTCGTCTTGTCCCCACACCCTAGCACATACTGGGTGGTCAATAAGGATAGACTGTTGAGTGAGTTGAGGGATAAATGAAGGTTGTGCCTTCTCAGGCAGTGCCAGGAGTCCCTGCTCCAGAACTGAGGAATGAGCACCAGTGAAGCCTATTTCCCAACCTCTGCAGCCTCCAGTAGGCAGAACTTCAAGAGCCTCTCCCACCTGCACTCTCCTATTATGGAGGGGTTTCTGAAAGACTGGAGCAGATGGGGCAGGAAAGAGGCAAGTGGACCTCTGGACATTTTCCCAAAGGTCAGGGTCTCAGGCCCTACGAAGCCACTGTCCACCTGAAGCTTCCATAGTAAGCTGCTGTTCCTGACCACTCAAGTATTGGTCATTTCCTGCACAGATAGGGTAAGCGTCAGACTGGACCCAAAGTAACCCTTCGTCTGAACATGGGCATAGTGTGGACTGACTGGCCCATACTGGCTTTGCCTAGGACCTCCAGAGGATTACCCCAGGACCTCTGACCTTTTATCAGGAGGGGAGATATCCCTAGGTAGCAGACAGTTCTTTACAGGCTTTATGGGGTCTGCTAGATGCCTTGGAATCACTGGGATTCTGTGGAGATTATCCAGGAACCTAAGCAGAGTCCTTGTGAGGTCTGTGGCAGATCTTGTAGGGTGCAGGAACCCTACCCTTAAGGGGTTCTTGGAAGGCTTAGAAATCCCTCTTTGGTTTGAGGTGCCCTGTGGAGTCCCTGAGGCCCAACAGGTTGGTGTCACTGGGTCACTTGCCTGCCCCCTGCCCCTCACCTGTGACAGTCACCAACATGGAGGCCACCAGTGGGCGGTTATTGTCTAGCTTTCGGCTGAGTCGCAGCTCCCCACTGGTCTGGTTGACTACCAGCAGCTGCAGCTCATTGCCACGCTCAAAGGAGTAGAAGAGGTGGTCGGAGACATCGGGGTCATAAGCTGGGATGCGCCCAATAATGCCCGACGGGAAGGTGTCTGAACGGTTGGATACATAGTTGTTGAAGAGGATCTGGAAGTTGTTGAGCACAGGGCTGTTGTCATTCTGGTCAACCAGGCGGACGTGCACAGTGGCCCGGCTGACCAAAGGAGCAGATGTGGCCTGCACCACAATCACATATTCTTGGCGAGCCTCATAGTCTAGGTCAATGAGTGCCGTCAGTTCTCCAGAGAAGATGTCCATTTGGAACAGCTCAGGGATGTTCCCCTCCACGATCTGGTACATTATATGGGCATTGGGGCCTTCGTCAGGGTCCACTGCAGTGATCTGGGCCACCACTGAGCCCACAATGCTATTCTCTTTCACCCGCACCTCAAACTCCTCAGCTGGGAAGACAGGTGCATTGTCGTTCACATCCTGCACCATCACCTGGATACTGACTGGAGTCCGGAGTGGGGGCACACCTCTGTCCACTGCGTAGGCAGTCAACTCATACACTGATACTGCCTCCCGGTCTAGCCGCCTTACTGTACGGACAATTCCAGAGGTGGGCTCAATGGTAAAATCTCCATCCCCATCTTCACCATTCTGGAAAGTGTACTGGACCCGGCCATTGGCATGAGCATCCCGGTCAGTGGCTGAGATCTGCAGGACACTGGTGAAAGGTGGGGCATCCTCAGAGACCAGCCCTGTATAGTGGGAGGCCACAAATTGTGGAGCATTGTCATTCACGTCATTGACCATCACCTCCACATAAGTAGTGTCTGCCTTCTGTGGGATGCCATTGTCCCGAGCTGTGATAGCCAGGGTGTAGGTCACCTGGTCCTCATAGTCTAATGGGGCCTGTAATGTAATGGCTCCTGAGTCTGCATCAATGCGGAACTGGGGCAGGTTGTCCTCCAGGAGATAGGTGATACGAGCATTCTCACCCACGTCATCATCAGAGGCACTGATGACCACTATGGTGCTACCCATTGGCCGATCTTCATTCACACTCACTGAGTAGTGGGCACTTTGAAAGACCGGCCGATGAGTGTTGGCATCTGTGATGTTGATGTGCACATAGCAGTGATCATGAAGGGCACGGTCAGATGCAGTTAGTACCAGCTTGAAGTAGCGTTCCTGCTTGTAGTCCAGTGGCAGAGCCAGAGTCACCAGACCCACACCCCCCTGGGTGCTGATGGCAAAGCGATTCCGGGTGTTGCCGCCTGTGATCTGGTAGCTGATGGCACTGTTGGCATCACGGTCTACTGCGGTCACGCTGACCACACTGGTGCCCACAGCTGCATCCTCATTCAGTCGTAGGTGGTACTCCTTCATTGTGAACTCAGGCCGATTGTCATTAACGTCCAGCACAGTCACGGTGACACTGGCTGAGGCAGAGAGTGGGGGTGAGCCATGGTCTCGAGCCTCCACACCAAAGAAGTAATGCTCCACAGACTCACGGTCCAGGGGACCACTCACAGAGACCCAGCCAGTGGCGCTGTTTATCACAAAAGGAGTATCAGGTGCCACACCAGTTAGGGAGTACTCCAATCTGGCATTCTCCCCATGGTCTGCATCGACTGCCTGAATGTGGATGACTGAGTGACCCAAGGGAGCATTTTCCAAGACAGAAACTTGGAAGGGCGTGCTGACAAAAATAGGAATGTGGTCATTGATGTCCACCACCTGGATGCTGGCCAGGCCCGTGTTGTTGGACAGCGGTGGCCGGCCAGCATCCTGCGCCCTGATGCGCAAGGCATACTCTCTCTCTGCCTCGAAGTCCAGAGGTGCCACCACCTGGATCTCGCCAGTGAGGCTGTCGATGGCAAAGTGTCCACGGCTATTGCCACTGATGATGTTGTAGTGCACCAATCCGTTGGCGTCCTTGTCCCGGTCAGTGGCCGTGACGCGCAGCACGACTGTGTGGGGGCGCACATCCTCGCGCACCTGCGCCACGTAGCGCTTCTCGCTGAACTGAGGAGCATTGTCGTTCTCGTCTAGCACAGTTATGTGTACGCGCACAGTGGCCGAGCGCGGCCCGGGTTCCTGGCCCTGGTCGCTGGCTTCCACCACCAGCTCATAGCTTTCCATGTGCTCGCGGTCCACTCGGCCGCTGGTGCTGATGAGGCCGGAGCGTGGATCAATCTCGAAGGCGGCGGCAGCTGCAGCGCGCGCAGCTGGCGGCCCCACGAAGCGGTAGCGCAGGTTGGCGTTGGGGGGCGCGTCGCCGTCAGTGGCACGCAGCTGCAGGATAGGGTAGCCCTCCTCCACATTCTCGCGAAGGGTCTCCCGGTACTGCGCTTGCTCAAAAACCGGCGAGTGGTCGTTGCGGTCGGCTACTGTCACGGCCACCATCGTGGTGGCCGAGAGGCGCGGCGACCCGTGGTCCTGCGCGGTCACACGCAGGTAGTGACGCTCCATGCTCTCGCGGTCCAGAGCTGCCGCCGTACGGATAAGGCCGCTCTGCGGGTCGATGCTGAACAGCTCCAGCGAGCGGCTGTTCATGAGTGCCGCCAGCGAGTAGACTAGGCGCCCGGCCTCGCCGGCGTCCGGGTCCTGAGCAACCACGCGTAGCACCGCGGTGCCTGCTGCCTCATTCTCCGGCACCAGCGTCTGGTAGTTGTACTGCGGAAACTGCGGGTGGCGGTTTGCGGCGCGACGAAAGCGTGCCCGGTTCGCCGAGGTTACTTTCCTGGCTTCAGGACGGGCCGGGAGTCCCGGGGGACGCGGCCCGGGGCGCTGCGGGAGGAAGCGGCAGCGGAAGAGACCCCGGGAGCGCATGCGCTTGGGCGCCGGCTCGGGAGCTGTCCGAGACTCGCGGGGTGCTGAACCTGATGCAGGAGCTGTCCTCGCCGTGCGTGGTGCTGAATCCAGCTCGGGGCCAGATCCCGAGGCCCCTGGAAGACAGTTCCGCCGGGGGGCTGTCCTTTCTGCTCCGGATGTCGTGGCTCTCTCGCCCTGACCCTTGCTCCCTGTTGCCCATAATTCCCCACAGCAGCGCGCGGTGCCCACTCTTTTGCGGGAGCCTGTCCCAGCGTTCCGCTGGGAGGACACCGGCTTGGGACCGTGGTGCCGAATCAAAAAGTCTGAAGGGAGGGGCGAGCTGTTCCCCGAGCCCGGGACCCCTGAGGACAGAGCCCCTGGTGACAGACTACCTCTTTGCAAAGGTCCTGTCCGCCCGCAAGAGGAGACCTCTGGGCGCCAGTATAACACAGACCCTGGTCCCTGTCCTGTCTCTCGTTCGCGGCTGCCCAATGGCTGGACGCCGTGTTCAATCCCCAGCTCCTCATTCGGCTGCTCAGGGGGCCCTCGACTATTCCGGGCGCTTTGCCTTCTCCCTCGGAGCCCCACGAAGATAGGCTCCCTGACCCCCAGGCCAGGCCCCCCATCCTCCCGGACCCCGGAAGACTCCGGACAAAGAGCTAAGGCTCCGCCACCGATATGCGCCCTTGGCCCCGTAGTGGCAGCTAAGCCTGGGTCCCAGCCCTGGTGCCCACCGCCCCCCAGCTCCTCCTGGCTGAGGGGGAACAAAGAGAGGAGAAGGAGCAGGAGTATGGGGGTCGACCGTCCCCCGAGGCCCCGCCACGGCGGCCGCCTCGCCATCATCCCCCGCCTCCCTGCACGGCCTCCACCGCCCCCCGCCCCGGTCCGGGCCTTGGGCTGGCCCCGCCGCTCGGGCCCCCTCCCGGGCCCCTGCCGCCGCCCCGGGCCCCCGCCCCTCCGCCTGTCTCTCCGCACCCCCGCCGCCCTCTGGGCACCATCTACTCCGCGGCCGGAGCCCCTCCGGCGTGCGGCCCTGGCTTTTTCCGCCCCCACCACAGCATCCCCGACGCTGCTGCCGCCTCCCGCCGCTCCAACATGGCTCCCGGCCGCCCCGATGGTTCGCTCCACCTCTGCCCCGGCGCCCGAAACACGGTGGTACAACCCATCGCGCATGGCAGCTCTGAGGACCGAAGATGTTGCCGCCATCTTTATTGAGGACGTGAGCGTTGCTCCTGGTGCTGAACAGAGCGCGAAGGTTCGCCGTCGTTGGGTCCGCCCTCCCCACTTTCGGTCGCCGCCTTCACCCACCTCCCTCCTTCTAGGGCGCTGTCCCAGCTCCGTCTCCCAGCCTTTTTCTGTCCTTCCAGATCTCTTGTTCCCCCTTCCTGACCACTAGTTCTGAACCGTGTCCCGGATTTTGGTCTGAAATTTTGGTGCCCATGAGCGTTCTCATAGCTCTGGGAGGGGGTACTGTGTGAAATCCTGGGGTAGAGGGGACGATGGCTGGAGAGGGGTCTGGGGTGCCAGCACCCCGAACAATAGCTTTAACTATCCCATCAGCTAGTTTTATGAAACATGTCGCGACCACCTGCTTGTTTGGATCGCCCCTGCGGAGCAGGGACCAGAGATGACCCTCCCGAGGCGGGAGCAGAGGCCAAATTCTTCCCTGCCTTGCTGGTCCCCAGCAGTCTCCCGGGCTCGGGGCCCCTTCACTGGAGGCTGCACCCCCTCCCAGGCTGCGAGTCCCGAGTGCTCTGGGATGCCACGTGGAGCCCGGCGTTGCCCCATGGCTGCGGGCCCCGCTTCTTCGGGTCCCCGCCCCTCGTCCGTCACGACCGCATGCCTTAACCCCTTGAAGGGACTGACACAGAAACTCAGTCCTCCCCCCACCCTCGGTGCATTCCAGCTCTCCCTGCGTAACTCCTGGCACGCGCCGGTCTCGCCAGGCCAATGGGTGGACCTGGCGCAACAGACGTCACGAGAGGAGCGGAGGCGAGGGGTGAACGCGGAGCACTCCAATCGGTCAGTCATTGTTTCTATTGGCACAATGGGAGGCCCCGCCCCTCACGGCGGACTCATCGCATGGGGGAGGGGGCTCCGCGGGTTGCCGGCTAACCGTGAGAGAGTCCGGGAGGTACACTATACGGACCGGCCTCCAAAGGCGGAATCGATAACGAGCTGCAGCGCCGGGTGCAGAGGACGCGGGCATCCCGAAGCCCAGGAAGAGGTCAGGGCCGGGACCCCAGAACGCTCCACAGGGTGCGGCTCCCGCGATGGGGTGGATCCTGGTTCTAACAGGCGAGGAACTCCTGGCCAAGGCCTCTGGCCCGCCCCGAACGGTCCCTATGACATCACCATCAACCAATCAGTCGGCGCATCCTTTCGCCCCTTGACTGCTCCGCTTCCGGGAGGCGGGGCTTCTGCGGGTTCCACCTCCCGAGCGCCCCTTGTGGCTACCAAGGTCAGGCAACAGGTGTCCAGTTGTTCCCTCTCCTGTCTACGAATCTGAGGACCTCCCCAGGATCAGAGCTCTGGGCCTGATACACGGCCGGGGTTCCTACGGGTTTGTGAGTGGGGGTGGAAGATCTGCAGAGGCACTTAGGGCTGAACTCCTTTGAATGGGAGCCAATCGGTGCAGGGGCTGGAGGAGCGAGTCCCCCAAAGTAGTTTTATTTATCTATTTAGAGACAAGGTCTCACTCTTTCGGAGTGCAGTGGTGATCACAGCTCACCGTAGCCTCGAACTCCCCAGGCGATTCTCTCACCTCAGCCTCCCGAGTAGCTGGGACTACGGGTACATGTCATCACACTTGGCTAATTTTTGCATTTTTTATAGAGACAGGGTCTCACCATGTAGGCCAGATTAGTCTTGAACTCCTGGGCTCAAGCAATCCGCCCATCTTGGCCTCCCAAAGTGCTGGGATTATAGGTGTGAGCCACCGCGCCCGGCAACCCAGAAGTGGTTTTGACAGCACCAGCGCTTTCTGTGTCCACAATCTAGTGAGTAGAGGGCACAAAACCTGACACCACGGAGGCAGACAGGCAGGGGCTCTGCCGGGGAAGGGTGTTGGAGTCCCAAAGGAGGCGTCTGAGTCACCTTCGCAACCTGGGACGCCTTCTTGCATAAGATGCCTGAGCAGTGCCTTGAATGACCAAGGGGAGATCCGCATCTGCAAAGGAAGGGCAGGGAGGGATAGGGATTGGGGGTGGGCATCCTAGGTCTTGGAGACTGTGTGGGCAAATGTGCAGAGACATAAAGGGACTATGGCTGAGGGAAATCAAGCCCTGCCCTCTCACCAATAGGGCTGGCGCTGGTCCCAGCTAACACTCCTTTTGGAGAGCAAAGCTCCTCACTTCTGAGTAGTGAGATTGATTGCGGATCACTCTCCATGTTGCTGCCTGCTGTGTGTCATCCCACTGTCATCCTCCCTTTGTGGCTGTTCTGTGGAGCCCCTCTCCCTCAATCTGCACTCACCTCTATGCCCCAGCCCCATTGGCAGCTCCTAATGCACTCCCGGTAAAAAAAAAAAAACAAAAACCAGATGTTAGTGATAGTGGTGGTAGTTCTTCTCTCCACCTCCAAATCTTGCCCTTGCCTCCTAATAAGACCCCTATGTGGTTTAACCTCATTTTTTTTTTTTTTTTTTTTTTTTGAGATGGAGTTTCACTCTGTCACCCAGGCTGGAGTGAAGTGGTGTGATGGGGCTTCACCATGTGATGGGGCTTCACCATGTTGGCCAGGCTGGTATCAAACTCCTGACCTCTAGTGATCTGCCCGCCTCAGCCTCCCAAAGTGCTGGGATTACCGGCATGAGGCACCGTGCCCAGCCTATCCTCCTTCTCTTATCAGCTCCCAACTAGAGGTCCACCCAGGACCCAGAGACCTGGATTTGAGGCTGCTGGGCGGCAGATGGAGCGATCAGAAGACCAGGGTAAGGGTGTGGCAGATACTGCCACTAACACTTCTCAGCCTTTCCTTCTCCTGCCTTTTCCACCCCACCCTGTGTTTGTCTACTCCCAGCCAGGTGTACCTTTCCAGGGGAAGACCTGGCCAACCTGTCCAGCTCAATTATCCAGCAGTTCTTTGACCTCACTGAGATCTCGAGTCCATTGTTCATCACCTCAGCTATTGACCTGTGTCATTAGCCTTATAGAGTTCAGTGCCACGGAAACTCCCTGCCCTGTTCTTTTTCTTTTTCTTTTTTTTTTTTTTTTTGAGACAGAGCCTTGCTCTGTCGCCCAGGCTGGAGTGCAGTGGCGCGATCTCGGCTCACTGCAAGCTCTGCCTCCCAGGTTCACACCATTCTCCTGACTCAGCCTCCCGAGTAGCTGGGACTACAGGCGTCCACCACCATGCCCAGCTAATTTTTTTTTTTGTATTTTTAGTAGAGACGGCGTTTCACCGTGTTAGCCAGGCTGGTCTCGATCTCCTGACCTTGTGATGCTCCCGCCTCGGCCTCCCAAAGTGCTGGGATTACAGGCATGAGCCATTGTGCCCGGCCTGCCCTGTTCTTCTTAGACAAACTTGCTGGGCTAAAATCTAACCCCGTTAAAATAGACTATTTACGTATTGTTTGCCTCTAGCGCAGCAGAACATTGCTGGAGAAAAACAAACAACCGTGCTAATTGGTCTCATTTTATATTCATGACCACAAGCCTCAGTATTATATCGGAGGGCCTATCCAGTGCAGTAGGGCAAGAAAAATAATAAGTTATGAAGATTGGAAGGGAAAAAAAACTAATTCACAAGCAGTAGGATTGTATATGTAAAAATTTCAAAGGAACCTATAGGTAAGTTGTTAGAATGAGTTCAGCAAAGTTGTTGGACACAAGATCAATATATAAAAATCAGTTGCAATTTCTATATGTCACCAACAGTTAGAAAATAAATTTCTTGCCTGGGCATGTTGGCTCAAGCCTGTAATCCCAGCACTTTGGGTGGCCAAGGCGGGCAGATCACCTGAGGTCAGGAGTTTGAGACCAGTTTGGCCAACATGGTGAAATCCCGTCTCTACTAAAAATACAGAAATTAGCCGGGCGTGGTGGTGGGCACCTGTAGTCCCAGCTACTGAGGAGGCTGAGGCAGGAGAATCACTTGAACCTGGGAGGCAGAGGTTGCAGTGAACGAGAAAAAAAAATTTTTTTTCTTAAAAACAATGATGTTTACAATAGCATCAAGTAATATCAAATGCTGAGGAATAAACCTAATGAAAGATGTGCAAAGACTACATACACACATACAAAAAAACTATAAAACATTATTGAGGGAAATAAAGACATAGGCCTGGCATTGGTGGCTCATGCCTGAAATCTCAGCACTTTGGAGGGCCAAGGTGGGTGGATCATTTGAGGTCAGGAGTTAGAGATCAGTCCGGCCAACATGGTGAAACCTCATCTCTACTAAAAATACAAAAAAATTAGCTTGGCCAGGTGCAGTGGCTCACACCTGTAATCCCAGCACTTTGGGAGGCTGAGGCGGGCGGATCATGAGGTCAGGAGATCGAGACCATCCTGGCTAACACGGTGAAACCCTGTCTCTACTAAAAATACAAAAAAAAATTAGCCGGGCCTGATGGCGGGCGCCCGTAGTCCCAGCTACTCGGGAGGCTGAGGTAGCAGAATGGCGTGAACCTGGGAGGTGCAGCTTGCAGTGAGCCTAAATTGCGCCACTGCACTCCAGCCTGGGTAACAGAGCGAGACTCCGTTTCAAAAAAAAAAAAAAAAATTAGCTGGGCATGCTGTTGTGCACCTGCAATCCCAGCTACTCTGGAGGATGAGGCAGAAGTGCCTGAACCTGGGACACAGAGGTTGCAGTGAGCCAAGATCATGCCATTGCACTCCAGCCTGGACAACACAGCCAGACGCTATCTGAAAAAAAAAAAAAAAAAAAAAGTAAAAAAAATGAGAAATAAAGACATAAATAAAGTGAAAAATTGTTCCAATATTGGAAAAGTCAATATTATAAAGGTGCCAATTTTCCCAAATTGATATATGGATTCGATGCAACTTCAGTTAAAAATCCCACTAAATTTTGGCTGGGTGCGGTGGCTCACACCTGTAATCCCAGCACTTTGGGAGGCTGAGGCGGGCGGATCACAAGGTCAGGAGATCGAGACCATCTTGGCTAACATGGTGAAACCGTCTCTACTAAAAATACAAAAGTTAGCCGGGTGTGGTGGCGGGCACCTGTAGTCCCAGCTACTTGGGAGGCTGAGACAGAATGGCGTGAACCTGGGGAGGCGGAGCTTGCAGTGAGCCAAGTTGACGCCACTGCACTCCAGCCTGGGCGACAGAGCAAGACTCTGTCTCAAAAAAAAAAAAAAAAAAATCCCACTAGATTTTGTGTGTGTGTAAACTGACAAACTAGATTTAGCAGCCTGAGCAACACAGCAAAACCCCATCTCTACAAAAAATACAAAAATTTTGCACATGCCTGTATAGTCCCAGCTACTTGGGAGGCTGAAGTGGGAGGATCATGTGAGCTCTGGGGAGGTCGAGGCTGTAGTGAGCTATGATCACATGCTGCACTCTAGCCTGGGCAACAGAGCAAGAGACCCTGTATCTAAAAAAAGAATGAAAATTAAAAAATAAAAAGAAACCAAGATTGTGTGGTACTGGTACGAGGATAGGAAGACTAAAGGAACGAAATCCAGAGACAGGCCTGAAGATGTGTGGAAACTTGAATTTTGACAAGGGTGGTTCTTCAGAGCTAACATGAAGAAAGGGTTGTTTTCTTTTTTTTGTTTCCCCAGGAGCAACTCTATTAACTGAAAGAATAGGCTTTTCAATAAATGATGCTGGGTCAGTTGGATATCCATATAGAAAAAATTAAATGAGATCTCTATTTCACACTGCTTGCATAATCAATTCCATATAAATTTGACATCTGAAAATATACAGTTTCTAGAAAACAGTATTAAGACCTTGTTTTGTTTTTTGTTGTTGTTGTTTTTTGTTTTGTTTTTTGTTTTTTGAGACAGAGTCTCGCTCTGTCGCCAGGCTGGAATACAGTGGTGCAACCTTGGCTCACTGCAACCTCTGACTCCCTAGTTCAAGCAATTCTCCTGCCTCAGCCTCCCGAGTAGCTGCGATTACAGGCACATGCCACCACGCCCAGCTAATTTTTGTATTTTTAGTAGAGATGGGGGTTTCACCATGTTGGCCAGGATGGTCTCGATCTCCTGACCCTGTAATCCGCCCACCTCGGCCTCCCAAAGTGCTGGGATTACAGGCGTGAGCCACTGCACCTGGCCAAGAGAAGATCTTAAAGGTGACTTTAAGCAAACTTTTTTTTTTTTTTTTTTACAGAGACGGGAGCTGGAGTGCAGTGGCTGTTCACAAGCGTGAAAGCAAAGATTAAAAAATTTGTTTTTATATTAAAAAAGTTTTTAGAGATGGGGGTCTCACTTTGTGGCCCAGCCTGCAGTGCAGTGGCGCGATCATAGCTCCCTGCTGCCTCGACTTCCTAGGCTCAAGGGACCCTCCTGTCTTGGCCTCTGAGTAGCTGAGACTACAGGTATGCTCCACCACACCCGGCTAATTTCTTTACTTTTTTGTAGGGACAGGGTCTCATCATTTTGCCCAGGCTGGTCTGGAACTCTTGAGCTCAAGTGATCCTCCTGCCTTGGCCTCCCAAAGTGCTGGGATTACAGGCATGAGCCACCACAGCCAGTCAAGATTTTTTAACAGGACAGGACTGTCTAACAGGATTGTCTAATAGGACATAAAATACACTAACTATAAAGGAAAGTATTGATAAATTGGATTACATAATGATTGAGAACCTTCTTTTATCAAAAGACATTAAAAGTGGGAGAAGATACTCTAAGATAGAACATCCATGGACTCATATCCTGAATACATACTACAAATCAATAAAATATACACAAACAGATAAATGGGGCAAGAGATTCGAATAGTTACTTCACAAAAGAGAACATTCAAATAATATTGAAAAGGTGCTCAACCTCTTTAGTCATCAGGGAAATGCAAATTGAAAAAAATAAATACTGGCTAGGTGAGGCGACTCACATCTGTAATCCCAGCACCTTGGGAGGCTGAGATGGACAGATCACTTGAGGCCAGGAGTTTGAGACCAGCCTGGCCAGCATGGCAAAACCCTGTCTTTACTCAAAGCACAAAAGTTAGCCGGGCATGTTGGCCCACGCCTGTGGTCCCAGCTACTTGGGAGGCTGAGGCATGAGAATCGCTTGAACCCAGGAGGAGGAGGATGCAGTGAGCTGAGAATGCACCACTGGACTCCATCCTGGGCAACAGAACAAGACTTTACCTCCCAAAAAAAAGGTGGAGAGGGGAGGACTACTGCACTCTACCAGGATAGCGAAAATAAAAATGACTTGACAATACCAAGTTTTGGGAAAGATAGAAGCTTGAACTGTCTGACACTACTGAAGGAGCATACATTGGTACAACTACTTTGGAAACCTATTTGGCAGTATCTGCCTGTGACCGTGAAATTCCACTCTTTATTTGGGAATATACCCTCCTAAAATAATGCGTATGAGCAACATGAAGACATGTACAACAGTGCTCCTGGCAGCAGTATTTGCAACAGACAAAAATTGGAAACAACTGAAAGGTCATCAACAGTGGATGGATACGCTGGGTGTGGTGGCTCATGCCTGTAATCCCAGCACTTTGGGAGGCCAAGGAGGGTGGATCACCCGAAGTCAGGAGTTTAAGACCAGCCTGGCCAACAAGGAGAAACCTTGTCTCTACTAAAAATACAAAAATTAGCTGGGTGTGGTGGCGCACGCCTGTAATCCCAGCTACTCAGGAGGCTGAGACAGAATTACTTGACCCCTCATCCTGGGGTTGGCCTTATGCATGTGCAGCTTATGGCTCAGCACATATGCCAAAGACACGGTGCCAGCACTTTTTTTTTTTTTTTTGAGTTGGGGTCTCACTCTCACCCAGGCTGGAGTGCAGTGGTGCAATTGCTCCTGAGCATAAGTGATTCTTCCACCTCAGCCTCCCGAGTAGCTAGGACTACAGGTGTGGGCCACCACGCCCAGCTAATTTTTGTATTTTTTGTAGGGATGGGGTCTTCCTATGCTGTCCAGGTTGGTCTCAAACTCCTGGGCTCAAGCGATTTTCCCTCTACGGCCTCCCAAAGTGCTAGGATTACAGGTGTGAGCCACCTGCACACTTACACACCCATTCCTAGCTGCAGCTTCAGAAACTTCTGACCCAGGAAGTCAGCCCAAACCCCCTCACTGTCCCCCAAAATTTGAGTTCTTCTCAACTCTACCCAAACACTCCCCTTTCTTGGGGTGGCTTAATGCTCTGTCTCATTGCCCTTCCTACTGCCTACCCACATATCACATCTACCAACCTTCCACGCAGCCATAGACGTGTTCTATCAAAGACAGTTCCCTCCCCAAGAGGACTTCTCTGACTAATCATAATCTGCCTTTGGTTGTAATTTTGTGTTGTGAGGCCACCACAAGGGTGTTTGCTGAAGAGGTCCTGGAGTCCCCTCAGAGCACGCTTGCTACCAGGAGTCAGCATGTATGTAACTTCATCAGCTGGGGCTTCTGCTTCTCTTACAAACAGGTGCCAGGGCCCACCTTGGGCACTCCTGCAGAAGTGAGCAGAGGCTTCTGCCATGGGGCCATACCTTGTTTGACCTAGGTGCCAGCACTGGGACAGATGGCACAGCACAGTCCTGCCGTTCCCACAGGGTTTGTGTGTGCATCATGACAGGAAACACAGCAAGTCACAAAGGCTGTCCGATGTCCCTGCCTCAGCTTCCTGAGGACCTGTGCTTTTTACTGAAATACACTATCTCATAAGAATACTTCCCTGCCTTCCGCACCCCAGTGAGAAAGGAGTTGTGACTGGAAGTCAGTGTCATTGACTTTGGATATGAAAAGGAGGCAGAATGTCTCCAGGGTTAAAAGTAGTAACCAGGCCAGGCGTGGTGGCTTATGCGTGTAATCCCAGCATTTTGGGAGGCGGAGGTGAGTGGGTCACCTGAGGTCAGGAGTTCAAGACCAGCCGGGCCAACATGGCGAAATCCCATCTGTACTGAAAATACAGGAATTAGCCGGGTGTGGTGGCAGGCGCCTGTAATACCAGCTACTGGGGAGGCTGAGGCAGGAAGAATTGCTTGAACCCAGGAGGTTAAGGGTTGCAGTGAGCCAAGATCACACCACTGCACTCCAGCCTGGGTGACAGAACACGATTCCATCTGAAAAAAAAAAAAAAAAAAAAAAGCGGGGGCTGGGCGCGGTGGCTCACACCTGTAATCCCAGCACTTTGGGAGCCTGAGACAGGTGGATCGTCTGAGATCAGGAGTTCGAGACCAGCCTGACCAACATGGTGAAACCCCGTCTCTACTAAAAATACAAAAATTAGCTGGATGTGGTGGTGGGCACCTGTAATCCCAGCTATTCGGGAAGCTGAGGCAGAGGAATCATCGCTTGAACCTGGGAGGTAGAGGTTGCAGTGAGCCGAGATCACACCATTGCATTCCAGCCTGGGTGACAAGAGCAAAACTCCGTCTCAAAAAGAAAAAAAAAAAAAGTTAGTAACCAGGTTGTGTCCCACAGAGCTTTACTGGGGGCCAAACACTGTCAACCCCTCCTCAGGTCCCAGTGAGTTTGTGCACCTGGCCTTCTGACAGTAAGCGGTGAGCAGGGCATCCCCCACCAGGACCCCATACTTTCCTCCCATGGGTTTCCTATGGAATGTTGCTGCTTCAACTTCTGAGAGCCTCTTGCTGGGGGGCCCCATCCCTAGCCCTTGCCTCCCTGTGCTGCTTTACCTTCTTTTTGGGAGGATAACTGCCCTCTGTTTTCAGCACCCCAATAAGAAAGAAAAAGTCATGACCAGAAGTCAGTGTCAGTGATTGCTGATGTGTGGAAACATCTGATGAATGAAGAGTTTGGGTAAAAAATAAAGGGAACTGATGAAAACCACTTGTGTGTGAAGCCTATATAGTGGTGTGTGCCTGTAGTCCCAGCTACTCGGGAAGCTGAAGTGGGAGGACTGCTTGAGCACAGGAGTTGGACATCAGCCTTGAAAAGATAGTGAGACTCAATCTAGAAAACAGAAACAACACTTCTGACTGGTGTCTGCCTGTGGGTTTCTGACTCTGCTCCCAAACTTATGGTGAGAACTTCTTTGCTAACTTGAGAGTCTGCAAGAGTGAAGTTTTTGCCAAATTTTGGCCCTTAGTTCCTCTAAAACACTAATGGAAACGTAACCCCATGCTTGTTAAGACCCTCCTTCTGCCCTACCATGATTACCAGATCTCTGCTGAGGTTGCAAGATGAGGTGATCTTGCTGGAAACAAGGACAAATGGGGGAAGAAAATAGGGCTGGACAGGCCCAAGCATTCAGAGGCCAGGGCTGGGGGTAGGTAGGGGCCTGCTTCATTTGAGAACAACTATGAAGGACAATAGGGTTTCAACAGGGGAGAGAGTAGCGGTATTCAAAGCAAAGCAAAAGATGTAAGTGAAAGATGTAAGCGGGCCGGTGCGATGGGTCACGCCTATAATCCCCGTACTTTGGGAGGCCAAGGCAGGAGGATCACCGGAACTGAGGTGTTTGAGACCTGCTTGAGCAACATAGTAGGACCCTGTCTCTACCAAAAAAAAAAAAAAAAATTAAATTAGCTGGGCATGGTGGCTACTGTAGTTTCAGCTACTCAGGAGGCTGAGGCAGGAGGATCACTTGAGCCTGGGAGGTCAAGGCTACAGTGAGCCTGGGTAACAGAGTGAGACTGTCTCAAAAAAAAAAAA
The DNA here is from genome assembly GCF_000001405.40 of Homo sapiens. Lineage (NCBI taxonomy): Eukaryota > Metazoa > Chordata > Mammalia > Primates > Hominidae > Homo > Homo sapiens. The sequence goes on from NC_000003.12 coordinate 48,673,559, forward strand.
AAGGAGAAAAAGAAAGATGTAAGTGTGTAAGTGAAGCCTGGAGATGCAGACACCTGCGAATGGGCTGCTGAGGGGCACTTGGCTATGGCTGGGGCTCAGGAAAAGTGGAGCTCAGGGAAGAGAGGCTAGAACAGGGCTCAAAGGGCCTTGAAGGCCAGGCCTGTCAGGGTCCATCACCTCCTCAGGCTGGAGAAGTCAGTGCAAGCTGCAGTGATGGGGTCCTGAGGCCCCAGTACTTCTGCCCATCCTCTCCCACTGTCTCCCAAGATCATACAGGGAAGCCTGTTTCCAGATGCCTGTGATTTATTTCCAAAGGAGAGCTACAGCACATAGGAAAATACACATGGCTTTTCAGTCTACATTTTTACAGAGAAAAGAGATTCGGTCATTGGCTTTCTCAGTGCCATCATCCTGTTCCATGAGGCTCCAGGATGGATGGCCTGTCTCCAAGATCCCGCTTTCAAAGCAGCAGCTTGGCCAAGGCCTCTGGGGGTAGGAGTGAAGGGCAGCGACCCCCATGTGCGGGTGGAGGGGAGGACATGAGCAGCACTCACTGCAAAGCTAAGGCAAAGAATAGAGCTGGTGGGAGATGCCTCCCCTCACCCCAGGGGCATGGCTTGCTGAGGCCCAGGATACAGACCAGGAGGGGTGGGGATGGGGGTCTGGTCCAGCCTGGAGCGGCAGCAGGACTCTGAGTGTACACATGGGTGTGGGGTGAAGAGGGGGGCATGCTGAAGAGGAAGCCTACCAGGGTATAGAGGGGCTTTAGCTTGCATATTCCCCCTGCCCCAGAACAGCTCCCAGACCATGGTCCCCAATCCTACACTTGGCCCCTCTCTTAAGTTCTACTTCAGGTGGGGGTCCTGCTCAGGTTCCTTCTGCCACCTTATCCCCTCCCACTGTCAGTGCAAAACATTCTTAGGGCCAAGCCCCTGAGTCCCCTGCACACTGACTGGAGCTGCAGGGAAGGGAGGACAGCAAGGTGCTAGCTGGGAGCCTCCCCCAGCACCAGGAATTCCTTGCACATCTCTCGGACAATCATGCGGTCCATCTGGCACTGGGGTGAGGTCTCCTCCTCATTCAGGATGCGTCGCAGTATGGCCTGCAGGTCGGGTAGCCGGTGGCGGTGCTGCAGGTAGGGTGTGGTGCGGACTATAGCATGCATCAGGGAGAGGTACTCCATGCGCAGCTGTGGGAAGAGCAGGCCAGCTCAGGGACCCCAGGGAGGTACTGCAACCACCACTGGACAGGGACAGGACCCCACTGTCCCACAGACCCCAGGGCTGTGGACCTGAACATCAGGGCTGCATCCCCAGCACCCACAATATACCTGGCACAGAATTGGTCTTCAATAGTTTTTGAGTAAGCGAATAAACGAATCATCCCAGCCACAGACAGCCCCAAGTATGTGGCCTGCCCAGGGAAGTCCTGCCCATCCTTTGAAGCTGGGTCTCTCAAGGTGCCTCTGTCTATCAGTCAGAGGCCCTCTGCTTCTCACCCTATCCTCTCTTACCCTGGAAGACCTCGTGCACATTCACAGCTTCAAATAGTGAACCACTCTCATACCTCTTACCTAGAACTCCCCTGTGAGCTCCAGACAAGAATATTCAACTGCCCACTTGACATCTCCTGCACATGTGACAGACCTCAAATCCACATATCTACCACCAAACTCATGATCTTTCCCATCCTCCCAGAGTTGAAGGTTTTCTCATGTTCTTACCTTTAGAAAGAGCACTGTTGCCGATTCAAAAGCACAGGCCTGAAATATGGTGTCCTCTTTGCTTCTTGTCTCCCACATACCTCATATCCAAGCCATGTCTAAGACCTGGCCATCCTACCTCCTACATATGCCCCAAATTCATCTCCAACAGCCTCTCCTCCAACCTATACTCCCAACACCTCTGGCTGAACCAGTTCCAACAGCCCTTATGATCTATATATATATATCATATATATATATATATATGATATATATATATATATATCATTTTTTTTTTTGAGACAGGGTCTCGTGCTGTCACCCAGGCTGGAGTGCAGTGGCATGATCTTGGCTCACTGCAACCTCTGACTCCTGGATTCAAGTGATTCTCCTGCCTCAGCCTCCCAAATAGCTGGGATTACAGGCATGTGCCAAAATGCCTGGCTAATTTTTGTATTTTTTTTAAGAAGAGACGGGGTTTCGCCATGTTGGCCAGGCTGGTTTCAAACTCCAGACTTCAAGTGATCCACCCACCTCGGCCTCCCAAAGTGCTGGGATTACAGGCGTGAACCACCACGCCCGGCCAGCCCTTATGACTTGACAGCTTGTTCTCACAGAGACCCCCAGTCCACTGACCTGATGTCTGCTTCCCTCAACATCCCTCATTTCTCTTTTTACCTTTAATTAGAGAAATAATACCAAAACCTCCTTTAGGCAGCACACCCTGCTAAGTCCCAGCCCTGGGAGTCATACTGAGGTGCCTGCACATCAAACACCAGCGTCTAAGCTATAGACAAATGCAGAGCCATGTGCAGGCCTGAATGTCATTCACCACCGCAAACCTCAAACGGACACACAGCACTGCCTGAGCCTCCCACTGCTTTTCTCTGCTGTGTCACTCTCCCTTAGAGTAGTAATAATGTCCACCTTCTCTGTCTTTGAAACCTACCTACCTTGTCAGCTGGCCTTGTGCTTCATAGAGAATACAGAAGTAATCTTGCAGAAACCCGTCTTTCCCCTCAGTACCCACATCTCACCTGTCCCTACCAGAATGAGCAGCCCTAGCTCCTGTCCATGTGGGCCTGGACCTGAACTCTCCCCTCCTGCCCCATCCACTTGACTCCTGTGGTGGCTCACCATCTCCAACACATCATCCATCTCTCTGTGCTTGCTGGATCATTCCCTCCGGCTCAGAACATGCACCATCATCCGTACCATTTTTGTTTTTGTTTTTTAAAGAGACAAGGTCTGGCTTTGTTGCCCAGGCTGGAGTGCAATGACACAATCATGGCTCAATGCAGCCTTGACCTCCTGGGCTCAAGTAATCTTCCCACTTCAGCCTCCAAAGTAGTTGGAATTACAGGTGCATACCACCATGCCCAGCTAATTTTATTTTCTACTGTGGTCCATCAGGTTATACAGAGGTCTCACTATGTTGCCCAGGCTGATCTTGAACTCATGGACTCAAGTGATCCTCCCACTTCGGCCTCCCAAAGTGCTGGGATTATAGGCGTGAGCCACTGCACCTGGCCAACATCCCCCATCTGTCACCCAAGCTGGAGTGCAGTGGTGTGATCTTGGCTCACAGCAACCTCCACCTCCCGGGTTCAAGCAATTCTCCTGCCTCAGCCTCCCAAGTAGGTGGGATTACAGGCTCCCACCACCATACCCAGCTAATTTTTGTATTTTTCGTATTTTGTATTTTTAGTAGAGACCACTTTGACCAGGCTGGTCTCGAATTCCTGACCTCAAGTGATCCACCCACCTCAGCCTCCCAAAGTGCTGGGATTACAAGCATGAGCCACCGCGCCTGGCCAACATCCCCCATCTTCAAAACACTCTCCCTGGCCAGGCACGGTGGCTCACACCTGTAATCCCAACACTTTGGGAGGCTGAGGCAGGTGGATTGCATGAGGTCAGGAGTTCAAGACCAGCCTGGCCAACATGGCGAAACCCTGTCTCTGCTAAAATATAAAAATTAGCTGGGTGTGGTAGTGGGTGACTGTAATCCCAGCAACTTGGGAGGCTGAGGCAGGAGAATCACTTGAAACCAGGAGGCGGAGGTTACAGTGAGCCACGATCGTGCCACTACACTCCAGCCTTGGCAACAGTGGGAGACAAACAAACAAACAAACAACAACAACAAAAAACCCCCAAAAAAACACTCTCCCTATCCCCATGTCATCTCTCTCCAGCAACCTCCCTTCCATTTTTCTCTTCCCCTTAATAGAAAATTCACAAGAGTTGTCTCCATTTACTGCTTCCAACCCTCCCCTCATTTCTACTCCCCAATAACTTCAAGCTCTCTCAAACTTTCATTCAGACTCTCCTCCTTGCACCCCACTGACACTGCTTGTCAGGCACCACTGACCTCTGTGTGGTGAATCCAATGGCCAACCCCAGTCTCGCTCAGGCTCCTAACGGTATAGAGATGGCTGATCGTCTTCCTCTAAACATGTGGCTTTGGGCTCCTGCTTTCTTGGTTCTCTTCCTGGGTTTCTCCCTAGTTGTTTCAGCTGTGCCCAGGGCTGCAGCCCGAACTTCCCGCTGACCTGCCTATCTATCTCATTTCTGAGGCAATCACATTGTCACAGGCTTCCCATCGTATCTCTGCATAGACCACTCCGAAATGTCTCTCTAGTCTCAACTCATTCCCCACTGCCTCCCTGATGCCCTCGGTACCTGGGTGTCTAGCAGATATCTCCTCATTCTTGACACATTCAAAACACGACTCTCTATTTTCCCCCAAGAAGTTCTCCCAGCCTCCCCAACTTCAAAAATCAGCACTTCATCCATCTAGCTGCTCAAGATAAATCAAGTGGCAAGCCCTGCCAGATCCACTTACTAAACACTCCACAGCTGGCCTCTTCTCGCCACTGCCACTGCCACGACCTATCCCATCCCCACCCCATCCATGCCACCTGGACCACTGAGGCTGCTTCCTCCCTGGCTGGCTTCCACTCTGCTGGCATGCAGTTGATTCCATGTGGGATGTTAATCACATCACATTCCCCGGTCCTGAGATCACAACCTCTTGCAGCAGCCTCCGAGGCTTTGTGTAAACTCCATCCTCCATGCCTCATCTCCCTCCACTCCCTCCTCTCCAGCCTCCTCCAGCCCCACCACCTCCAGATCACCTCATGGCTGGCTCCTTTGGGTCTTGGTGCACCTATCATGGCCTCCTACACTTACCTGGCTCCAGCAGTGGCCTTGCCCCCTCATCTCCACTCAATGTCATGCCCCCCACCATTTTGTTTCAGTTTCCACACAGTGACCCCCGCTGCTGCAGCCACCTCCAGGCACCTTGTCTCCTGGTGACAGGTCTGCGATGTGCCGCACAGTGATGTCAATGAGAGCCATCATGTCTGTGTGGTAGAAGATGGCAGCTGTGGCCGGGCTGCCAAACACGTCCTGCAGGAACTTGAGGACAGAGTGTGGTGGCTGTGGCTCATGTTTGAAGATGCGCACAGGGTCATCTAGGAGGCAGGGGTCATAGCGGTCAGGGTGGACCTTGTGGGGATCCCAGAGTCACCCCAGGGGGTTACGGGAGTCATTGCAGGGGTCATGGAGTCACAGGGCATGGAAGTGGTACCCGCGCAGATTCCCGGGCCCTCACCCCCTCTGTTCAGGAGCAACAACAGCTTCTCGGAGAAGATCTTGACATTGGCGTGTTTGCTCAGGGCAGCCATGATGACATTCTGGTCAGCAGCTAAGGAAGGACATGGGTATAGACAGGGTGCTGAGCCTGAGAGCCACCATGTGCTCAGCCACCGCCCAGCCAGGCCCCACCCCACCTGGCAGGTGCAGGTTGAGAGCCAGAAGCAGGTTCACGCAGAGGTCCGGCAGCTGCTCTGTGGTGTCCAAGGGCAGCCCATCCTCGACGATGTTCAGTAGGAACTGGGCGAAAGGCGTGCCCAGGTGCTCTGGGAGAGGGGCGCACAGAAGTCTGCAGCCCCATTCCCCTCCGACCCCCGCACCACCCACCCTTCCTGGCTTTCTGTGAGCCTTGGGGATAGCCTCTCCCTGCTAGGCTGTGTAGTCAGCAGGTCCCAGGCCCTCGGGCAATGGGCCCTGGCTTAGGACCTGTGATCAGCTGGTCGGTTACTGCATTCTTACCATAGTGTGCATAGGGCACTGCCTCTCCCATGGAGAAGACCATGGCCAGGATGAGGGCAGAGTAACAGAGTTTCTGGTGGTCTGGGGGGGACAAGGCAGGCAGTCAGAGTCCCCAAAGATGGCAGGAAACCCCAGCAGATGGCAGGAACACCCTCCAGATAGCAGGAAGTTCCCTCCTACCCCGCCCTCCAGCCTCACCCTGCGTGTCTGTCTGCATGTCCCTCGCCAGCTCTACAGGCAGCACGGATGACACAAGCGTGGAGATGATGGCTGCATCCAGGCTGCACATGGCGCCAAAGCACTTGAGGAGCAGCAGCCGCAGTGATGCTCGGTGTTCCTGGCAGGGAACCCTGCGTGCTCAGTGCCTGGAACTCCCCCACTATCTAGGTCTCTCCATTACCCCTCCCCTCCATCCTGCACATACCATTTGGTAATAGGCCACCAAGGCCAGGACAGACTCGAACTCGTTTCTCTTGCACATTTTCTTGCAAACTTCAGGGTCTGCATCAGTCTACAGAAATGAGGAAGTGAGAGCATCAGCCACCATGAGCGGAGCTGTGCAGCCGCACAAGAGAGGGCTGAGCACATATGTGTAGGGGAGACTCCTAGCACTGTGAGGGATGCTACAGGGTGGGGGCCACTGTTCCCCATGTGGGGTATGTGTGTGGGACCCCACCCTTACCAGAATATGCAGCAGCTCCTCTAGGTAGCAGCGGATGACACCCTCATCCTCATATAGTGCCCAACTGCGCTGCTGGGCGTCGTCCTTCCGGCGAGCCAGGTCTGCAAAGATCACCTCCAGCCTCTGCTGGTCGTGGCAGACCTGCCCTGAGGGCAGGGCCATGCTGAGGTCCTAGAGGGAGAGGGCAAGGCATGACTCAGCACACTCCCTGCCCTCACCATCTCCAGGGAGCCTCCAAGGCCTGGAGAGTCCATCTGTGGACTTTTACTCCATGAACTCAAGTCCCTCCTGGCCCACACTGGACAGGAGGCTCAACTCCAGTCTTGATGACCTCCCAGGACAGGAGTCAACGGGAGACTCATCTGTAGGGGGTTTTCAACAGCTCGCCTCTCATCCCAGACCTGGATAAACACCCCCAACTAGGAGGGCCATGAACTCTGTCACTGCCAGAATGTGACTCTGAGACCTCACTCTCCCATTCCACACAAAATGGCACAGGCCTGTCATCTACCAACTTGCCACATTTTCCTTGAACCCTGCTGACCAGGCACTAGCTGTTGTGCCCAGCACAGCCAAGCCCATTGGCCCACTCCCCAACACCCAAACCAGAAGTGTAACAGGAACCATGGAGCACTAAAGAGGGACCTTTGGTCTGTCTGACCCCCATCATGTATGCTGGGCTCACTGCCCCCATCCTGCTCATGAGTGCCAAGGATCCCACCCATCCCATGATGCCCACACACCTCACTCCCTCTCATCCATGTCAGCACCTAGGACTCCATCCCAGCTCTCCCAGCACCCATGTCTCTTACTGCCAAGGTCAGCAAGGCACTACCCTCACCCACGCCGTGTCCATTCCTTCCCTGCAGCCAGACAGAACTCTTGGCCACCCGCATGTCGTCTTATCTGTCACCTGCCCCAGGTCTCACCTCCTCCTACAGCACCCACTCCCTCACTCCCTGTGTTCCAGTCCTGCAGGCCTTGTTCCACTTCCTCCCACAAGCCAGGCTCAGTCCTGCCTTGTGGCCCTTGTCCAGGCTGCGCATCTGCCTGGAATGCTTGTCCTTCCTTTCTGCTTCAGAAATCAGCTCAACGTCCCCAGTGCCCAGCACAGTAAGAGCTCAGAGCCAGAGCTTGAGAAATACCTGTAATGTACAGGCTGGACAAGTGTGTGACGGTGGGAACAGGGTGGGTAGCAGGGTGGCCCTGCTGTGCCGCCCACCCTCACCTTGCCCTCTACGAGTGAGAGGAGGACCTGCTCCATGACTGGTGAGCTGGCCGGCACCGAGGCCTGGATGTGACCCACTATGATGCCGATGGCCACCCGGCATAATTCGTGGCTCAGGCCAGTGTTTCTCCGCACCAGCTCCATCAGCTCGGCCCCAATGGTCCTGGGCACAGCCGCCTCAGCTGCTGCCTTCTCCTCTGTGGTCCCCAGGCTCAGTGTACCCAGGGCTTCCAGGTCATCAGAGGCTGAGGTTGTACCAGTTGCCACTTCTTCTTCTGCAGGGGGTTCAGGTGCTGATGCCTTGGAGGGAGGGGGCTGGACTTGGGACACGGTGGTGTGGGTGCCTCGGCGGGGCACAGGTGGGGGTGTGGGTGAGCAGCTGGAGCCTGGTTCAGATGGGCTGGAGCTGGTATAGAGCGTGTCCAGGGAGGTGCTGCTGACTGAGGAGCCGCTGGACACAGAGTTACCCCCGGAGGGCATGGTGTTGTGGCCACCTGCGAGCAGTGAGTAGAAGCTGGGCCAGGGCAGCCCCCTGGAAAACCATACCCTTCACAGCCCAGATCCCCTGTCCCCTAACACAGGGCCTAGTTTCTCTGCTAGGCACTGCCTCCTCACAAAGCCCAGAGCCCCTAATTGCCCCAAAATGGGAGTCCTGTCCTCTTCCCCAGCTTAGAGCCTCCATTTCCCTGACACAGGCAGCACAACCATTCCAAGCATAGGGTGCCTCCACCTGAATTCCCCTAACCCTGCCTTCTTACCACTCCCAGAGGCCATCAGGGCCTCGCGGTCTCGGCGCTTCACTGGTGGGGGCGGTGTGGTGGGTGCTGCTCGGCGAGGCTGTGGTGGGATCTGGGAAGATGGAAGTGGGATCTGGAAGATGGAAGTAGGATCTTGGAGGACAGACTGACATCTAGAGCGTCAGCGAGGCTCGGGCCCTGAGCCCTGGCTGTGGGCAGGACTATGGCTCTGGGCCGCATCACTCCTGAGTGGACCCCTTGAGCCTCTGGATGAAGCCTCAAGTTCCACCCACCTCCCTTCTCCACGATGTCCTCCCCACACACCTGGTAGAGGCCTCCATCTGCCCCAAGATGCTCAGAACTGGGTAGGCTGTGCTGCCGCTCGAACCCAGCTCGACACACCCCATTGGGCTGCCTGGCTGCAGCAGCATCCAAGTGGTGGTCACTGGTTGATGAGGTCATAACTGCAACACTGGAGGCTGAAGGGCCTCTGCGTGACAGGGTCTCTTTCCGGTGGTGGATCAGCTTCCTGATGGAAGGACAGGAAGACTATTGGGGGGTTGCATCTCACAGCTCAAAGTCCTCATATGCCCCTGTGGGATGCTGGGACCCCATAGCCCAGGCCCCTCAGACATCCCCATCTCCTCCATGCTCCACCCCAGCCTACAGTACCCCATACTATCCTCAGTCCTGCGCTCTGCACACCCCTGGTGCTCACTGAAGGACCCGACCCCACCTTGCTCACTGGGAGGTGCCATTCCCCCACCACCCTTGCCAACCCTCGCATTTCCCAGGCCCACCTGCCCCATGACACTCATTGAAGAACCCCACCCCACCATGCTCACCGGGAGGTCCCACTTCACTCCCCTCAACACTCACTGGAGGACTCCACGCTGTTCCAGGCTGTACTTGCCACCATCCCGCATGGCTGTGTTGTGTACAGCCTCGATGGCCCGGTCAATGGCCTGGAGGACATCCTGCTCCAGGCCCTGGGGGGGGCAGGGGACAGCAGTTAGACCTGAAGGCCAAACGGAGGTGCTCAGCCCAGGCCCAGCCCGAGATAGAACCCAGGGCAGAGAACCAATATAGCGAAAGCCTGGAATGCTAGACATAGCACAAAAAGTTGAACCAGAATATGGAATGGGGTTCTCAAACTGTATCACTCAGGGAGCTGAGGCACAGGGTGACCCCCATGCTGCCACATTACATATTAGGTCCTGATCAGGATTTTACCCCACAGCAAGGCTCTTGGCTAAGATGTTTCTGAAAATCAGAGGTCTAAAGCAAAAACATAGCCCAGGGGCTCCCAGCTTGCAGCCAGGAGCGCATACCTCGTCTATCCCTGGTCTTGGCTCAGAGCCCAGGTTGAGATGCCAAACAGGAAGTCTCCAGTATCTGGAATCCTTAATACATCACTCTGCATCTTGCTGATCTTTCACAAAACCAAGGTCATACCCCAGAACAGCCCTGTCCTTGTAAGGGCCCTCTGTAAGCCCTGGGAGCTGAGAATGGGTCAAAGGGACTTGCCCTCCCCAACCCTGCTGCTGGCCCTCATCCCCACAAGATGTCTCAGTAAGCTTCCAAACCCACCCTGGGAAGCAGTTCTGTGTTTGTGGCAAAGGATAAACATGAGAGAGGGGCCTAGCCCCTGTTCCAGGCTCTGTACTGCCATCCCCAACATTCCAGGGATCCAGTCTACTCTGCCTATCTGACATGGGGAGTGTAGGGTAGCAGCTATCAAACCAGCTACCCCCAGCCCTCCCCTGGCCCTGGCACACGTAGTCCATCAGGCTACATAGGAGTCCCGGAGCTGAGATGAACTCATTCCACCATGGGTTTGAGAAGCTTCCCTGATGGGCACAGACAGGTGGGCACAGAGGTCAGCAAAGCCCTCCAGGTGGTATGAGGTGTGCCAGAGTGCAGGGAGAGGAGACAGGGGGATAGAAAGACATGAAGACACACACACACACACACACACACACACACACACACACACAGAGAGAGAGAGAAAGAAAGGAATGGGGAAAGAGAGGAGCTCAGAGAGGAACGGAGAGGCAGACAGAGGGAAACAACGCAGAAAGAAACAGAGCCAAAGCCAGAGTGTGGGGGGAGCCGGAGGAAGAAACAAAAACACACACATGTGGAGTCGGAACGACACAGGCAGAGAGGCACAGAGTCGCAGCAATCCAGACAGAAAGAGACACGCAGAAAGAAACAGACAGTGACAGAGAAGATGGTAGCCTCTCTGCCCTCCCCAAACACCTTGCCCCACTGGTCCTGGCTGGCGGCAGGGGACTCACAGGCCCTTGACCTATGCCCAGTAGGGGAAGAGACAGGACTTTTCCTCAGAGGCCTTCAATGAGACCCCATTCCCAAAAAGGTTGGGTCTGACACACAGCAGCCATGGTGTCCACGGCCCCCACTCCCACCCCTGGCACTCCTAGATGGGATCACGCCAAGGGTCTATGAGGAAGCCCCTAGGCCCCCAGGGCCCATCCTTCCTGGTAAGACCAGATGACACTTCCAAATTTATCCCGTTATTTCTGTCCTGAACTGGGCTGGGACAGGATGTTTCCTAAAGGATAAGGACTAGGACGGGGCGGGGGTGTCTGGCACAGGCCCGGCAGCTCTGGGCCCTTCTTCCCCCTGTGGTCAGAATAGACCAGCTGGAGATACGCACCCCAACCCCCGCAGCAGGGCTACTCTTAGGGAAACAGGAACTGGGACTGCAGCTTCCACTGGAAGGAAATGGGGCCACGATCAGACCAGGAGAAGCTATAAGAACTCACTTCATCACAATGTGAGCAGTCCCCACTCCAGGCTGGGAACAAGTAGGGATGGAACCCATTTTCAAAGCAAGAAAGTTTGAGAAGTCAGGGTTGGGGAGTGGAGCAGACAGTGTCAGCAGGGGCATGGGTCCTTGGTTCAAATAAGGTTGGTAGAGACTTAAGAAGAGCTTAGAGGGTGGCTGAACACAGGCTAGTGAAAGACACTGAAGTACCAAAGCTTGGGTGTTACATAGGGGATGGAGGTGTCTATGGCTCTAGGGTCCAAGTTGGGGGGTTGAGGACCTGGAGAATGGCTAGGGAAACAGGTGGTGTCCAAGGTGGTCCAGGTCTCAGTGGTGGCTCCAACGGGGGGCAAGGCGCGGGGTTGGGGGAAGAAGGAAGGGAGGGAGGGAGGGAGGGAGGGAGGGAGGGAGGGAGGTTGGTTGTGGGGTCCTAGGAATCCAGAGAAGGGGCATATTAAGGATCTGGGGTCTCAGGGATTTGAATAATTGGCCAGGATTCGGTGGGGCTCAGGGTCGCCATTCAGATGGCGGACTCGATACTGAAGGGTCTGGGGTCCTGAGGAGTCTCAGTCCCAGAGTTAGGCTTTTGGTCGATCGGGAGTTGGTCTGTCAAGGGCCTGGTCTTTTGTGGGTGATGCTGACACTTGGGGTCTCAGTCCCCGTGGGTCCGGGGGTCTCAGGGTCAGGTTCTCAAACTCCCTGTCTGATAGAGGTCCTGGCCTCGGGTCCCGGAGAGGGTGGGGTCCCTGGGTCGGTTCCGCGGGGCTGTGAAGGGGTCCTGCCCCAGGGGCGCGGAGGCCGGGCGGGAAGGGGCGCACTCACCTGCAGGCGGCGCAGGTAGGCTGGCGGCACGTAGCCCGTCTCACCACTGCGCGCCCGCGCGGCCAGCCACCAGTGCGCGCTGCTTCGCTCTAGCACCAGGAAGGTCTCGCCCGCGGCGAACGCCAGCGCGTTGGGCTCCGCCGAGCGGAACGCGTACAGCGCGCGGTACATGAGGCCGGGCAGGGCAGGTGCAGGGAAGGTGGCAAGGGCTGCGGCGCCACAACGCCAGGCCGGGAGCGCCGAGCCGCGCCGCGGTTGTCCCGCCCCGTGACACACTACGCAGGCGCGCGCGCGCCCGCCCGCCGAAGCCCCGCCCCGGGCTGTATCGTTCCACGCATCGGAGAGCAGCGCCCCCGCGCGGCCCCAAGAGGTGCGGCGGGGCTGGGGTCGACAGCTCGCTGTCTCCTCTGGTCCCTCCCGGCTCCAGGCCCCTCATCCCCGGACACCGCACCCTCACTCCTCACCCCGGCCTCAGTTTCACCCGTCCAGCCCTCTGCTCCCTTTCCCCGCTTAAGTCCGAGCGCTGCGTCCCGTCCTACCTCCCGGTGAAAGCGCGCTCCGCTCGTAGCGGGTGCGCCCCTACCGCCCTGGGGCAGTGGGTCCCATCTACTAATTGCAAGGACGGCGACCTCGAAAGGATGATCTTGCTGATCCGACACTTGGAAGCCCCCGCGGGGCCCGGCTCTCGGTGTGTCTAGGCCTCACCACCTGTCTTCACCGAGTGCCGGTGGTGGCCAGTGGGGAGCAAGTGTGGGGAGAAGGGGGCCACAAAAGCAGAAACCAGGCGGGGCTATTCCCTGTCTAAAGCCCTCCCATCTTTGCTCCCCACCCCTACTCCTCCTCTCTCTTCAGCTATGGCTGGTTTTCTCTATATTGGGCCTTTGCATATTCTGTTCCCTCTACCTGGGACAATTTTCCCTTCCCTCTCCTATAGTATTTGTCCGTCAAGCTCCCACCCCCATCAATCGCTATCATCTTGCTGTGTTTTATTGTCTTTATAGGACTTAAGATTTGCGATGCCCCTTTCTGAGAGCATAGAGGAGGGCTGAAAGAGGGAGTGGGGTACCACGGTGGCCTTAAGAGCCTATTTGATCCACCCAGCTTTCCAGTCAGCCCAGATCTCCAGATATATGAAATCCGTGTAATAAGAGTGCCTGGAAGACCCAGGGAAGAGGCCCTCAGGGTCCTGGAGAGACTGTGGCTGAGAATGGTCCAGCTACGCTCCACAGGAAGCCCGAGCCCAGGAAGCAGGAGGCGTGTACAGGCCAGTGTGTGCAAGTTTTCTATTTTTATCTGTATTTATTTTTTGAGACAGGGTCTTGCTCTGTCGTCCAGGCTGGAGTGCAGTGGGATGATCAAGCTCATTGCAGCCTTGATCTTCCAGGCTCAAGCCTACTGTCTCTGGGACTACAGGCATGCACCACCACACTCAGCTTTTTTTTTTTTTTTTTTTTTTTTTTTTTTTAGTAGAGACAAGGTCTTGCTATGTTGCTCTGGCTAGTCTCAAATTCCCGGACTCAAGCAGTCCTCCCAGTGTTGGGATTATGGGTGTCTGTCTGACCCAGTTGCCTATTTTTAGGCCTAAAGTACATAGGCCTAGTGTGAGGTTCAGGTGAGGGGTAGAACTGCTAGAAACTGACATCCAGACCCTGCCTTCTCTGCACCAGGTCTGGCTCTTCAGTTCAAGACCTCTCTTGGCCCTTCCTCCTCCCAGAAGCCCTCCTGGGGCAGGGCAGAATCTCGGGGTCTGTGCTGTCTGGGACTGCCTGAAGAATAAGACTGGTGAAATTGCAATGGGGACTAGGGCTGGGCAGGAGTGGTGACAGGTGGTGTGGCCAAGAGGACCACCCTACCTGCCCAAACACGCCTTTTTATGGTACCCTCCATCACCTGGGCCCCTTTACAACACAGTCCATGGCTGCCAATGGACCAGACCCGAGGCTAGAGACCCTAGTATTGCTTCCAGGACATCTATCACAATAGCCAGCCAATTAGCTGCTGCCAGTGGCATAGGAGGGATTAAAAGCTGGACCCAAGGTTTGGATCACCTGCTATCTAATTGGCTTAAGCTGCATACGGCCCATGAGAAGACCTGTGTCAAGCGTCATGTGGTTTTTGGATAGAGGTGCTGAGACACTTAGCCAGCACAGACGCCAGAAGGTATGTAACTTGGGGATCCTTTCTGGGTAACCTTCAGGATGCTGGGTTGGAGACTGTACACCATGCCAAGAGGTTGTGCTGACTTTAGGATCCATGGAGTGGGGGTGGCAGCCAGGAGAATACTGAGCCAGGGAGGTGGTCACAGCATGTGGTGAGGCTTGGGAGGGGGACTGCCTGCTCTTGGAAAGAATGACAGGAGCACTATATACAATAAACAAAAAGATTTGTATTAGAACATATACACTCAGGGAAGAAAGAGGTATCATCATCAAATGTGGAATGTTGAAGAAATAGTTAAAATAAATAAAGACTCCAAGCACAGCTGGGACTGGCTCAGGCTGGGGCTCACAGAGGCCACTGCACATCAGCTCCAGGCTGCAGGAGCCACCACCTGGCCATACTGGCTTCCTCCCTGACGCAGCACAGCTGTGCCTGGGACACAGAGTCGCTCTCAAGTACTGGAGCAGCTAGCAAGCTCACTCCCCACTCTCCTCACTTATCTCTGTGACAATGTCTATCAGGCTCTGGAGCCCGAAGATATAGCCAGCATCCTGGCCCTCATGCACCACGGTGTCCTCGCCATACAGCCTGCAGGTGGTGTGTGCAAAGTCGATCATGCGCACATCTACAGAGCTGGCGCCGATGGGTTTGTAGGCATAGGCACCAGCAGACTCATCAGCTGATTCCTCTGACAGGTCCTCCAAATCCTCAGCATCTGAGTCCAGGACCACTTCGGGCCGCTCCTTGCCATCATAAATGACCAGCAGGGAGCTTGAGTAGAAGCGGTAGGACTCCTGTCGCTCCAACACTGCCTTGAGCTCAGTCAGCTTCTTGAGCACAGGGCCCAGGAGTTCACGGCGCAGGTACCGCCCATTGTGGAAGAACTGGAAAAGTGCCTCCTTGAAGCCCTGCACCGATAGCTTCCGTCCATGGTACTTGTTCATGAACATGAGCTGCCCACTGCCTGCTTGGTACACCTGTAGGAGAGAGACCAGCAAGTCAGGGGCTGAGGGCCATCTCAAACCCTGGACCCCGGGCGGGGGTGGGGTGGTGTGGTGGTGGCGGCATGTGACAGCCCAGATCAGATAAAGTACACCAGTTGCACATGAGCCACTGTCCACTATGCTCTCTGATCAGCCCCCACCTGGGATGCAGCCATCCAACCTGGGTTTGGTCATTGTGCCCCAGCACCCCACCTCAACATCTGGGTCACTGGAGAGGACCAAACCCTTTTGCCTTCCTCCCTACTACTATCCACAGATTCTGGACTCAGCCAACCAGACCAATCTGAGAGAGGATCATGCAGGCATGCATGCTTTCTTTTTTAACCAAAAAGCAACAGACTCATGTAGGGTCAAATCTGGAACCTTTTTATTTTGAGACAGTCTCGCCGTCGCCCAGGCTGGAGTGCAATGGCGTGATCTCAGCTCACTGCAACCTCTGCCTCCTGGGTTCAAGCTGTTTTCATGCCTCAGCCTCCCAAGTAGCTGGTATTACAGCCGTGCACCACCACGCCCAGCCAATTTTTGTATTTTTAGCAGAGACAGGGTTTCGCCATGTTGCCTGGGCTGGTCTCTAACTCCTGACCTCAGGTGATCCACCCACCTTGACCCCCAAAGTGCTGGGATTACAGGTGTGAGCCACTGCACCTGGCCTGGAATCTTTTGAGCAAACAGGACTATACCAGGGTGGGGAAGTGACAGCCACTGGATGCCCTAGCCAGCCCTAGCATCCCCCTCACCTGCATGCCACACACACGCACACCAATGACTGCAGATGTGCTCTGCTGACATTTTCGGATCTGGTTGGCTGCCTTCTCCTCTGAAGCATCATCACCATGTTGTCGTGTGCCCATCTTGAGGTCAAGGACACAAGGCACCTCGTAGCGGGAAGTCAGGTTTTCCAGTAAGATAAATTCTGAGTAGTTAAGAATAATACCCCCAAAAGGAAGTGCTACTGCATGGGTCCTTGGCACTCTCAAGGTACAGTGCCTTGATGCAGTGACCCAGAGAAGCCTGAACCCACAGGAGACTCCATTAGTCCTGCCATCCCCGACACAGGGAGTCCAGAGCTGACTATAAAGCTAAGAGACACCTTTACTTCTTGTCAGGGAACTGACGTGGAAGCAGCCTGCACCCGGACTCAACAGAGGCCTAGGCTCTTCCTGCCTGGGAGACACACATGCCATCTTCTGAACTCTTAGCTAAGTGTAGGACTAGGGTCCAAAAACAAAGTCCTCAATTACAAGTAGAACATCAAGAAAGTTCAGTAAATCCTGTAGCCTTAAATGTGAACTGGAAATATCAGTATAAACTCATGAAAATACTTTGCTCTTTAAACGTCTGCTTCTCAGCTGTGTGCACTAAAAAGGTCTAGAAACAATAACCAGAAATAATGAGTGTCTCTGGTGCACAGACCATTGACTCATTATTTCCCATTCAAGGAATCAGTGCTCCCAACAGCAGAAACTGGTAAACTATGGCCCAGTGCTTGCTGTTTATGGCCTATAAGCTAGGAATGGTTTTTACATTTTTAAGAGACCAAAAAATAGATAAAAGGCTAGGCGTGGTGGCTCACGCCTGTTATCCCAACATTTTGGGAGGCTGAGGCAGGAGGATCACTTGAGCCCCGGAGTTTGAGACCAGCCTGGGCAACACAGTGAGACCTTACCTCTACAAAGGGGAGGGGAGGGGAGGGGCAGGGAGGAAGAGGGCTGGGCGTGGTGGTTCATGCCAGTTATCCCAGCACTTTGGGAGGCCAAAGCAGGTGGATCACCTGAGGTCAGGAGTTTGGATCAGCCTGGCCAACATGGTGAAACCCTGTCTCCACTAAAAATACAAAAATGAGCCAGGCGTGGTAGCGGATGCCTGTAATCCCAACTACTTGGGTGGCTGAGGCATGAGAATCGCTTGAACCTGGGAGACGGAGGTTGCAGTGAGCTGAGATCACACCACTGCACTCTAGCCTGGGGGACGAGCAAGACTCTGTCTCAAAAAAAAAAAAAAAAGAAAAAAAAGAGAGAGAGAGGAAAAAAAGAAAAGAGAAAAGAAAACAAATATTTCCTTATGCACAGCTCATGTCCCAGTGGTGGTCTGGTGAACCAGGACTGATCAGGTCAGTCTCCTCACCCAAACACCCCAGCCCTTGGCAGGTGAGCAATGTTTTCAGACTTCTGAAAAGTCTGAAAACAGGGAGCAGCTCCTTGCCCTCTTCCTCTAGGTTACCTAGGCTAAAGCCCACCTGATGCAAGCTGGCCCCTTCATGAGGCACCCCTCACCTCCCAGAAACCCATTATACCCCACTCCTCATCATCTGCACTCCTAGGCCAGTAGCTGCCCTGAGGGAAGTGATTATTTGCCCATAATTATCATACAGGTCCTGGAATAACCCAGGTAGGAGAAACTCAACCATGACTATAAAAACCTAACTTCTCTCTCCAAGCTCCAAGGGACTTCCTCATTTCCTCTCCTCTTACCCTCAAATGCAGAGATGCCCGTGAACAAAGGATACTGTACTGGTTCCGATGCTTTGCATTCTCCTTCATTCTCTGTAACTGTTGCTGGTGACATTTCATGCTCCAAGGGTTATAGTGTTTAAGCTGGGAACTTATATTCCCCTTCTTCTCTACAGTGTAGTACAAGACTTCAGATTTCTTTAGCCACTCAAATTCTTCTTCTAACTTATGGCTATAAAGAGATAAGGACCAATAAATCAGTATGTCTTATCAGAATTCAGAAGGCCGGGCATGGTGGCTCATGCCTGTAATCCCAGCACTTTGGGAGGCCGAGATGGGCAGATCACTTGAGATCAGGAGTTGGAGACCAGCCTGGCCAACAGGGTGAAACCCTGTCTCTACTAAAAATACAAAAATTAGCCAGGCGTGGTGGTGTGCTCGGGAGGCTGAGGCAGGAGAATCACTTGAACCTGGGAGGCAGAGGTTGCAGTGAGCCTAGAAGATCGTGCCACTGCACTCCAGAGCCTGGGCAACAGAACAAGAAAGACTCAAAAAATAAATAAATAAATAAATAAATAAATAAATAAAATCCAGAAACTTTCTTTTTTTTCTTTTTTTGAGATGGAGTTTCGCTCTTATTGCCCAGGTGCAATGGTGCGATCTCAGCTCACTGCAACCTACGCCTCCCGGTTCTAGAGATTCTCCTGTCTCAGCTGGGACTACAGGCGCATGCCACCACACCGGGCTAATTTTTGTATTTTTAGGAGAGACAGGGTTTCATCATATTGGTCAGGCTGGTCTCGAACTCCTGACCTCAGGTGATCCGCCCGCCCTGGCGTCCTGAAGTGCTGGGATTACAGGCATGAGCCACCGCACCCGGCCAGAAACTTTCTACAGTAATGAAAAGTGACTTCTTGATGTGGTGGTGGCTTACCGTGTAAACATCTGCCAAAACTCTCTGAACACTCCAAATGGGTGCATTTTACCACATGTATACCTCAAGAAAGTTGATTTTAGAAAATAAAATTAAGGGACCAGTCAACCACTATTTTCTACAGCAAAAAGAACCTAAGATCCAAGATCAGCCCCTGCTCCCCAGCCCTGTATGTGGAGAGCCTTCACTGCCCTCTTCTAGGCAGTGGTACCACCTAGCCTCCAGTACAACCAGGTTCCCCTGACTCCAAAAGCTGGCAACTGGGAAAATAGGAACTGAAATTCCATGGGACTACGTCAACCTACTTAGCTACATTACATGTACTTTACTTTATATATACTATTTATATTTTCACAAGCTTTGCCAAGGTGCAAGGGTAGGATGGCCCTGCTTAGGGGGATTGCTGAGTTTCAGGGATGCCCAACTGCTCATTTCATCCCCCACCACTGGTGAACAACCTGAGGTAAAAGGATGGCTCCTCTCTTAGTCACTGCTACATCTCCAGAACACAGCCTAGCACAGAGCAGTCATAGAAGAGTGAGTGAATCTCTTACAGCTGCCAGTGCAGCTGTTTGCCCAAACTGGCATGATCTAACCAGAGTCAATTAAACAAAGAGAGGCTGAGTATGCCATGTGGGAATTAGCCACTGAATGACAAGGTACCTACTAAATCCACTTCAGTCCTTAGCTCCAGGGAACTGGGCTGTAACCAAAACCCCCAACACTTCCCCTCCCACATAGCCCAGAGTTGCCCTCTGTCTACACTCACCTCTTCATTTTCTCCTCTTTACGGTGCTGACGCACCCAGTCCTTAGGGGTCTTTTCTGTTTCTAAGACATGATGTTTTTTGTTTGTTGTCCACCTTAGGAGCTTACTTTTTGGTTCACAGTCTGAATTATCTACAATGTCCACAATTCCATGGTCCCCTTTCAATGGATATGCTATTAGACACAAGTTCCTGTCTTCATCTTCTTCAAAGCGCACAGATACCACACCTGGAAGGGGGTGAGGAGCAGAAAGAACTTTTAATTTAGCAGGAAGAAGCGTTGTAAGTAACATGATTGTAACATTTGTTTTTTTCTTACCCAGTTCCTTAGTCTCTATGTTGCCAGAGGCCCCAAACTCATCTGCAAACTTAACAAATATCAAAACAGCTAGAAAAGATGACACCATACAAGACAAGCAATTAGGGAGCAAACATGGCTGAGAGTCTTCCTCTCTGATGTACTCAACGAGGCAAGAGCCAAAGAATTACAAGACACATTTTTCCATCATTGAAAATGTTTATTAATTTTTATGTAATTCTTCTAATCCTAAAAGACTGAAAACATTGCTCTTTATAGTTTGCGGGAATTTTTAATGCCCTAAACAGAAACTCCAACAGCCTCATGGCTTGCTTTAAAGCAGAGCCTGAATACAGGGGGAACACAGGTTTGCCTGAGGGTTAAGAAGCATCCAAGAGTAAGGGAAGACTGGGTAAGCAAAGCAAAATAAAGGGGCAAACAAAACAAACCACACAGCACAAGACACCCTAGCAAAGGCTTCCCACAGTGCCCCCACACGGGTAGGCACCCAGGCCTTTTGTTCTTATAAAATATGTTTTTATTGGTCTTTGCAGTCTCACGTCACAAAATAACAAAATGAACACAAGGCAGATAGAGCTGGTTGGGGAGCACAGACATGTGGTGGCCTTGAAAGCAGCTTTTCCCCTTAAGTCTCTAGAACCTGCCATGAGTAATTAAGACAGTCTTTGAGGATGGGGCTGTCAGGTGGGGGCGTTTCAGCAGGTGCCGACGAGCGCCTTACAAACGACTGGCTGAACACCTTTCCTCCCAGGCCTCTCTGCCCCAGCATCACTCAATCTGCTCAGTCCTCGACTGCTGCAGGGGAATGCGTGCTCAGAGAGAGATGACACTTCTGAGGTGGCCCCCAGCTCTGGGTGCAGAGGAGCCGGGGTGGGGTATTCAGGCCACACTTCCCTGTGGCCACAGGGGAAAGGACCAGGGGAAAAAATGGGGCAGGGATGGCCAGCTAACAAGGGGCCTTTGGCTTTGTCCTGGAAAAAAACAACAGAGAAGGACCAAGTGAGGGCCCCCAACTCCCCCATCCCCACCGCAATACACATGCATATTCAGAGTACAGAGAAAGGCACCCAGTACATTCTGTCCTTAAAGACAATGTTTCAACAGTCCCAAAAGAACCTAAGTTGTTCTAGAGTCCTTTATGTAACCAGGTAATGCACATTTAAAATTAATTTCTTTAATGGATTCTTACTTGATTTACAAAAGACTCCCCCACTCCCCAACAAAGACCCCACCATGCTGGTGGCTGCTGATGTCCCCTATAAAATACATTATAAAAAGAAATAAAAAATTATCATATGTGAATCGAAGGGTTGCTTTCATATAGCAATTTTGGGGACATTCTGTAACAGCAAAGGGCTTGGGCTAATCAGCACAGGCCTCCCACTCCTGCATTCCATCTGACTCAACGCTGCTCCCCGGCCTACCTAATTACCCGGGCTTCTGGTTTCCTGGAGGACAAAAAGCAGGCGGCAAGTATTCTGGGTAAAATCCTCCCAAAGTCTTCCCCCACCGTCCCCCCAGTGGGGGACTATGGGTTACTGTGATCAAGAGACACCTGAACATAAAACACAACTACACTTCTACCAAAATCAAACTCAAATCCACACAACAAAACAGAATTGAGCAATCTTACCAGGGATTGAAAACTGAGGGTGTGAGATGCTGGGCTGAGGGCCAGGAGGAGGAGAAGGAGGAGAGGGAGGGAAAGCACAGAGTGGGAGGGAGTGAGGGCTCCAGGGATGGCTGCCAGGGCCTTCCATGGCCACGATCTCTCACATCTCCTCGCCAGTGTGGCAACCCCTCCAGCAGCTGGGACTTACCTTTGTACTGGGGAGTGAATTTGCGCATCTCAGCAGGGAGGGTCTCGTAGAACTGATGTTCCCTTGGGACCAGGGGCTTGCACAGGGTTGTCTCATTGAAGCGGAGCACGCATGAGTGCCCCCCGACCTGGTGGACAAAGGGCTCCAGAAGGACGCCTTTGGCGCGGGGCTCCACATCCATGGCCCTGAAGGCTGGGCTCATCCTCCGGGCGCAGATGGCGGGGAGATGGGGGAGGCAGCGGAGTCCAGCGGCCAGTACGTCTTCTGTCTGTTGTTTGTCCGTGTGTCCCTCTCGTCTTGGCTCCTTGGCTTGTTCTGGCCAGGATGCTCTGCTGGAAGCAAACAAAATGATGACATGGGGGTTCGAAGTAGCGTGGGAAGTGCCTTAGAGCTGCTCACCCTGCTCCTTCAGCAGAAAGACAAAGACAAACAGTCTGAGTTCTTGCGGGACTCCGCCCATGCCACCCACCTTGGCCCCCGCCTTCTCCGGCAGAAAAACAAAAACACTATGAGCTCATGGGGCGGGGTTAGATGCAGACAGGCAGGGAATGGGTTCAGGGGCCCTAAAAAGGCAGAGGTCCCACTACGGTGTTAGAAAGCCACTGCCGCAGGCAAAACTGATGCCATGGTGAGGTGAAATCACAATTTCAAGCCTAATATTTGGATTAAATCTTACCATTTTCTAATAAGAGTGTCAAGCTTTAAGTGGATGATGCCCAGGTCTCCCATTAATTTTATATATTATATATAATATATATTATATATATAAAATAAATATATATATATAATTTTTTAATATATATAATTTTTTTTTGAGATGGAGTCTCACTCTATCGCCAGGCGGGAGTGCAGTGGCACAATCTCGACTCACTGCAACCTCCGCCTCTCAGGGTTCAAGCCATTTTCCTGCCTCAGCCTCCCGAGTAGCTGGGATTACAGGTGCACACCACCACACCCAGCTAATTTTTGTATTTTTAGTAGAGACGGGGTTTCACCACGTTGGCTGGCATGGTCTTGATCTCTTGACCTCATGATCTGCCCATTCGGTCTCCCAAAGTGCTGGGATTACAGGTGTGAGCGACCGCACCCAGCCCCATTAATTATATTTTTATAAAATGCATTTAAATACAGGGAAAACCTGCTTACTCATTATCTAGTAAGACTCATTATTTACTTGTCCAGGTTGTCTACCCACACTGCTCCTGCCCAAGGCCAAAGACGAGCCCCATTAACCTTGTTAGCAATGGAGCTTGGGTCTAGCTTTAATGATTAACATCTGTATCTAAAAACAACTGATCAAGGCTGGTTAACTCCATTTAAAAAGATACACAGTGTTCTAGGTCACTATTTTTATCAGTTCTATCCTGATCACCAAAAGCTGGTACACACCTTTAAACCAAAGTTATGCTCTTGGGGCAATCAGAGCTCGCATCCACTCACTCAGCCATGCACTGGATGCCGCATCAACGAAGCACATTTTTGGATGCACCCTGTTAACCAGTTCAGGCCATCTCACACTCATTATCTGTTTTGTCTAATTTACAAATTAGACAGTCTCTACTAGCATTACTTACAGGGCTTGAGTTACATTTCAGTATCTGTACAGGGATTTTACTGGGAACTCCTTCAGTTCCCATGACTCTAACTGAGAGAGGAGTGAGGATGGATCTGGAAGAGATGTGCCCTCTGTCCTCTAATGTGGGGAAAGCACCTATTATGTATCAGGCTCATGACAGGAATTTCTTATGTCATTTGGTCCTGACACTTTCTTTGAGGTAGACACTACTATCCCTGTTGCAAACAATGAAGGTGATTAGAGATGGTTAGGAAATTCACCCAGGGCCAGAGACAATAAGCCACTTCTCCCAAGTGAACCCCATACAGCTGCCTCTAGGGCACATGATATCTGGCACTGCCCAGCTGAATTTTTACTTTTTTTTTTTTTTTTGGAGATGGAGTCTCGCTCTGTCACCCAGACTGGAGTGCAGTGGCGAGATCTCGGCTCACTGCAAGCTCCGCCTCCCAGGTTCACGTCATTCTCCTGCCTCAGCCTCCTGAGTAGCTGGGACTACAGGCGCCCGCCACCACACCCGGCTAATTTTTTGTATTTTTAGTAGAGACGGGGTTTCACCATGTTAGCCAGGATGGTCTTGATCTCCTGACCTCGTGATCCGCCCACCTCAGCATCCCAAAGTGCTGGATTACAGGCGTGAGCCACCGCGCCCGGCCAGTTGTTTTTTCATTTTGTTTTGTTTTTTTTTTTAGATGGAGTCTTGCTCTGTCGCCCAGGCTGAAGTGTGATCTCAGTTCACTGCAACCTCTGCCTCCCAGTCTCATGCGATTCTCCTGCCACAACCTCCCAAGTAGCTGGGACTACAGGCACCCACCATGCCTGGCTATTTTTTTTTTTTTTTTTTTTTTTTGTATTTTTAGTAGAGACAGGGTTTCACCATGTTGGCCAGACTGGTCTTGAACTCCTAACCTCAGGTGATCTGCTCACCCTGGCCTCCCAAAGTGCTGGGACTATGGATGTGAGCTACTGCACTTGGCCAATTTTTAATTTTTTCTTAAAAAAATTAAACGTTTTACTGTTTTCTTAAAAAAAAGTCAACAGGGTCTCACTCTGTCGCCCAGGCTGGAGTGCAATGACACGATCATAGCTCAAAACACCCTCAAACTCCTGGGCTCAAGGGATCTGCCTGTCTCAGCCTCCCAAGCAGCTAGGACTACAGGTGCATGCCACCACGCCTAACTAATATTTTCTATTTATAAAGCAGCCTCTTTTAAAGAGTTTAAACTGGTGTTAATCTCTTCCTTTTAGAGAGTACCCGACTATGGGCCTCAACTGAACTCAATGGCTAGGAATCAGTAAGTTTTCCCATATGCAAAGAGCAGAGAATCTAAACCTAAGGTTCTGATTACTTGGCACTACCTTCTCATCACCACAAAAGCCTCCAGGAAGGCACGTATTGAGAAGAGTCCAGAAACTCAACACAGGCAATGGAACTGTAAATATGAGTACATTCTAACCATTCCAGGCTCTATCCAGAAGATGGAGCTCTGAGAAGTCTGGCCACACAAGCCTTTTCTCTAGGTCTATGCAGACTGGTTGACACTAGTCTACTGAAAAGACCTTTTGAATAAGAGTAATACCAAAAGAAGCTACTGATTCATGGTCCGCCGACCAGTACTAAAGCACATGTCAGGTACCATAATTATGAATTGTTAAAGCACAAGATGCTCCTCATGGGCCAGGCTTTAGAAACACAATCCAGGCCAGGTATGGTGGCTCATGCCTATAATCCCAGCACTTTGGGAGACCAAGGTAGGAGATCACTTGAGACTAGGAGTTGACAACATAGTAAGCCCCATCTCTACAATTTTTTTGTTTTTTAATTGAGATGGAGTCTTGCTCTGTTGCCCAGGCTGGAGTGCAGTGGCGCGACCTTGGCTCACTGCAACCTCTGCCGCTCAGGTTCAAGCGATTCTCGTGCCTCAGCCTCCCGAGAAGCTGAGGACTATAGGCGCACGCCACCACGCCTGGCTAATTTTTTTGTATTTTTAGTAGAGATGGGGTTTCGCCATGTTGGCCAGGCTGGTCTCGAAATCCTGACCTTAATTGATCTGCCCGCCTTGGCCTCCCAAAGTGCTGGGATTATGGGCATGAGCCACCGTGCCCAGCCCAAAATTTTTAAAAAACTCAGCTAGGTGTAGTGGTGCATGCCTGGAGTCCCAGCTATTCAGGAGGCTGAAACAAGAGGATCACTTGAGCCCAGGACATTGAGGCTGCAGTGAGCCATGACTGAGCCACTGCACTCCAGACTGGGTGACAGAGTAAGACCCTGTCTTTTGCTATCACAGCAATGCTAACAACAATGCAAATCCCTTATCAACTCTGCTCAGGATTCCTTAAATGTACTCAGTTACGTAGAAAAATAACTCTGTGTAGGTATGTCTTACCCATCCCCACCTCCAACGAAAATAAACAAAAACAGTCCTTCATGGCGTCTCTAGAGTGTGGCTCAAGAGCATAGCTGGGGCCGGGCGTGGTGGCTCACACCTATAATTCCAGCACTCTGGGAGGCCTAAGCGGGTGGAATCACCTGAGGTCTGGAGTTCGAGACCAGCCTGACCAACATAGAGAAATGCTGTCTCTACTAAAAATACAAAATCAGCTGGGTGTGGTGGCGCATGCCTGTAATCCCAGCTACTCGGGAGGCTGAGGCAGGAGAATCGCTTGAATCTGGGGGGCAGAGGTTACAGTGAGCCACTGCACTCCAGCCTGGGCAACAAGAGCAAAACTCCATCTCAAAAAAAAAACAAAAAACAACAACAAAAAAAACGTAGCTGGAGGCCAAAAGGCCCAGTGAGGGTCTCCAACTTCTCTTCTCCAGAGTGTTAATTAGCTGCTGGGCATGATGTGCCACCTTATCACCCTTCCTCTTGCATCCATCTCTGGCGGTCCATAGGTTGCTGCTCTTGGGAAAATCATCATCATTTTGGGTAGAAAGATAGGAAAAATCAGGCTCATCCTTGCCTGAGCCAAGTCTGATAAGAAACTTCCAAATGTGAGGCAGAATTAGGGAAACAATTGACCATCCTGTAGTGAGGTGGAGCCACATTTTAGTACCAGTTCTGCTACTCAATAGCGTGGAGAAAGACTCCAAGTCCATGGCTCCCTTTGGGTTCGTTTTACGGTCTGTAAAATGGGAAAAGAGAGGCTTAGAGTAGATCTCTACTCTGTGGGTTGTGTAAGCAAGTTAGTGAGTGGTAACTAGTAGTTTTTTAAAAAAATTAAACAGAATACAACAAAATATGGCTGGGTACAGTGGCTCACTCCTTGTAATCCTAGCACTTTGGGAGGCCAAGATGGGAAGATTGCTTGAGTTCAGGAATTCGAGACTAGCCTGGGCTATGTAGTGAGACCTCAACTCTATAAAATAATAATAAACAAAATATCAATGCATTGCACATAGTAAGTCTTGCTTTTTGATCCTTTTGTTTTAATTATGTTCAATCTCTCAATATGAACATAAGTATGGTTTTACTGTAAAACATACTTCTCACATTTGGAGTTGCAAAGAAGTGGCACTTCTGTTCTAGGGTCCCTCACAGCCCCTATCTCTGCAAGGAAATGAAGGATCAATTTTCCAAAGATTACAAAGCAAATCAGCTTCCTCCCTAGGAGCCTCAACTACACCAGAAGAAAGAAAAGCCCCAAAGCACCAATCTCCATGTCACCTGTTTCTCTCTCTCTCTTTTTGAGCAGTGTGATCTCTAAGGTCTAAAGCTGTTTCCCTGGAAGGCTGGAAAATTAATGGTTACGATAAAGCCCATGCAATGTGTGGGCCCAGTACCTAGAAAGACAGGAAATAACTGCAAAATACTGGCTTCAGATTTAGCATCTATTTTAGCTTTCCACATTGCCTCACATTTGTCCATGAAACTATGAACAGGTAAGAAACACAGAACATCCATCCTAGCACAGCATACAGTTTTCCCACTCAGTCCCTCCCCCAAATCTATCAAATTGGTTTAAGGATCTGTTGGAAACAATGCCTTAATATTCTTAACTTTTAAAGTAATGCAAATAAAATGGCTATGACTCATGAAAGCCCCTGGGTCCTTAGTTCACTCATCCAGAATTTAGTTAAAGAGGCTACAAAATGGGATCCACTGGGGCTACTTACTCTGGCTTAAGAAAAGCCCCAGGGTCAGGCAGTCACAGAGGGGTGGCATAAGGCACACTATACTGATGGTGGAAAAACAACCCTTACCACCCATACCTCCTGTGTGTTCCAGAGCCACCACCCAGCATCTGCCTGGTACACATTCATATACAAGCCAGGGTTAATTATGCAATGCCTCATACATTGCTGGTAGCAATGCAAAGCCACTTTGGAAAACAGTCTGGCAGTTTCTTATAAAGTTAAACATATACTTATTATATACATAGCAATCCCACTCCTAGGTGTTTAACTAAGTGGAATGACAACGTGGCTGGGCGCGGTGGCTCACGCCTGTAGTCCTGGCACTTTGGGAGGCCGAGGCGGGTGGATTACTTGAGGTCAGGAGTTTGAAACCAGCCTGGTCAACATGGTGAAACCCCATCTCTACTAACAATACAAAAAATTACAGGCCACTGCGCCTGGCCCATAAGTATGTATTATTTTAATAATCAGAAAAGATTATGCTGGCCAGGAGTGGTGGCTCATGCCTATAGTCCTAGCACCCTGGGAGGCTGAGGCGGGCGGATTGCCTGAGCTCAGAAGTTCGAGGCCAGCCTGACCAACATGGCGAAACCCTGTCTCTACTAAAAATACAAAAAGTAGCTGGGCGTGGTGGCAGGCGCCTGTAATCCCAGCTACTCGGGAGGCTGAGGCAGGAGAATCACTTGAACCCAGGAGGTGGAGGCTACAGTGAGCCGAGATCGTGCCAGTGCACTCCAGCCTGGGCGACAAGAGCAAGACTCCGTCTCAAAAAAAAAAAAAAAAAAAAAAAAAAAAGATTATACTTAAAAAGATCCTGCTGGGTGCGCTGACTCATACCTGTAATTCCAGCACTTTGGGAGGCCGAGGCAGGTGATCACTTGAGGTCAGGAGTTCGAGACTAGCCTGGCCAACATGATGAAACCCCGTCTCTACTAATAATACAAAAAATTAGCTAGGCGTGGTGGCAGGCGCCTGTAGTCCCACCTGCTTGGGAGGCTGAGGCACAAGAATCGCTTGAGCACGGGAGGCGGAGGTTGCAGTGAGCTGAGATCGCACTACTGTACTCCAGCCTGGGCAACAGAGCGAGACTTCGTCTAAAAAAATAAATAAATAAAAATAAATCCTACTCATTGTCCAATAGTTTCTACATACAAACTCATTGGCTGAAATTTCCTTTTGCATCCATTCTATTTGGACTCATCTGCCTCACTTTGAGTATCTTGAATCACTCATGCTAAGGTCAGCCTTGACCTCTACTAAAATAAATAAATTTTTAAAAAATGAGCTGGACATGGTGGTGGACACCTGTAATCCCAGCTACTTGGGAAGCTGAGGCAGGAGAATTGCTTGAACCCAGGAGGCAGAGGTTGCAGTGAACCAAGACTGCACCACTGTACTCCAGCCTGGGCAAAAGAGCGAGACTCCATGTCAAAAAAAAATAAAATAAAGCATCCATAGAGGAAAAAATATCAACATCAAATGTGGCCCAATTATACTGGCTTCCTTATTTCTCAAATATGCCTGATACACATGTACCTCAGGGCCTTTGTACTTGCTATTCCCTTTGCTTGATATGTTCTTCCCCCAGATATCCCCCTTGGCTCACTCTCTCAACCTCCTTCAGCCCTTTGTGCAAATGTCACCCCCCCTTTTTTTTTTTGAGATAGAGTCTTGCTCTGTTGCCCAGGCTAAAAGTGCAGTGGCGTAATCACGGCTCACTGCAGCCTCAAACTCCTGGGCTCAAGTGATCCTCTCACCTCAGCCTCCTGAGCAGCTCTGACTACAGGCGTGCACCACCACAGCTAGCTAAGCAAATGTCATCTCTTTAATGGGATCTTCAGCCACTCTATCTAAAAGTGAGTGCCACTCCCTGGGGCACCCCTGCTTTATTTTCTCCTCAGCACTTATCACCGTCTGACATACTCTACGTTTCTTACTTGTCTTGTTAATTGTCTCCTCCCACCCAATTTCCACTTGAAAACAAGTTCCATAAGGTCAGATTTTTGACTGCAGTATTCACTGCTGAATCTCCAGGATCTACAAGAGCACCAGCATAAAGTAGGCACTCCACAAAATGTGCCTCAAATCACTACTGTGTCATGAATACCTAACGCATACAGATCAGCAGAGAACTCATAAGGCACCCACTGCAATCATCATCCAAATCCACACCAATCATATGGTGAGTACAATTATTAAAATGTGGCCTGCTGCACACTTTACAAAATGCATTCCAAGCACTGGCTAATATTAGTTTACTTTGCATTTATTATTTTCCACCTTATAAGTCTGCATTAACTGGGGAGTATAAATTAAGGACCCACGCCTGAACATTCATCTGAGACCTGCTGGTGTAGAAACATTTCATGTCAAACAAAACCCAAGTTCTTAATGTAACGACAACTAACCTTTTGGAAAATTCTCTCTTGTAGAAAATCAGGTGAGAAAAGACTAGTTAATGAAGAATAAACTTTCAAAATGTGGCTACAAGATTTCAATTCTATCACAGTTTAAAACAAATATATTAACCAGCATTCAAATATTCTGTGTTGATACTGAGGTCATATCCCAAAGACCCAAGGTTTTCAGGTTGCTAAATCGTCACTAAAAAATAATTATCTCGGCCAGGCACGGTGGCTCACGCCTGTAATCCCAGCACTTTGGGAGGCCCAGGCGGGTGGATCACGAGGTCAGGAGATCAAGACCAACCTGGCTAACACGGTGAAACCCCATCTCTACTAAAAATACAAAAAAAAAAAAAAAAAAATTAGCCAGGCATGGTGGCAGGGGCCTATAGTCCCAGCAACTCAGGAGGCTGAGGCAGGAGAATGGCGTGAACCCGGGAAGCAGAGCTTGCAGTGAGCCAAGATTGCACCACTGCACTCCAGCCTGGGACACAGAGCTAGACTCTGTCTCAAAAAACAAAACAAAACAAAACAAAAATATCTCTTGCTAACCATGGAGATGAGGAAATAAATATAAAAATATTTTTTAAAATAAAAACTATCAGCCAGGAGCAGTGGCTCATGCCTGTAATCCCAGCACTTTGGGAGGCAGAGGCGGGCAGATCACTTGAGGCCAGGAGTTCAAGACCAGCCTAGCCAACGTGGTGAAACCCGGTCTCTACTAAAAAATACAAAAATTAGCCAGGCATGGTGGCACATGCCTGTGATCCCAGCTACTTGGGAGGCTGAGGTAGGAGAATTGCTTGAACCCAGGAGGCAGAGGCTGCAGTGACCGGAGATTGCGCCACTGCACTCTAGCCTGGCAACAGAGTGAGACTCTATCTCAAAAAAGAAAAGAAAAGAAAAGAAAAAAACAAACAATAAAAAACTAAAAAGCATTTTTAGTAAAATAAAGCCAGGAAGGAAACAGTCAATGTCTGACTCTGAAAGGATGTCTTGTGGGGAACACCAAATTGACCTGTCTGGGTACATGGCATCAAACTACCATCAACCTCAGGAAAACTCCATAAAAATCAAGTCCACTGCTCCATAAAATCAGGACATCTATCATCCTTGATGATGAACACATTCGCCTCCACATCCAGCAATAGGAGATGAATGAAACAAAAATATTTTTTTCATTCAATTGTATGACGGACTATTAGGATAGCATGAAGAGCTTTCTTACCAATTTTATATTTTTTAACCAGGAGAAAATGCTTATGATACACTTTTTTTTTTTTTTGAGACAGGGTCTCCATTGTTAAGGCTGCAGTGCAGTGGCGTAATCTCAGCTCACCACAGCCTTGTCCACCCAGGCTCAAGTGATCCTCCCACCTCAGCTTCCCAAGTTGCTGGGACAGCTATAGGCACACGCCACCATATCTGGCTAATTTTTGTATTTCTGTGTAGAGACGGGGTTTTGCTATGTTGCTCAGGCTGGTCTTGAACTCTTGAGTTCAAGTGATCCTCCTGCCTTGGCCTCCCAAAGTGCTGGGATTAGAGGCGTGTGCCACCGCACCGGGCCGTTTATGATACACTTTTTTTTTTTCTCTGAGAGTCTTGCTCTGTTGCCCAGGCTAGAGTGCATGATCTCACCTCACGGCAACCTCTGCCTCCCAGGTTCAAGTGATTCTCATGCCTCAGCCTCCCGAGTAGCTGAGATTACAAGCACGCGCCACTGTGCCCGGCTAATTTTTCTAATTTTTTTTTTTGAGACGGAGTCTCACTCTGTCGCCCAGGCTGGAGTGCAGTGGCGCATTCTCAGCTCACTGCAAGCTCCGCCTCCCAGGTTCACGCCATTCTCCTGCCTCAGCCTCCCGAGTAGCTGGGTCTACAGGCGTCTGCCACCACACCCGGCTAATTTTTTGTATTTTTTTAGTAGAGATGCGGTTTCACCGTGTTAGCCAGGATGGTCTCAATCTCTTGACCTCGTGATCCGCTGCCTCAGCCTCCCAAAGTGCTGGGATTACAGGCGTGAATCACCCCACCCAGTAGAGACTGGGTTCAGTGTGTTGGTCAAGATGGTCTCAAACTACTGGCCTCAAGTGATCTGCCCGCGTCAGCCTCCCAAAGTGCTGGGATTACAGGCATGAGCCACTGCACCAGGCCTCACTTTTGATAAACTTTTAAGTTATAAGAAGGAAGATGGGGCCGGGCGCGGTGGCTCACATCTGTAATCCCAGCACTTTGGGAGGCCGAGGCGGGCGGATCACGAGGTCAAGAGATCGAGACCAGACTGGGCAAGCTGCACAGTGACAGCCAGTCTCTAAATAATTTTTTAATTAGTCAGGCATGGTGGGGAGACTGAGGTGGGAGGATCACTGGAGTGCAGGAGTTCCAGAATTCTGTGAGGTATGATCATGCCACTGCACTCCAGCCTGGATGACAGAGCAGGACACTGTCTATTAAAAAAAAAAAAAAGGCTATTCACAAGCCTTCTCTAAAAGAATTATTCAAGGATATACTACAGCTTGGCCAAGCGTGGTGGCTCACGCCTGTTATCCCAACATTTTGAGAGGCTGAGGTAGGTGGATCGATTGAGCCCAGGAGTTCGAGACCAGCCTAGGCAACATGGCAAAAACCCCTCTCTACCAAAAAATAAAAATAAAAAATAAAAAATAAAAAAAATAAAAAAATAAAAAATAATAAAATAAAATAAAATAAAAAAAAACAGAAGGACAGGCATAGTGGCTCACGCCTGTAATCCCAGCACTTTGGGAGGCCAAGGCAGGTGGATCACCTGAAGTCAGGAGTTTGAGACCACACTGCCCAACATGGTGAAACCCTGTCTCTACTAAAAATACAAAAAATTAGCCGTGCATGGTGGTGGGCGCCTATATTCCAAGCTACTCTGGAGGCTGAGGCAGGAGAATCACTTGAACCCGGGAGGCGGAGGTTGCAGTGAGCCGAGACTACGCCATTGCACTCCAGCCTGAGCTACAAGAGTGAAACTCCATCTCAAAAAAAAAGAGGCCAAGACAGTAGGATCACTTGAGGCCAAAAGTTCAAGACCAGCCTCGGCAACACAGCAAGACCCTATCTCTACAAAAAAATTAGCAAGTTGTGGTAGTGCACATCTGTAGCCCTAGCTACTCAGGAGGCTGAGGCAGGAGGATCTCTTGAGCCCAGGAGTCTGAGGCTGCAGTGATCTCTAATCATACCACTGAGCTTCAGCCTGCATGACTGAGTGAGATCCTATGTCAAACAACCAAATAAAGAAATAAAAGATAGGATCAATTACCCTTGAGGAGTGACTATGGCGACCCTTCTGTTCTCTCTACAGACAGTTGTAATATTGCTATTATAGAAAGAGGTGGTCAGGCCAGGTGCGGTGGCTCAGGCTTGTAAAAGTAGCACTTTGGGAGGCAGATCACTTAAGCTCAAGAGTTCAAGACCAGCCTGAGCAACATGGCAAAACCCCATCTCCACTAAAAATACAAAAACTAGCTGGGCGTAGTGGCACGGGCCCATAGTCCCAGCTACTTGGGGGGCTGAAGCAGGAGAATAGCTTGAACCTGGGAGGCTGAGGCTGCAGTGAACCTGGGTGACAAAATGAGACCCTGTCCCCAAAAAAATAAAAAAGAAAGAAAGCGGTGGTCAAAATGCTGCCCCAAAATGTAGGGAGGTAAGTACTATAGAACTTTCTTCTGCATTTTTAAATGTGTAACTTTTTGTGATTTTTTTCAATCTAAACAAACATTCACTTTCTTACCTAATTTTGTTATCATAATTGTACATTATTTTGTTTAAAGATGGCATTTATAATTACATGTATAATTACAAATTATGTATTTATGTTACATATATTTATATTATTTTATATAAGCTTCAGACACCACAAAACCTGCCCTATACTAGGTGGTAAGATCATGATTGCCCGCTTTTCAGTTTTCTGAATGTTTCAAACTTATAATATCCTCCAACTCTGAGCACACATTACCTTTATAACTGAGAGAGAAAATACTGGGGGAAGAGGAGGATTCAAGATTGAAACAGGAAAACACAGATGGCTGCCTGGCTCTTGATGGTTTTAAATCCACCTAGAAACAAACACTGATCCGGCCCACCCTTCGTACTCAGAGCTTCACTCCAAGTGAGAATAACAACCACAACACCACAACACGCACTGTCCTTAAGATGTATACAAGGTGCTAGAAGGTCAGAGCCCTCAATAGCATCTCATTCTGGTTTTATTTTATCTTTTGAGATGGAGTTTCGCTCTTGTTGCCCAGGCTGGAGTGCAATGGCCTGATCTCGGCTCACCACAACCTCTGCCTCCCAGGTTCAAGGGATTCTCCTGCCTCAGACTTCCAAGTAGCTGGGATTACAGGCATGCGCCACCACGCCCGGCTAATTTTTATATATTTTTTAGTAAAGACAGCGTTTTTCCATGTTGGACAGGCTGGTCTCAAACTCCCAGCCTCAGGTGATCCGCCCCCCTTGGCCTCCCAAAGTGCTGGGATTACAGGTGTGAGCCACTGCACCCAGGCTCATTCTGGTTTTAATGAAGAAACCACAGATTTTAACTGGAGTGATTACATGAAAGTCATACAATAATGTAGCTTCTTCCCCCAAAACAGCAGATTGTTCCAAAAATCTGGACAAATCTCAGGTTTTCCATAAGGGACACAGTAGCCTCTCAGCTGCTTCTCCTTTCTAGAACCACCAGCACAACTAGCTGCCCTATCTCTCTGCCTCGTCTGACCAGGTTTCTGGAATGACAGACTAGAGGGCTCCAAGGTAAAGGGAACAGGAAGAAGGAACTTTCAGTCTACCGAGAAATATGTGTATCACCAGCCTGGGCAAGATGGGGACACCCTGTCTCTACCAAATAAAAATTAAAAAAAAATAGCCAGGTGCAATGGCGCATACCTGTGGTCCCAGCTACTTGGGAGGCTGAGATGGAAGGGTCACTGGAGCCTGGGAGGTCAAGGCTGCAGTGAGCCGTGATCACATGACTGTACTCCAGCCTGGGTGACAGAGCGAGACCCTGTCTCAAAAAATAATAATAATAATACATAAATAAATAATAAAAAAGAAATATGTTTATCAGAATAACCTGCTAGAATTATAAAGAATTTAAGCAATTTTAAAAGCTTCTCGCTAAAACAATGATTGATTCTAAGGTCTCATATGTCCCCTTTATCAATATATCAAACTTTATTTTGAGATGGGGGCTCACTATGTTGCCCAGGCTGGCCTCAAACTCCTGGCCTCAAGTGATCCTTCCGCCTTAGTCTCTCCAAGTGCTAGGATTACAAGGCATGAGTCAACTGGCCAAATTTTCTTACAAATAGCTGAATGTATTCTATACACATACCAGGAATTTTCAGTTCTGTTGTAAAAGCCAGTTACCCCTTTTTCAAGAACAATTCTCAGTCTCCAGTCTCCCACCACATTGTAAGAAACTAACTCAACAGGAACACAGAGAAGCAACTCTCTCAGACTAAAGCCAAAATTGCTTACAGGTCTCAATCTATGAGGGATTTTTGCAATCCTTGAGTCATGGTTCTTTCATATGCCAATAAGTAATGGTTCCATAGGGCCCGTGTGGTGGCTCACACACGTGTAATCCTAGCACTTTGGAGGCCAAGGCAGGATGACTGTTTGAGCCCAGGAGTTTGAGAACAATCCTGGCAAAATAGTGAGACCTTGTCTCTACAAAAAATAACCAGCCAGGTGTGGTGGTACATGCCTGTTGTCCCAGCTACTCGGGAGGCAGAGGTGGAGGGATCACTTGAGGCTGCAAAGCTCAAGGTTATAGTGAGCAGAGATTGTACCACCATACTCCAGCCCGGTGACAGAGCGAGACACTGTCTCAAACAACCAAAAAAGTAACGGTCCATTAGCTTCAGACAAGATTATATGTTTCCTGCCAGTGGGCAATGTTTACCCCATTTAGCTCTTAGCTCACTGCCAAACCCAAATGACACATGAATTCATCCTCTGAAATAAGGGATGCCAACAGTGATTCAGTCCCAATGGGCAGCCACAGAGGCAGGGCATCCCGGACCTGCCCAGGCAAGCACCTGAGTGCTGCATTTGCTGGAGCAGGAACAAAAGTGTACCCTATGCAGCACTAGTTCCTGCGACCAAGGGAACTCTGACAATTTCCTCTGGGTCCTTTCAACATCTCGCTTAGACAAATACTCCTCGCAAGGGTCTGCAAACTACTCCAGGTTCGTGGCAGCAATCTGGCAGCTTGTATCACCCAACCCACTTGGCCTGAGTGCAGTCAGTGTTCTTCCAGACCAGCCCAGAAAAAAATGAGATACGATTCTGAGAAAAGTCTTAAGACTACACCAGTCAGGCTGGGCGCGGTGGCTCACGCCTGTAATCCCAGCACTTTGGGAGGCCAAGGCAGGCAGATCACGAGGTCAGGAGATCGAGACCATCCTGGCTAACATGGTGAAACCCCGTCTCTACTAAAAATAAAAAAATTAGCCGGGCGTGGTGGCAGGTGCCTGTAGTCTCAGCTACTGGGGAGGCTGAGGCAGGAGAATCACTTGAACCTAGGAGGCGGAGCTTGCAGTGAGCCGAGATCGCACCACTGCACTCCAGCCTGGGCAAGAGAGCGAGACTCCATCTCAAAAAAAAAAAATTAATTAATTAAAAAAAAAAGACTGCACCAGTCACAGCACTATGTCCTAATAAAGAGACACCTGCCAATTATGCTTCAGAAGTCCTGAGTTAGCTCTCCAAAATAAGATCCAGAAAAATATTTTAAAATTTTTGTTACAGAAATCAAGTTCAATTGCATTCACAGTTCCAAAGCAAAGGTCACACTGATCTCTTCAGAATCACCCAGTTTGTGAGGAAAGCAGTGGATTCAGTCAATCAAGATCGCACGCATTTGAGGCCAGGCACGGAGGCTCACACCTATAATCTCAGCAGTTTGGGAAGCTGAGGCGGGAGGATTGCTAGAGCTCAGAAGTTTGAGACCAGCCTGGGCAACACAGTGAGACCCTGTCTTCACAAAAAATGTTTTAAAAATTAGCCAGGCTTGGTGGCATGCGCCTGTAGTCCTAGCTACTCAGAAGGCTGAGGCAGGAGGATCACTTTAGCCCAGAAGGTTGAGGTTACTGTGAGCTATGAGATTGTGCCACTGCACTCTAGCCTGGGTGACAGAGTGAGACCCTGTCTCTAAAAAAAGTAAAAATAAGATTGCATTTCAGGACCAGCAGTGAAGGTCAACAAGGTACTTCCAGTTTTAACATCTTACTCTTCTCTCGCTCATTACAAGGAGCTTAAGTTATTTTCCAAAGTAAAAACGGTCTTTGAGCGTGAGATAAATCATCCTAGGGGTCCTGTCCCTTACCTTTCCCAGGCCTCACCTGCCCCAGTCCTGCTGTTCATGTTCATTAGTTTAGTTTTTTTTTTGAGACGGAGTCTCACTCTGTCGCCCAGGCTGGAGTGCAGTGGCGGGATCTCGGCTCACTGCAAGCTCTGCCTCCCGGGTTCACGCCATTCTCTTGCCTCAGCCTTCCGAGCAGCTGGGACTACAGGTGGCCACCACCACGCCCGGCTAATTTTTTGTATTTTTAGTAGAGACAGGGTTTCACCGTGTTAGCCAGGATGGTCTCGATCTCCTGACCTCGTGATCCATCCGCCTCGGCCGCCCAAAGTGCTGGGATTACAGGCGTGAGCCACCGCATCTGGCCTTGTTTTTGTTTTTTTAACACAGGGTCTCACTCACGTCTCCCAGGCTGAAGCGCAGTTGGTGTAATCACAGCTCACTGCAGCCTTGCCTTCCTGGGTTCAAGTAATTCTCCCATCTCAGCCTCCCAAGTAGCTGGGACTACAGGCACATGCCACCATGTCGAGCTAATTTTTTGTTATTTTTAGTAGAGACAAGGTTTCGCCACGTTGCCCAGGCTGGTGTCGAACTCCTGGGATTAAATGATCCGCCTACCTCAGCCTCCTGAAGTGCCAGGATTACGGGCATGAACCACTGAACCAGGCCACACATCTATTAGTTTTTAAGCCCCAGAATCTAAACCTGTCAGCTGCCAACTGGCACCCCTGTAAATTCTACCCTCCCAAATCCCCCAGGACCTTGTATCCTGGATTTACAGTCCTCCTCTGGCCTTCCCAGTGTAAATGCAGCATTCTGACTAACCCATAAAGTCTTCAACATGAGACCCTGGAAGTTGCTGTGTTAGTTCCAAAGGCCCAGCAGAGAATCTACGAAGGGCAGAGGCAGCCCAAAGACCTGAGGAAGAGACAGACACTTTTATCCTCATGCTCAGATACAAACACAAAGCAAGAAAAACCCAAGCCCTTCAGTAGTGGGTTTGTAATCAACTGGGCTCTCTCTCCTTTAGAGGCACTTGCCTGGAAGAACAGATACTGTTCAAGGAATGACACCTTTTACTGCCTTACAGGTAAAACTTCCATTCATAATAGATGAAAAATTGAAAATGTTTAATAAGAATTAACTAATTTAGGAAGATCATAATCTCAGCAACGTGCAAAAAGATGGTTTAACAAGTTATTTGTTATTGTTTTTCTTGTCAGGTTGTTCAAGCTCATAAAAACATACATTCCTCGGTCAAGTATACTACAATCAGCCCTCCTCTTTCTTCCTTGAGTAACTAGGCAAGTTCTCAAGAAATATGATGACTCTTCAGCACCAGAGCCAAGCATATAACTCCACAGGGCACCCCATAAAAGCACGCAAACTGAACTTACCACCACCCCCTGCTGATGAGGAGGAAGGAACCATGGCACAGTCCACAGACACCAAGTTTAAAGCACATCTAAACAAATGGGCATCAGAGTGAAAGTGGGCAGGCTTGGAGTTAGGTTAATCCCCAAACAAATGTGGCTGCAGCCTCAGCAATACCATGTAGAAAAGGGATCTTTGCCAAATGCAGTGGCTCACACCTGTAATCCTGGCGCTTGTGGATGCTGAAGCAGGAGGATTGCTTAATGCCAGGAGTTCAAGACCAGCCTGGGTAAAAAAAAGCGAGACCCTGTCTCTACAAAAAAAAAATTTTTTTTTTTTTTTTTTGAGACAGAGTCTTGCTCTGTCTCCCAGGCTAGAGTGCAGTGGCGCGATCTCGGCTCACTGCAAGCTCCGCTTCCCAGGTTCACACCATTCTCCTGCCTCAGCCTCCCGAGTAGCTGGGACTACAGGCACCCACCACCACACCCGGCTAATTTTTTGTATTTTTTTTTAGTAGAGACAGGGTTTCACCGTGTTAGCCAGGATGGTCTCAATCTCCTGACCTCATGATCCGCCTGCCTTCACCTCCCAAAGTGCTGGGATTACAGGCATGAGCCACCATGCCCGGCCTACAATAAAATTTTTAAAATGAGCTGCGCCCAGTGACATGTGCCTGTAGCCCCAACTGCTTGGGAGCCTGAGGCAAGAGGATCACTTATGGCCCCAAGAGGTTGAGGCCATAGCGAGCTATGATCGCTGCACTGCCTTCCAGCCTGGGCAACTGAGTGAGACTGTCTTTATTTAAAATTTGTATGTGCAGGCCGGGCGCAGTGGCTCACACCTGTAATCCCAGCACTTTGGAAGGCCAGAGTGGGCGGATCACTTGAGGTCAGGAGTTCGAGACCAGCCTGGACAACATGGTGAAAACCCATCACTACAAAAATACAATTACCCAGGCGTGGTGGCAGATGCCTGTAGGCCCAGCTACTTAGGAGGCTGAGGCAAGACAATCGCTTAAACCCAGGAGGCAGAGGTTGCAATGAGCCGAGATCGCGCCACTGCACTCCAACCTGGGCAACAGAGTGAGACTCCGTCTCCAAAAACAACAATAATAATAATAAATATATAAATCTAAGACACTAGGGCACATAAAAATCTGAATGGGCAGGTGAGTAGTTATACCAAAAAGCCATATCCAATGTTAGTTTCATACTTGCAAAGCAAAAATAACCTACTATTCTTATAAAACAAATACTGAAGGGGGATGCGAGATTTTTGCAATCCCCATGAAAGCTGAGACAAGCTCACACGGCCCATGGGGCATCTCATTTGAGTGTGCAGCTTCAGTTACGAAGGCCTGTTGGCCCCGAAGCAGCCCCAACTAAAAGAGCAAGACAAGGTTCAAGGCAAGGAGCCATAACAGGTGGGCTCTTCTAACAGGTAGGGTTTTAAGGTAGAGTAATATGGCCTGGGGAACTTGGGCCACAGCACCCCAGGGCCAGAGCAGGCAACGTGGCAGCCTTCCACAAACCCAGACTTAGGAGATCTAGCCCAGGTTCCAACTGGGCACATTCTCACAAACTAAGTGCAAAAGCAACACTAGAGCCAGATGTCTGCTTCTTGGTAACTAACATGTTTTATTCCATTAAAAGAAGTTTTACTCTTCCTTAGGTTTGGGATTAGACACTCAATTTCGAAAACACATAGGAGTGTCTCAAGTAAGATAGGTGGATACATAGAGAAAGCAAACAACATTAATTAGCCGGGCGTGGTGCCACGCGCCTGTAATCCCAGCTACTCGGGAGGCTGAGGTTGCAGTGAGCCGAGATCACACCACTGCACTCCAGCCTGGGTGACAGAGTGACATTTTTTCAAAAAAAAAAAAAAAATAGTAATACAAAAAAGAAAGAAAAAGGCCAGGTGCGGTGCAGTGGCTCACGCCTGTAATCCCAACACTTTGGGAGGCCGAGGTGGGTGGATCACCTAAGGTCAGGAGTTCGAGGCCAGCCTGGCCAACATGGTGAAACCCCGTCTCTACTAAAAATACAAAAATTAGCCAGGTGCGGTGGCACATGCCTGTAGTCCCAGCTACTAGGGAGGCTGAGGCAGGAGAATCGGTTGAACCTGAGAGGCGAAGGTTGTAGTGAGCTGAGATCTGGCCACTGCACTCCAGCCTGGGTGACAGAGCGAGACTCCGTCTCATTAAAAACAAAACAAAACAAAACAAAAAACCCCTGAATCTTAAAGGGAGCATATCCCAGAAATTTGTTTAGTTTTGTTTTTTTGAGACAGAGGATCCTGCCACCACACCCAGCTAATTTTTGTATTTTTAGTAGAGACAGGGTTTCACCATGTTGGCCAGACTGGTCTCAAACTCCTGACCTCAAGTGATCTGCCCACCTCGGCCTCCCG
Source organism: Homo sapiens (assembly GCF_000001405.40). Taxonomy (NCBI): domain Eukaryota; kingdom Metazoa; phylum Chordata; class Mammalia; order Primates; family Hominidae; genus Homo; species Homo sapiens. The sequence continues at coordinate 48,714,328 of NC_000003.12, forward strand.
AAGCGTTGGTGTTACTGGCGTGAGCCACCACGCTCGGCCCTTTCTTTTTCCTTTTTTTTGTGTGTGTGTGTGTGTGTTTTTTTGAGATGGAGTCTCACTCTGTCGCCCAGGCGGGAGTGCAGTGGTGTGATTTTGGCTCACTGCAATCTCCACCCCCTGGGTTCAAACGATTCTCTTGCTTCAGCCTCCTGAGTAGCTGGGATTCCAGGCACCTGCCACAGAGGCTGGCTAGTTTTTGTATTTTTAGTAGAGACGGGGTTTCACCAGGTTGGCCAGGCTGGTCTTGAACTCCTGACCTCATGATCCAACCGCCTTGGCCTCCCAAAGTGCTGGGATTACATGCATGAGCCACCAAGCCTGGCCCTGGCCCTTTCTTTCTTTAAAAGGTAGGGCAGGCCAGGCGCGGAGGCTGAGGCAGGCTGAGGCAGGAGAATGGCGTGAACCCGGAAGGCGGAGCTTGCAGTGAGCCGAGATCGCACCACTGCACTTCAGCCTGGGCGACAGAGAGAGACTCCGTCTCAAAAAAAAAAAAAAAAAAAAAGTAGGGCAGTGATGGGGATAGGCACAGTGTAGATGAAACAAGATTGGCCAGGAATTAGTAACTACTGAAGCTGGTTATGGATGACAGACCCAAATCAACTGTGCATCATCTCGGCAAATTGACTTCTCCAAATCCTGAAGTGGGCTCTAAACTCAATTTTTGGAGAGAAGGACATTTCCTTGCCACCAGAATATACTGTAAAACACAACTACTTCTTATTACTTTTATTATATGGTACACAAATAGGCAAAAACATAATTTAAAAAAACAAAAACATGCTTTAAAATGTAATAACATGAGAATAATCATCTGCTTACTTTCTAATGTATAAGAGTGTGTTCAATTTGTTACCCAAGATTATCCCACTAGGTGAAATAACTTCACTTAAAGGGAAAATTCTTCCCCAGTGCATCCTCTTTATGAGCCAAACAATGGAAAATTTTCACCTCAGTAAGCTGGCCTCAGGGAGGTTCAGGCTCATCCCTGTTGCCTAGATACCAGTGACATCTCAGGAGCTTACAGAAGGCTCTGGCATCCCTCTTGGAAGGGAGACTGGCAAAGGTTCATCAGTCAGTGGTTGCTCCTTCTTTCCTGGCACATTCCACTGCTCAGACAGATACAGGGCTAGCATACAGTGTACCTGTCTGTCACCTAGGAAGCTTTGAAACACAAAAGAAATCTATTATATCTGTTACACTGATTTCTAGATCTCCCAGGTCCCTGCCTTGCTCCCTCCCTACCCAGGCCCTGCATAAAAAACAAACCAAACAAACAAAAAGCTAGTTTCTACAATTGTATTAACTCTAGTCAGTGTTCTTATCCATTTCATTTCTTTCTCTCTCTCTCTTTTTTTTTTTTTTTTTGTAGAGACAGGGTGTTGCTATGTTGCCCAGGTTGATCTTGAACTGCTGGGCTCAAGTGATTCTCCATTTGATTTCTAACAATGCCTGTGAATTCTAAAGTCACAAAGCAGGTAAATCTATCGAAATGACAATGTCAGACAAGACCACAGAAAATAGAAAAAAAATTTTAAATGACAGTTAACAGTTTAACTTTTTCTCAAAAAAAAAAAAAGTTACTAGGCCATCAATTTGCCTATTATGTCAAATGTGATAAAGTATTCATTTGGCCCTTTCTAACTCTGATAGTGGCTAAAGTTAAAACAACACCCTGAAGCTTCTCTTTAAATACTTAACACCCAAGTTACACGATGCAATTATACAAACCCCACAGCAACAACCTATATAAATAAGCATCTTAGTTCACTTAAAATATTACCTGGCTACAACTGCAAATACAGCAAACATTTTAAACACTAGAATTCAACAAAATTACTGTAATCATGGTCCTCTATTAAAAATATCATAGAACCGATGATCTACAACATTTTTGTTACCACGTTCCAAAGTGCCAGTACTTTTTCTTAAAACTATTCAAGATGATTTTTTGTTCTGTGTACATTCTGCTACGGAAATGTTTAATTCCAAGCAGTGACTAGTTCTGTTTTCCCTGGTATTTAAGAGCACTGGATTTTACTGGTTTCTACATTTTATTTTCACTCACTTTTCTGCTAGTGTAGCTTAGTTGATATATGAGAACGAATACAATCCTAAAATGAAATAAGCCATTAGGATGCAAAAGACAAAAGCGGTCTGTAATCAAACGTAAAGAGTGGAAATATCACTATAAAGGTGTCCTCTTATCCATTTAAAGGCATTTTTTCTATAATAAGGTTAAGTGTGTAGATTCCCTCATCGAACACCATCTGACGGGCCCAAATGGCATTCAACACTCAAAATGGCTGCACATCTGCCGACCCCAGGTAACAGTACCTGAGGCGCTGAGCTGACTCCCTATCCAAAGATCCGGGAAGACCCCTCCACCCGCCAAATATCTGGGGAGATCGTGGCCGCCAATGACCTGGGGAGACCCCTCAATGACACCGTAGATCTTGCGCTTCCCAAGACCCGGGGAGATCTCAATGACCAGGAAAGATCCTGCCCTCCCCCAAACCCGGGAGACCCCCTCCAATGACCGGGGAGGATGCTGGACCCCCAAAACCACGGAAATCCCTCCCCCAATGATCAGAAGAAAAACCCTCCTCCCAAATGACCCAGGGAAATCGAATCCACAGGGACCCCGGGAGATTTCCCCCACAATGACCACGGAAGAAGTCTTTCCCAAATAACCTGGGAGACTCCAATGATCAGAGATCCCGTTTCCCAGTAGCCTGAAAAAATCTCCCTCAAAGCTCCTCGGGCACTAGGGCCATAGGACGCGAGCTTTACCTGCCGCCTCAGCCGGGTTCCTCGGCGTTTCCGTCCTATTGTTTCTCTCGCACCAAAATGGCTGCGGCCAGGCCGAGCCCCGCCCCCTGCACCTCGCTCCCGGTGCCCCTCACTATTGGCTCGTCCTAGGAGCTGCGCACGCGGACTGGACAGCCTGAAAGGCGCTGTTGCTAGGGTGCCAGGATTCGCTGCAGCAGCTTCCGGAAAAGGCGGTGACTGGGGGCGGGGCCAGAGAGGGCGGAGCATTGTCCTCCGTCTGGGAGGGTGGGCCGGAGGTCTGACGGGCGGTTGGGTGGATAGACTAGCTGCGGGCCGATGGACAGCAGGATACCTGGGAAACAGATGGATTGACCAACAGTCTTGGTTTGTTCAGTAGTGAGCGATTTCGCAGGATGCAGGAATTTCAATGCTAACACAGAGACAGTCCACTACAAACTGGGAAGTTGGTCACTCTAGCAGATGGACAGAAGACTGGATGTGAATAGACGGAAAGAGGGACAAAAGAGTGCCTGTAGACGGTGGACAAAGAAATGGTTATAGATACAGACAGACAGATTATTAGATATGGAAGGGTGGACAGAGAAGTGGCCATAGAGTTTTCTGGGGACTGGTGGATGACCCAGTGCCCAACCCAGCTCCCACCAAGCACCACACCACAGGGCTTGTCTGAGGCTCATTTGTCTTGGGCCTGTGTTGGACAGAAGGGCTCTCACCTGAGTGAATGTCAGCATAGCTGTGAAAGGCAAAGGAGAGGGTTAGTGCCACTGAGAATGGGCAGAGCCTCCTACCTGATCTCTGCTCTTTCTGTAAAGGAGAACAATGTTGCAGCCCTGTGTACTGGGCATTTGCAAAGGTGTAAATTCACTCATACACTTTTTAATTCAACAAGTATTTATTAAGCACTTACACTCGGTATTGGAAATACAGCAGTGAACAAAAAAGGAAAATAAATAAATATCCCTGACCTTATAACAGTGGATAGGAGAGACTTCTGTGAGCAGCTCCTCTCACCTTAGCATGTGGTTTCCAGGGCTCCATGTCCTCCTGGTTTCCTCCAGTCTCACCAGTTTCTCATCTGTGTGTTTTCTCTTTGTCTACACTCACTCTTCCAAAATCTTATCCAGGCTCATGACTTCAAATGCCACCTACATGTCAATCACTCCTAAAAGTGTTTGTCCAGTCCAGACCCTTCCTGAGTGGCAGATTCACTAGTCCCACTGTCAACTAGACATCTGCACTCTGACTTCCAGTTGCTGGCATCTCAAACGCAACTTGTGCTACCCTAACACTGGCTCATCCGCCAAACCTACTTCACCCCACTTTCCCCAAATTGAGTGATAGCATCTCAGCCCTTCTTATTGCTCAAGTCAAACACCTCAAAGTACCCCTTGACTACTCTCTTTCCCATCTATATTCAGTGCACCAGGAAGGTCTGCTGTCTCCATCAGCATCATCTACCCAGAATGAAATCACTTCTTGCCACCTCCATACCTTTCACTGAGTCCAAACTGCCACCATTTCTCTTGAGTGCAATGTCACAGCTGCCTCCTGGTCTCCTCTTGCTGCCCCTGATGCCTTCAGTCTGTTCTGCACACATCAGCCTGTGAATACATGAGTCAGATCCTCCCATTCCCTGCTCAGAACCCTGGAGTACTTCCTCCCCAAGGGAAAACCAGAGACATCAGGACCTTCATAATTCCCTATCACCCCCCCGACTGTATCTCCCCGGCCAGCTTTTGGCCTTGCTGCTCAATCTCCCAGTGTTCCTCACACATCACACCCCATGCACTCTCCTGCACAGTGTATGAGTTATGGTTGTTCCCATGCCTGGATTGCACAGATTTCCAAAGAGCTGCACCCCAGCTCTCAGAGCCCCTCATTTCAGACTGTAACCTGCCCCACTCTGCCCCCAGCACTCAGTACCACCTTTATCCCCTCATCCTGGCTCTATATGTTTCCATAGCAGTTACCACCTTCTCAGAATTTTTTTTTTTTGAGACATAATCTTGCTCTGTCACCCAGGCTGCAGTGCTATGACATTGCAACCTCCGCTTCCAGGGTTGAAGCGATTCTCATGCCTCAGCCTCCCAAGTAGCTGGGATTACAGGCGTGTGCCACCACACCCGGCTAATTTTTCTATTCTTCAATAGAGACGGGGTTTCACCATGTTATCCAGGCCAGGCTGGTCTCAAACTCTTGGCCTCAAGTGATACACACTCCTTGACCTCCCAAAGTGCTGGGATAACAGGCATTAGGCACCGTACCCGGCCGCTTCATAGCAGTTACCACCTTGGGGCCGCCCTAGCATTAATTCACTCTTCCATTCCTTTCACAAGTGCTTATCAAGGTCTGACTTAGATTAGACACCAGGGATGCAGCGTGAATAAACACAGCAAGAATTCAAATGATTTATTTGTCCGGAGGTGGGTGAGAGGCAACAGACAGTAAAAGAACAAATAACATAATTATAGGCAGAGTGACTACAATGGAGAAAAGGAACCAAGCAAAAGTGCAGAGTATGGTGTTTATGTCTAAGGCAGCAGGAGAGGTAGATCTGAGAAGGGAACATCTGAGCTAAGATCAGCCCAAAGGCACTGGCTGAGCATGGAAAGATCTAGAGGAAGCCATTTCTGACAAAAGCACAGCAAGTACAAAGACCCCGAGGAAAGAAGAAGTTTGATATTTTGAGGGAATATGAAAAAGCCACTTGGGTCTAATGGAAGAAATAGCTCAGAACTTAAGGGAAAGATGCACAGAGCTGAAAACGATGAAGGAATAGACCACAGATCTGGGGGGCAAGTCCAAGAATTCTGATGTGCAGACAGCAGGAGTCCTAAAAGGAGAAAAAGGGACAGCTGAAATGGAGGCACCAGCTAGTCAAACTACAGAAGAAAACTTTCATGACATGAAGAAAACTCTGTGTCAGCCGGGTGCAGTGGCTCACACTTGTAATCCCAGCACTTTGGGAGGCTGAGGCAGGCAGATCACTTGAGGTTAGGAGTTTGAAACCAGCCCGGCCACCATGATGAAACCCTGTCTCTACTAAAAAATACAAAAATCAGCCGGGCGTGGTGTAGTCCCAGCTACACCTGTAGTCCCAGGTGTAGCGTGGTGTAGTCTCAGTGCACCTGTAGTCCCAGCTATTCCGGAAGCTGAGACAGGAGAATCACTTGAACCCAGGAGATAGAGGTTGCAGTGAGCCAAGATCACGCTACTGCACTACAGCCTGGGTGACAGAGCAAGACTCCCTCTCAAAAAAAAAAAAGAAAGAGAAAAGAAAAAAGAAAAAGCTGTGTGTAGATGGGAGGGGTTGGCCACATTCCCAAGCAGGATGAAAGAGAAAGACTACAGTAAAATTCTTAAACTCCAAGGAGAAAGAGACCATTATACAAGCTTCTAGATAGATAAAACAAATTACATACCAAGGAAGAAGGGCCAGCTGGCCTCAAACTCTTACCCGTAACACAGGTGCACTATCTGCCCACCTAGACCCAGCTAAAGGACAGTTGTCATGCCTGGAGAGGAACAATAACCATAAATGGAATGAGGAAAAAATAGTAGAATGTCCAAATTACCAAGGGGAAACATTAAATGAATGACAGTTTAATCAAAGACAGCAAAGAGAAAGAGGAAAATATTAGGTTGACCCTGTGAAACTGCTAATATTTAACTGTTTAAACCTACAAAAACAGTAGTTTCATATAGGTCAACTAAATAAAAATATAAAACTACAAAGTAAAAAATAATAAACCTAGGCCAGGTGTGGTTGCACACGCCTGTGAGCCCAACACTTTGGGAGGCCGAGGCGGTCGGATCACGAGGTCAGGAGATCGAGACCATCCTGGCTAACACGGTGAAACCCGGTCTCTACTAAAAAAATACAAAAAAATTAGCTGGGCGTGGTGGCGGGCGCCTGTAGTCCCAGCTATTCAGGAGGCTGAGGCAGGAGAATGGTGTGAACCTGGGAGGCAGAGCTTGCAGTGAGCTGAGATCGTGCCACTGCACTCCAGCCTGGGCAACAGAGCGAGACTCCATCTCAAAATAATAACAATAATAATAATAATAATAATAAACCTAAATTATGGGGCTGGGCACTATGGCTGTCACCTTTAATCCCAGCTACTCTGGAGGCTGAGGCAGGAGGATCACTTGAGCCCAGGACCTGAAGTCCAGCCTGGGCAACATAGCGAGATCCTGTGTCTTTAAAAAAAAAAAAGGAATTTATGGAATGAGCAAAACTAAACATCTTTATCACAGTAAATAAATCCTGAACTCCCTTTAAAGGCATAGAGACTGGATTAGAGAGACAAAACCCAGCCACATGCTATTTATAGGATATTTGAGACCACACAAACAGAAAAGGCTGAAAAATAAAGGAGTGGGCAGAGAGATCAGGCCAGCACAAACTAGAAGAGAACAGGAGTACATGACATGAGAAAAGGTAGGATTTAAGGTGATAGGCATTGAGCAAAATAAACAGGGCCACTGTCTAACATAGAAACAGACAATTTATGAAACAGACATGGCCAGGCACTGTGGCTCACACCTGTAATCCCACCATTTTGAGAGGCCAAGGTGGGCAGATCACTTGAGACCAGGAGTTCAAGACAAGCCTGGCCAACATGGTGAAAGCCCATCTCTACCAAAAATACAAAATTAGCCGAGCGTGGTGGTGCATGCCTATAGTCCTAGCTACTTGGGTGGCTGAGGCACGAGAATTACTTGAACCCAGGAGGTGGAGGTTGCAGTGAGCTGAGATCACACCACTGCACTCCTAGGTGACAAAGCAAGACTCTGTCTCCAAAAAAAAGAAAAGAAAAAAGAAACAGATATAAACTATACATAAACGATATAATAATAAGTTCAGGTACACCAGATATGCAAAACATTTTTTTAAATCAGGAACTAGACAGGGATGATGGCAACACTATTATAACACATTGCCTTAGAATTCTAGCAAATATTTCTAAAGCATTTGGCTTTGGAGGGAAAAAAAGAATCCTAACGAATATAATAAGAAAAGAAAATGGCATGTTATAAATATTGGAGAGAAAGACATTAAACTATCTCTTTAGTTAATGCCGTGGTTACAAATCTAGAAAATCCAAAGGACTTTCTTGAAAATTATTACAATTAATAAGATAAAATGTTAAGGTGATAAATACAAGAAAAATACATTAAAAATAATAGCATTTGCTACAAATTGGCCCCTAGAAATGAATAAAAATGAGAAAAATATTTAATTTCAAATATTTAAGAACAAAAATATAAAATATTGTTTTTGTTTTTGTTTTTGTTTTTGTTTTTGAGACAGAGTCTTCTCTGTCGCCCAGGCTGGAGTGCAGTGGCATGATCTCGGCTCACTGCAACCTCCTCTTCCCAAGTTCAACCGATTCTCCTGCCTCAGCCTCCTGAGTAGCTGGGACTACAGGCGTGCACCACCACTAATTTTTGTATTTTATGTAGAGACAGGGTTTCACCATGTTGGTTAGGCTGGTCTCATACTCCTGACCTCAGGTGATCCACCCACCTCAGCCTCCCAAAGTGGTGGGATTACAGGCGTGAGCCACCGTGCGTGGCCAAATGTTCTTTTACATGTCTTTTGGTGGACACACCATTTGTTTCTGTTGCATATAACTCAGGCTATTTGGATACTTCCACCATCATCCTTGATGTGTTGGATTCTGTCCTCAGGCTTATGGCCCTTGCATTGAAAGATAGCTGCATCCTTTCCAAACATCATATCAGTATTCAAAGTAGGAGGTAGGCTGGCACCAGCCACATCTATCCCCTTTATCAGGTAAGCAAATGCTTTCCCAGAAGCCCCAGCAGACTTCCATTTATTGTTCATTGACCAGTGACTCAGGCTTCTCAGGCTCACAAGGAGGCTGAGAAGTCAGAGAATGGGTCAGGATTTGTCTATTACTTGGGACTGGACACTTACCCTCCTGGACAAAATTGAGGTTTGTTAGCAAAGAAGGAGAAAAGGGTATTAAGAGGCAATGGACAGAACCTCACAACATGAAAAGACGTTGAAACTCATCAGAAGGCAAGGAATGGTCATCAAAGTAAGCAATATAGCAACGACAAAACTATGGAGAGAATAGGACTTCATCAGGGTGAAAGTATTGGAGTGTACCTTGCCACTGAAGATCTTTTATTTACTTCAAGAGAGATTTAAGGGTGGCAGTTTGAGATAAAACCAGGAGATATCAGTTATGATGGTTTGGAGGAAAAGTGTAAACTGGCAGTGTAAACAAGGGCAGGGCATTTATGAGTAGTTGAGAATGGTGAATAGGAGTATGACTACACAGAAGATAGTAGGGATGACAAGTTTTTGGGGCATAGTCCAAGTAGTGGGGGTGACTGCGTATAGCCCTGTTGCAAAAAGTAGGGTAAGGATGAATAGACTTAAAAGAATGAAGGGATGTATTAGGCTCATAAGGGTTATTACTGTTTTTCAGAAATGCGAGTGAGTTTAAGGGAAGTAGGGGAGAGTACTTCCGACTTCCAGGAGGAAGAAGAGAGATCAGGCTGGCTGGCTGACAGACACAGCTTTATTCTGGAATGGTGAACCCAATGGGGAGGGTCCTGCAGGCGGATGGCAGTTGGGGTGCTATAGATGACTAAGTAGGGTCCAGTCCATCGAGGTTGTAGAGTTTGAGGGGTCAGATTTTTAATAAGAACTGATCGTCCAGCTAGGGTGTCTTTATATGTCTGGGAATCTGGAGTAGGCAAGAGAAGATTAGCAGCCTGGCGAATTTCCTGTCTAGCCTGCTTGAGGACTGGAAGATAGTCACCTAGAGGGCTGGTGTCTGGGACGAGGCTGGGGCTGAACAAGAAAGTACGTCCATATAAAAGTTTAAATGGACTGTGCCCTGTAGCATCTCGAGAACAGGCTCTAATTCTGAGAAGGGCAACAGGTAAAAATACTGTCCAGTCCTTTTTAAGTTGAAGGATGAGCTTAGTGAGGTGTGTCTTTAAAATACCATTAGTCTGGCCAGGTGCGGTGGCTCACACCTGTAATCCCAGCACTTTGGGAGGCCGAGGCGGGCGGATCATGAGGTCAGGAGATCAAGACCATCCTGGCTAACATGGTGAAACCCTGTCTCTACTAAAAAAAATACAAAAAATTAGCCAGGTGTGGTGGCGGGCACCTGTAGTCCCAGCTACATGGGAGGCTGAGGCAGGAGAATGGTGTGAACCTGGGAGGCAGAGCTTGCAGTGAGCAGAGACTGGGCCACTGCACTCCAGCCTGGGAGACAGAACAAGACTCTGTCTCAAAAAAAAAAAAAATACCATTAGTCCATTTTACCTTTCCTGAAGATTGAGGACGGTAAGGGGTGTGAAGGTTTTGCTGAATATCAAGAGTCTGAGAAACTGCTTGGGTGATATGACTAATAAAGGCCAGTCTGTTATCGGACTGTATAGAGATGGAAAGGCCAAACTGAGGAATTATGTCTGACAGAAGGGAAGAAATGACCGCGGTGGCCTTTTCAGACCCTGTGGGAAAGGCCTCTACCCATCCAGTGAAAGTGTCTACCCAGACCAAGAGGTATTTTAGTTTTTTGACTCAGGGCATGTGAGTAAGTCAATTTGCCAGTCCTGGGCAGGGGCAAATCCCTGAGCTTGATGTGTAGGGAAGGGAGGGGGCCTGAACAATCCCTGAGGAGTAGTAGAACAGGAGATAGAACACTGAGAAGTGACTTTTTTGAGGATAGATTTCCACAATGGAAACAAAATAAGAGGTTTTAAGAGACGGGCTAGGGCCGGGCGTGGTGGCTCACACCTGTAATCCCAGCACTTTGGGAGGCCGAGGTGGGCAGATCACAAGGTCAGGAGATTGAGACCGTCCTGGCTAACATGGTGAAACCCCATCTCTACTAAAAACACAAAAAAATTAGCTGAGCGTGGTGGTGGGTGCCTGTACTCCCAGCTACTGGGGAGGCAGAGGCGGGAGAATGGCGTGAACCCGGGAGGCGGAGCTTGCAGTGAGCCAAGATCGTGTCACTGCACTCCAGCCTAGCCAACAGAGCGAGACTCTGTCTCAAAAACAAAAACAAAAACAAAAGAGATGGGCTAGCGGCTTGTAACCTACATTAAAGAGGTTATGAAATGATGACAGAATAGAATGGGCCTGTGAGGCTGGAAGGAGATATTCTTCTTGGTCTAAGAACCACTTGCCTTGTGTGGGAAGAGACTGACAGGTGGAAGTTTTAGTGGGAGAGTAGGTGGGAGTGACTGATAAGAGGAAGAAAAACTGGCCACGAAGGACAGAAGTTAGAATGCTAGCTGCTTGTTTAGCTGTCTTATCAGCATAACTGTTGCCTTGAGCGATGGGATCTGATGCCTTTTGATGGCCCTTGCAGTGAATGACTCTTTGGAAGTAAAGCAGCCTTGAGAAGAGTTTTTATTAAAGAGGCGTTAATGATGGAGGACCCTTGCGTAGTGAGGAAACCTCTTTCAGCCCATATAACAGCAATGGTGGTGCAGGATATGGAAGGCATATTTAGAGTCAGTATAAATATTGACGTGTAGTCCTTTTGCAAGAGTGAGGGCCCGAGTTAAGGCAATGAGTTCAGATTGCTGAGAGGTAGTGGAGCTGGGCAGAGTGGTAGCCTCAATGATAGATGTGGAAGATACTATAGCATAGCCTGCCTTTGCTGGTGAGTGGCAATTAGGCCTGGTGGAACTGCCATCAATAAACCGAGTATGATCAGGGTGAGGAACAGGAAAGAAGGAAATATGGGTAAATGGAGTGAATGTCAGGTGGATCAGAGAGATACAGTCATGGGGGTCGGAGTGGTATCCGGAATAATGTGGGAGGCCAGATTGAAGTCCAGACCAGGAACAATGGTAATTGTGGGAGACTCAACAAAGAGTGAGTATAGCTGAAGGAGCCAGGGAGCAGAAAGTATATGCGTCAGGTGTGAGGAAGAAAATAGATTTTGGAAGTTATGAGAACTGTAGAGAGTGAGTTGACCATAGTTTGTGAATTTGAGGGCCTGTAAAACTATTAGGGTGGTGGCAGCCACCGCACAGAGGCATGATGGCCAGCTTAAAATAGTAAGGTCAATTTGTTTGGACAAAAAGCCCACAGGGTGCAGTCCCAGTCCTTGTGTAAGAATTTTGACTGCACAGCCCTGCACTTCAGCTGTGTGTAATGAAAAGGGTTGGGATGGGTCAGGCAGAGCTAGTGTGGGAGCAGTCTCTAGAGCTGTCTTTAAGGAATGGAAACAGGAGTGGGGAAAGGATTTAGGATCTATGGGGTCAGCTAGGTTTTTCTTTGTGAGTTTATATAATGGTTTTGTTAGGATGGCAAAACCACGTATCCAAAGGTGAAAGTATCCAACCATGCCCAGAAAGGAAAAAAGTTGTTGTTTTATAGAAGGGGTTGGGGTTTGGGAGATTAGCCAGACATAATCACCAGACATAAACACCATGTGTGTTTTTATGAAAAATTATGCCAAGATAGGTAATTGGGTGAGGAAGAAATTTGGGCTTGACTGAAGTAATGGGGGCTGTCCCTGAAGCCTTGCGGCAGTATAGCCCAGGTAAGTTGCTGAGGCTGATGGGTGTCAGGGTCAGTCCAGGTAAAAGCAAAGAGGGCCTGGGACGAGGGGTGCAGGGGAATAGTGAAAAAGTGTTTCTAAGATCAAGAACGGAATAGTGCGTTGTGGAGGAAGGTATTGAGGACAAAAGAATGTATGGGTTGGGCACCACAGCGTGGATAGGCAAAACAATTTTGTTGATAAGGTGCAGATCCTGAGCTAACCTGTAAGACTTGTCTGGTTTTTGGACAGGTAAAATGGGGGAATTGTAAGGAGAGTTTATAGGCTTTAGAAGCCCATGCTGTAGCAGGTGAGTGATAACAGGCTTTAACTTTTTTAAAGCCTGCTGTGAGATGGGATATTGGCATTGAGTGGGGTAAGGGTGATTAGGTTTTAATGGGATCATAAGGGGTGCATGATTGGTCACCAAGGTAGGAGTAGAGGTATCTTATACTTGTGGATTAAGGTAAGGAGACACAAGGGGAGGATGTGAAGGAGGCTTTGAATTGGGGAAAAGGGCAGCAATGAGGTGTGGCTCTAGCCCAGGAATAGTCAGGGAAGTAGATAATTTAGTTAGAATGTCTTGACATAATAAGGAAAGTGGGCAGGTGGAAATAAATAAAAAGGAGTGCATAAAAGAATGTTGTCCACGTTGGCACCAGAGTGGGGGAGTTTAAGGGGTTTTGAAGCTTGGCCATCAATACCCACAACAGTTATGGGGGCAAGGGAAACAGGCCCTTGAGAAGAAGGTAACGTGGAGTGGGTAGCCCTTGTATCGATTAAACAGGGGATGGACTTAGCCTTCACTGTGAGAGTTACCCGAAGCTCGGCATCCGTGATGGTCCAGGGGGCTTCTGAAGTGATCAGGCAGCATCAGTTTTCAGCCGCTAAGCCGAGCAGATCTGGGAAGGAGTCAGTCAGAGAGCCTTGGCCCAGAGCTTTAGGGACTCTAGGAGTGGCTGCCAGGCAAGATGGGCAGTCTGATTTCCAGTTGGTCCCTGCACAGATGGGACACGGCTTGGGAGTAATCCCAGGCTGTGGGCACTCCTTGGCCCAGTGGCCAGATTTCTGGCATTTGAAGCAAGATCCTGATGGAGGAGGTCCTGTAGGAATGCCTGACCACTGTGGTTTAGGCATTTTGAAGTTCTTATGTGCTGGAGGTGCGGCTGGATTTTGTCTCACAGCAGAGGCAAGTAATCGTAACTCAGAAATGTGTTGCCGTCTGGCTGCCTGCTCTCTATTACTGTACACCTTGAAGGTGAGATTGATTAATTCCTGTTGTGGGGTTTGAGGGCCAGATTCCAATTTTTGAAGCTTTTTTTTTTTTTTTTTTTCATGTCAGGAGCTGACTGGGTGATAAAATGTATATTGAGAATGAGACGGCCTTCTGACCCTTCAGGGTCTAGGGCTGTAAAGTGTCTCAGGGTTGCTGCCAAATGAGCCATGAACTGGGCTGGGTTTTCGTCTTTACCTTGGGTAGGTTTTTTTTTTAAGTTTATCGTAATTAACAGCTTTGTATGCTGCCTTTTTAAGCCCTTCAACTAGGCAGGAAACCATGTAATCTTGCCTAGCTATACCTGGGGAATCTGCCTGATAGTTTCATTGGGGATCCGCTTAGAGAACTGCTCTACTGCCTTCTTGGAGGTCTGGCTCATGACACCAGCAGTTGTCAGCATGAGACTGGGCTAGAGAAAAAACTCTTTCCTGTTCATGTGGGGAGAGGGTAGAAGTTAGGATGACATTTAAGTCACTCCAGGTTAAATTGTACGACAGAGTTAGATATCGGAATTCCTGTATATATTTAGTGAGGTCTGATGAGAAAGAGCCTAAAAGCTGGCTGATTTGGGAAAGGTCTGATAGAGAAAAAGGCACATGTACCCTGACTATGCCTTCAGCTCCAGCCACCTCTCTAAGAGGAAATTGTTGGGCAGGTGGGGAAGAGCTAGTCACAGAATGAAACTGTAAGCCAGACCAGGTATCAGGAGGGGAGGTGATAGAAGGGTTGTAGGGTGGAGGAGCAGAGGCTGAGGAAGAATTTGAGCCTGATTCAGACTGGCGGAGAGCGACCTGAAGAGGAGAAGTCTGGGGAGGAGGGGAGAGGTCAGATGGGTAGGTAGAAAAGAAAGATTGAAAGGACTCAAGAGCTTGGGGTGGAGACTGAAGGAACAGACAGGAGAAAAAGAAGAAAGATTTGGGACGAGTCACATTGGGAGCAGAGACCAGGGAGGGAACAAAGTGTGAAAAATGCCTGGATGTAAGGCACCTCAGACCATTTGCCCATTTTTTGACAAAAATTATCTAGATCTTGTAGGATGGAGAAATCAAAAGTGCCGTGGTTTTTTTTTTTTTTTTTTTTTTTTTTTTTTTTTTTTTTTTTGCCATTTAGAGCCATTATCAAGTTTGTATTTGGGCCAAGCCATGTTGCAGAAGAAAATAAGACACTTAGGTTTTAGGTCAGGCGAGAGTTGAAGAGGTTTTAAGTTCTTGAGAACACAGGCTAAGGGGGAAGAAGGAGGAATGGAGGGTGGAAGGTTGCCCATAGTGAAGGAGGCAAGCCTAGAGAAAAGAGAGGGTAGAGACACTTCGGGGGGTGGGGGGGTGGTACTTGCCACCCAGAGGAGGTGGTACTTGCCACCAAGGTGAAGGATCAAGGCAGGCATCCCCGTGGTGATCAGACACCTCTGAAACGTGGGTGAATAATCAGGCAGGCATCCCCGCTGTGATTAGACACCTAGACAACAAGGGAAGACTGTCTTCCCGAGTCCTTGACCAGTGCCGGAGTTTTGGGTTCACAGATAAAACACATCTCCTCTGTTTCTACCAGAAAAGGAAATGAACTGAAATTGAGGGAAGGGAGAGATTGAAGGGTAGCGCAGAAATTGAAAGGAGAAAGAAGTTGAGGGATAGCGAGAGAGGTTGGAGAAGAGGGTAAAAAGAGTCTGCTTACCCGATTTAAAATCGGTGAGATGTTCCTTGGGCTGGTTGGTTTGAGGACTGGAGGTCGTAGGTGGATCCTTCTCATGGAGCAAAGAGCAGGAGGACAGGGGATTGATCTCCCAAGGGAGGTACCCTGATCCGAGTCACGGCACCAAAATGTCACACGTGTCCATGTGAAGAGACCACCAAAAGGCTTTGTGTGAGCAACAAGGCTATTTATTCACTTGGGTGCAAGTGGACTGAGTCTGAGAAAGGAGTCAGCAAAGGGAGTTAGGGATGGGGCAGTTTTATAGGACTGGGGTAAGCAGTGGAAAGTTACAATTAAAGGGGGTTTTTCTCTTGCGGGCAGGGGTGGGGATCACAAAGTGCATGGTGGGGAGATCATAAGTCTCATTGTCCAGAAGAATGTCACGAGGTCGATCTATCGATCAGTTGGGACAGGGCAGAAACAAGTCATAATGGAATGTCATAAGGTTGGTTAATCAGTTAAGACAGAAGCTGGAGGCTGGGTGCGGTGGCTCACACCTGTAATCCCAGCACTTTGGGAGGCCGAGGTGGGCAGATCACGAGGTCAGGAGATCGAGACCATCCTGGCTAACATGGTGAAACCCTGTCTCTACTAAAAATGCAAAAAATTTGCCAGGTGTGGTGACGGGCGCCTGTAGTCCCAGCTACTCAGGAGGCTGAGGCAGGAGAATGGCGTAAACCCAGGAGGTGGAGCTTGCAGTGAGCCAAGATCACGTCACTGCACTCCAGCTTGGGCGACAGAACAAGACTCTGTCTCATTTAAAAAAAAAAAAAAAAGAAAAGAAAGACAGGAGCTGGCTGTTTCACTTCTTTTGTACTTTTTGGTTGCCTCAGGCCATCTGGATGTATACCTGTAGGCTTGGGCTGAGAGGCCTGACACCCAGGAGATGGAGGTTGCAGTGAGCTGAGATCATGCCACTGCACTCCAGCCTGGGTGACAGAGTGAGACACTGTCTCAAAAAAAAAAAAAAAAAAAAAGAGAAGAGTAACAGGGCCGGGTGCAGGGGCTCACGCCTGTAACCCCAGCACTTTGGGAGGCTGAGGCGGCCAGATCACCTGAGGTCGGGAGTTCGCAACCAGCCTGACCAACATGGAGAAACCCCATTTCTACTAAAAATACAAAATTAGCCAGGTATGGTGGTGCATGCCTGTAGTCCCAGCTACTCAGGAGGCTGAGGCAGGAGAATCGCTTGAACCCGGTTGCAGTGACCCGAGATCATGCCATTGCACTTCAGCCTGGACAACAAGAGCAAAACTCCGTCTCAAAAAAAAAAAAAAAAAGGCCAGGCTTGGTGGCTCATGCCTGTAATCCCAGTAATCCCAGTATTCCCAGCACTTTCGGACGCCGAGGTGGGCAGATCACGAGGTCAGGAGATCAAGACCATCCTGGCTAACACGGTGAAATCCTGTCTCTACTAAAAATACAAAAAAAAAAAAAAATTAGCCGGGTGTGGTGGCGCGCACCTTTAATCCCAGCTACTCGGGAGGCTGAGGCAGGAGAATTGCTTGAACTTGGGAGGAGGAGGTTGCAGTGAGCCAAGATCACACCACTGCACTCCAGCCTGGGCGACAGAGCGAGACTCTGTCTTAAAAAACAAAAGAATAACAGTTGCCAGGCATTTTGGGAGGCCAAGGCGGGTGGATCACTAGGCCTGGAGTGTGAGTGCAGCCTGGCCAACATGGCAAAACCCTGGCTCTACTAAAAAATACAGCTTGGCATGGTGGCTCACGCCTGTAATCCCAACTCTTAGGGAGGCAGAGGCGGGAGGATAGCTTGAGCCCTGGGGTTCAAGACTTGCCTGGGCAATATAGCGAGACACCATTCTCCACAAAAAGAGGGAAAAAAACTGTAAAAATTACAAAAATTGGCTGGGCACAGTGGCTCACGCCTGTATTCCCAGCACTTTGGGAGGCCAAGGCAGGTGGATCATGAGGTCAGGAGTTCAAGACCAGCCTGGTCAACATAGTGAAACCCTGTCTCTACTAAAAATACAAAAAATTAGCCAGGCATGGTGGCAGGCACTTGTAATCCCAGCTACTCGGGAGGCTGCAGCAGGAGAATTGCTTGAATCCAGGGGACAGAGGTTGCATTGAGTGGAGATCGCGCCACTGCACTCCAGCCTGGGTGACAGTGCAAGACTCCCTCTCAAAAAAAAAAAAAAATAGCTTTGTGGTGGCACATGCCTGTAATCTCAGCTACTGGGCTGAGGCACAAGAATTGCTTGAACCCGGGAGGCAGAGGTTGCAGTGAGCCAAGATCATGCCTCTAGACTCCAGCCTGGGTGACAGAGCAAGACTATCTTTCTCTCTCTCTCTCTCTATATATATATGTATATATGACACACATATATATATGACATAATATATAAGTTGCTTTATTACCAACAGACTAGCAAAAATCAAAAAGAGCTGCACCAGGCTGGGCGTGGTAGCTTACGCCTGTAATCCCAGCACTTTGGGAGGCTGAGGCGGGTGGATTGCCTGAGGTCAGGAGTTCGTGATCAGCCTGGCCAACATGGTGAAACCCCGTCTCTACTAAAACTACAAAAATTAGCTGGGCGTGGTGGTGTACGCCTGTAGTCCCAGCTACTCAGGAGGCTGAGGCAGGAGAATTGCTTGAACCCAGGAGGTAGAGGTTACAATGAGCCGAGATCGCACCACTGCACTCCAGCCTGCAGCCTGGGTGGGTGGCAGAGCAAGACTCTGTCTCAAAAACAAAAAACAAAAAACAAACAAACAAAAAAAAACAGAGCTGCACCAACTCTTGCTTTCAGGGATGTGAGAAAAAGGATGCTTCCAAACATTGTTGACAGAGGTAAGACTGGCTACAGCCTTTTTGGAAAGCAATTTGGCAAACTCCAGTAAAATAAAAATGCATATACTTCTGGGTCCTGTAATTCCAATCTTGGGATTCTCACTTATAGAAATAAAAGCACTGAGATGGCCGGGTGCAGTGGCTCACGACTGTAATCCCAGCACTTTGGGAGGCCAAGGTGGGCGGATCACGATGTCAGGAGATCGAGACCATCCTAGCTAACACGGTGAAACCTCATCTTTACTAAAAATACAAAAAATTAGCCAGGCGTGGTGGTGGGCGCCTGTAGTCCCAGCTACTTGGGAGGCTGAGGCAGGAGAATGGGGTGAACCCGGGAGGCGGAGCTTGCAGTGAGCTGAGACTGCGCCACTGCACTCCAGCCTGGGCGACACAGCAAGACTCCGTCTCAAAAAAGAAAAAAAAAAGCACTGAGATATGAACAATATAGTCAGGGATATTTATTGCTATATCACATGTAGTGGGAGAAAAAGCCTGCAAAGTGATGGCCCATCCACAAGGGCATAGTTAAAGACATTTTGGGACCTCTAAAGTGTTATGGCTACTACATTGTGTAACAAATTACCTCAAATTTGGTGGCTTATAACAACTTATTTTGCTCACAAATCTGCCATTTGAGCAAGATTCAATGGAGATAACTTTTCTCTGATGCATTAGCTGGGGAAGCTTGCAGGCTGGGGTTGGAATCATCTGAAGGCTCCTCACTTGAAGTCTGCCATTTGAGGCTGGCTGTCATCTGAGAATTTAGCCAGGGCTGAAAACCTGCATGTGGCCTCTCCTGGACTTCCTCACAACATGGTAGATAGATTCCAAGGATGATTATACTAAGTGAGAGCAAGTAAAGTGGAAGTTCTGATACAGGGCTGGTGAGCCCTAAAGTGGAGCTTAGCCCATGAGGGTTCTTGGCTTTGCCCAGGAAAGAATTCAAGGGCAAGCCAGAAGTAGAAGAAAACACCCTCACCCTCACCCTCACCCTCACCCTCTCCCTCTCCCTCTCCCTCTCCCCACGGTCTCCCTCTCCCTCTCTTTCCACGGTCTCCCTCTGATGCCAAGCCAAAGCTGGACTGTACTGCTGCCATCTCGGCTCACTGCAACCTCCCTGCCTGATTCTCCTGCCTCAGCCTGCCCAGTGCCTGCGATTGCAGGCGCGCGCCGCCACGCCTGACTGGTTTTCGTATTTTTTTGGTGGAGACTGGGTTTCGCTGTGTTGGCTGGGCTGGTCTCCAGCTCCTAACCACGAGTGATCCGCCAGCCTCGGCCTCCCGAGGTGCCGGGATTGCAGACGGAGTCTGGTTCACTCAGTGCTCAATGGTGCCCAGGCTGGAGTGCAGTGGCGTGATCTCGGCTCGCCACAACCTCCACCTCCCAGCCGCCTGCCTTGGCCTCCCAAAGTGCCCAGATTACAGCCTCTGCCTGGCCGCCACCCCGTCTGGGAAGTGAGGAGCGTCTCTGCCTGGCCGCCCATCGTCTGGGAGGTGAGGAGCCCCTCTGCCCGGCTGCCCAGTCTGGAAAGTGAGGAGTGTCTCTGCCTGGCCGCCATCCCATCTAGGAAGTGAGGAGCGCCTCTTCCCGGCCGCCATCCCATCTAGGAAGTGAGGAGCGTCTCTGCCCGGCCGCCCATCGTCTGAGATGTGGGGAGCGTCTCTGCCCCGCCGCCCCGTCTGGGATGTGAGGAGCGCCTCTGCCTGGCCGTGACCCCGTCTGGGAGGTGAGGAGCGTCTCTGTCCGGCCGCCCCGTCTGAGAAGTGAGGAGACCCTCCGCCTGGCAACCGCCCCGTCTGAGAAGTGAGGAGCCCCTCCGCCTGGCAGCCGCCCCGTCTGAGAAGTGAGGAGCCTCTCCGCCCGGCAGCCACCCCGTCTGGGAAGTGAGGAGTGTCTCCGCCCAGCAGCCACCCCGTCCGGGAGGGAGGTGGGGGGGTCAGCCCCCCGCCCGGCCAGCCGCCCCGTCCGGGAGGGAGGTGGGGGTCAGCCCCCGCCAGGCCAGCCGCCCCGTCTGGGAGGGAGGTGGGGGGGTCAGCCCCCCGCCCGGCCAGCCGCCCCATCCGGGAGGTGAGGGGCGCCTCTGCCCAGCCGCCCCTACTGGGAAGTGAGGAGCCCCTCTGCCCGGCCAGCCACCCCGTCCGGGAGGGAGGTGGGGGGGTCAACCCCCCGCCCGGCCAGCCGCCCCATCCTGGAGGGAGGTGGGGGGGTCAGCCCCCTGCCCGGCCAGCCGCCCCATCTGGGAGGGAGGTGGGGGGGTCAGCCCCCCGCCTGGCCAGCCGCCCCGTCTGGGAGGTGAGGGGCGCCTCTGCCCGGCCGCCCCTACTGGGAAGTGAGGAGCCCCCCCGCCCGGCCAGCCGCCCCGTCTGGGAGGTGAGGGGCGCCTCTGCCCGGCCACCCCTTCTGGGAAGTGAGGAGCCCCTCTGCCCGGCCACCACCCCGTCTGGGAGGTGTGCCCGACAGCTCATTGAGAACGGGCCATGATGACAATGGCGGTTTTGTGGAATAGAAAGGGGGGAAAGGTGGGGAAAAGATTGAGAAATCGGATGGTTGCCGTGTCTGTGTAGAAAGAAGTAGACATGGGAGACTTTTCATTTTGTTCTGTACTAAGAAAAGTTCTTCTGCCTTGGGATCCTGTAGATCTGTGACCTTACCCCCAACCCTGTGCTCTCTGAAACATGTGCTGTGTCCACTCAGGGTTAAATGGATTAAGGGCGGTGCAAGATGTGCTTTGTTAAACAGATGCTTGGAGACAGCATGCTCGTTAAGAGTCATCACCACTCCCTAGTCTCAAGTAGGCAGGGACACAAACACTGCGGAAGGCCGCAGGGTCCTCTGCCTAGGAAAACCAGAGACCTTTGTTCACTTGTTTATCTGCTGACCTTCCCTCCACTATTGTCCTATGACCCTGCCAAATCCCCCTCTGCGAGAAACACCCAAGAATGATCAATAAAAAAAAAAAAAAAGAAAGAAAACAGCTTTGTTGAAGAGGCGGTGTTAGGGCTCTGTGACTGCTCCTGCAGAGCAGGGCTATCCCTTGGGC
The DNA here is from genome assembly GCF_000001405.40 of Homo sapiens. Lineage (NCBI taxonomy): Eukaryota > Metazoa > Chordata > Mammalia > Primates > Hominidae > Homo > Homo sapiens. The sequence goes on from NC_000003.12 coordinate 48,735,527, forward strand.
AGAGAGTAGCAGCTCAGGGCAGTTTTGCAGTCATATTTATATCCACTTTTAATTGCATGCAGATTAAGGAGCTGTTTAAGCAGAAATCTCTAGGGAAGAGGTAGTAACTTTTGGGTCATTGGATCATTGCCACGGAAAGAGGCAGTAAGTCCTGGGTGTTGCCATGGCAATGGTAAATTGAAAGCACGTTGGTGGGTATGTCTGATTGAAAGCCTCTTCCTCCCCAGGCCCTGTTTTAGCTAGTCCTCAATCTAGTGCAGCGTCCGAGCCCCACCTCTGGAGTCAAGTACCCACCTCCTACCTAAGTTCTTTTTTTATTTTTATTTTTAAATAGAGACTGGGTCTATATGTTGCCCAGGCTGGTCTTGAACTTCGGGGCTCAAGTGATCTTCCCACCTTGGCCTCCCAAAGTACTGGGATTACAGGTGTGAGTCACTGTATCTGGATCCTGTTTTAGTTCTATCAACTTTTCTAACCTAGATTCAGATATCACACAGTATAATTTCTGCCCCATTCTATTCAATAGAAGCAGTCACTGAAGCTGGCCCATATTTAAGGAGAGGGAGCTTAGATTCCACTTTTTGTGGGAAGAGTATAAAAATATTTGTGGACAGGTTTTATATTATCATCAAAAAGAAGGAACTGGGATAATGCCACTTCATTTGGAGGGCCTGCCACAAAGTTGGAATGAGTAAGAAAAGTGAGATGCAGAAAAGTATGTACAAAATAACCTAAATGTGTACAACAAAGACAAACCACTTTGTGTGAATATGTGTATGCTTTTTTTTTTTTGAGACAGAGTCTCATGATGTCTCCCTGGCTGGAGTGCAATGGCGTGATCTCTCTTAGCTCACTGCAACCTCCGCCTCCCAGTTTCAAGCGATTCTTGTGCCTCAGCCTCCCGAGTAGCTGGGACTACAGGCATGCACCACCATATCCAGCTAATTTTTTGTATTTTAAAAACATTATTTATTTAATTTTTAGATGGAGTTTCGCTCTTGTCACCCAGGCTGGAGTGCAGTGGCACAATCTCGGCTCATTGCAACCTCTCTGCCTCCTGAGTTCAAGTGATTGTCCTGCTTCAGCCTCCCAAGAAGCTGGGATTACAGGCGCCTGCCACCATGCGCAGCTAATTTTTTGTATTTTTAGTAGAGACAGGGTTTCGCCATGTTGGGCAGGCTGGTCTTTAACTCCTGACCTCAGGTGATCCACCTGCCTCAGCCTCCCAAAGTGCTGGGATTACAGGCGTGAGCCACTTGCACCTGGCCGTGTGTATGCTTTTATAATTATATAAGCCAGGAGAAAAGTAGGGAACATACAGTTTGTAAACATGGGTTGCAGAAAATGGTGATAGAAGGGAGGGAAAGGAAAAGAGGAAAAGATAAAAGATTTAAAGGACAGCAGTTATGATGGGTTCTCTCTTATGCAATTAATTATAGGTATATATTTAGCTGGAGGAACGAAGAAATTCTTTAGAGAGGCATCCTTAGGTGACAGAAAGATTAAGAAAATCAAGGAAGTGATGACCTCCTTATCTTAAAACTCAGGATAGGGTAGGGAGGGGTGACTGGTGGGCCACAAGGGGGTGCTGCAGGGCACTGGGAATGTTTTTCATCTGTGTTGGGTTTCTGTTTGGTCTGTGAAAAATAATTGAGCAAAACATCTTTGTTTTATGTACTTTTATGTATTTGTTATATCCTACACTTTAAAAAATTAAATTAAAAAAACAAAACCTGCTGGGCATGGTGGCTCACACCTGTAATCCCAGCACTTTGGGAGGCTGAGGCAGGCGAGTCACTAGGACAGGAGTTCAAGAACAGCCTGGCCAAAATGGTGAAACCCCGTCTCTACTAAAAATACAAAAAATTAGCTGGGTGTGGTGGCACACACCTGTAGTGCCAGCTACTCGAGAGGCTGAGGCAGGAGAATCGCTTAAATCTGGGAGATGGAGGTTGCAGTGAGCTGAGACTGTGCCATTGCACTCTAGCCTGGGTGACAAAGCAAGACTCTGTCTCAAAAAACAAACAAAACCAAAAGCAAAGCAAAATTTGCATAAGGTTCCCAGTGGTTGCAGTGAAGGGACAGTAGATAGGCCTTGGCCTGGACCATTTACGCCTTTGCAAGGCTGGAAGGAAGTTACATGAGCACTCAGCCGAGGGCTAATGTGGCAAAAGTCACATTTCAAAAATAAGACTCTGGCTGTTAATCCTAGAGGGTAATTAAGACTGGGACTAAAGCCAAGTATTAAGTCCAAGGAGGGGAAAGCACTGGAGGGATTTTAAAGAAGAGTTGGGATCTGAGAGTGGACAGATTAGAGGTGATGGCAGTTGGAGACTTCTTCAGGACAGAAGGGTGGTACAACTGGAGAGGGAGTACTGATGAAAAATAAGAGGATGGGCCGGGTGTGGTGGCTCATGCCTGCAATCCCAGCACTTTGGGAGGCCAAGGCGGGCGGATCACATGAGATCAGGAGTTCCAGACCAGACTGGCCAACATGGTGAAGTCCTGTCTCTACTAAAAATACAAAATTAGCAGGACGTGGTGGCCTGCACCTGTAATCCCAGCTATTCAGGAGGCTGAGGTAGGAGAATCCATTGAACCTGGGAGGTGGAGGTTGCAGTGAGCCGAGCTCGTGCCACTGCACTCCAGCCTGAGCAACACAGCGAGACTCCATCTCAAGAAAAAAAAAAAAAAAGACAATATTTGGGACAGCTGTTTCATAGCCTTAGTGGAGATGTCAAGCAGTGGGACAACTAGTTCAGGGTGAAGTGTCCCAGCTGGAAGTATAAATTCAGAGAGAGCAGCATGGTGATAACACTCAAAGCCACACTGTTCCTGACAAAATTCCCTAAGGAGGGAGGGAGGGAGAAGAGCCCAGAGTACAGTCTTGGGTCACTCCAACATTTAACTATGTGTAGTTAAAGGTGGCAACAGAGATGAGGATGATCATAAGAGCTGGAAGGAAAACCAGGAGGGCTGAATGATTCCTGAGAATGTGGTCCTTGAAGCAGGAGGGAGAAGTCAATCCCAGTGAATTTTGCTGGGATTCCAGAGAGCTAGTATGTGCACTGGTTTTGTCAGCGGAAGTCACTGGGGACTGTGCCATGGGCTGTGGCAAGAATGGGAGGTGAGGAAGGGTAATGGCAACCACAGGCAAGTTTCAGAATGGGGCAGGAGCTAGAGGAGGATGGTGGGGAGCAAAGAGGGAGACCGGAGTTTCTGACCCATGGCAAGTCATTGCTGAGGGAGGCAGAGGTGCGAGAGGTTGGAGGACAGGGCTCTAGGGCCAGGCAGCAAGCACTGCAATGGTTTTGGAGATGAAGGGTACAGGTGAGATGCTGAGCACAGACCTCACCTCCAGGATGTAGGTCTTCAGGCCCCTGGCAGAGATGGGCCTCTGATCCCCAAAGAGGACCTCCAAAGGTGGAGGGGGCAAGAGTCTGATGAGGAGGTAGAGGGGTGCTTCTGCACTCCAGGTTCCTTTTCCTGCCCATTCCTTAAACCCGCTGGCTGTTCTTGCTCACCCCCACTCCCTCCTGCCTGGAGTCAGCCCAGGGCCTCCAGCGCTGAAGAACTGGACAGGCAGCTCAGCTCGGAGTTGGGAACACAATGGTCCCACTCGGGCAGAGGTGGGGCTAAGGTCTCTGATGACCCTCAGCTGCACCCACAGCCCTGGGACGTGGGCCATGCAGAGAGGGGTTGGTGGCAAATAATTCCTAGATTTTTTTTTTCCAGAACAAAAGACAGGAAAATTACCAAGAAAAGGATCCCACAAGGCCAGGGTTGGGAGGGTTCCTAGTATATCCTGGACACACACACCCTGTCCCCAGCACGTCCAGGCAGGACAAAGCTGGAGGGGCCAGCTGAGGTATTCCCATTGTGCTAGAAGCCCGCCCAGTGTCAGTGGGCCCCACCCCTGCACTCTTAATATGCCCTTGCATGCACCTGGCCCTTGAACTAGTTCCCCAGTGCCAAGTGAGGGCCTTCCCGGTTTTCAGTTGTGAGGCCAGCTCTGCGTTAGGGGTGGGGGCTGCTTTTGCTGTAAGCCAGAGATACAAACCTTGAGGTGAGCACAAAGGCAGAGACCACAGCAGCGAGTGGACCCCAGACAATTGATTGCAGTTGGGTCTTGGCCCAGCCCAGGTAGGCAAGGGACTCAGGCAATGCCAGGGTCAGTGGGAGTGGACATCCTCCCATAAGCCTGCCATCTTCGTACACAGCTGCAAGCGGAGGCCCAGGATGAGGGTCCCAACCCGTTTTTGTCTGGCTAGACTGAGACAGGAGCTGTCAGCCAGGTGGAACCATCTTGAGTCCCGAGGGAGGTGCAGCGCCCCAAGCTCAGAGTCTGAGGGTCACATGCTCTTCCACCCAGCTATGCTCTGGTTGGAAAAGAGCTCAGGGACCCAGTGCCACCAAGGCTGGAGCTTCCTGGAGAACAACCCCTCGTGTGGGGTCTGGGCTGAGACTTGGAAGGTCAGCGGGGGCCCTGAGCCAGCGCGCAGCCTCATTTGTCACCCTGGGCTTGGGGCCGGCTGCACAGTTCTGGGGCAGGATGCTGGGAGCTCCAGGACAGCCCGGCCCCTGCTGGCCAAAGTGGCAAAATGCAGTACTGCCACTCACGCGTGCTTCCAGCATGTCCCGCGTCCCAGGCTTACCCGTCCCAAAGGCCTTCTCCCTACCTGGCCACAGGCCAAGACTCAGCTCACAGCAGACATGGGAGTGTGTACTGCAGCTGTCCACTCGTGCCCACGCCAGCAGTTTCAGAATGAAAGTGAACAGTTTGACCATCACTGGATGTTATACTCTAAAGTGCTGGTTTGCTTATCTGGTGGGTCTAGATTTTAGCTCCTTTTTATCTGTTTAGCAGACAAAAAACAACTGCACACACCTCCCCTCCTTCCGGGAGTTGGAGGACCTAGCCAGAAAGGGTATTGCTGGATCCTGGCTTATAGCAGAGTACACAGTGACCTTTGTCCCCTGGCTCAGTGCAGTTCTGCAGAGGGAGGAAGGGGTAGGCCCATGGCCAAGAAGGCTACAGGGGATTTGGCTGGTATCTTCTGTTTCAGCAGCCTTCCCCAATAGCTGCCTGTCAAATGTGCATTTGTCTGCCTATCAGCATAGACTGACTGGTGAAGAGTCCTGCTGGTTTTCCTAGTGGGTAGTGCCAATCCTCTGGTCTCATACTGTAGCCTGGCTAGCCTCCTGCCCTGTGGTGTACAAATGGGCTGGGCACGCCTAACTTTGTGTACTGAAAGACATGCCAGATAAATGGTTTTATAGAACAGAAAGAAATGCCCACAAGATCAAGGATTCTGGTTGGGAAGAAGTGAGAGGGAGGGTTAGAAATGTTGTAAGTGGCTGGGCGCGGTGGCTCACACCTGTAATCCCAGCACTTTGGGAGGCCGAAATGGGTGGATCACTTGACGTCAGGGATTCGAGACCATCCTGGCCAACATGGTGAAACCCCATCTCTACTAAAAATACAAAAATTAGCTGGGCGTGGTGGCGCATGCCTGTAATCCCAGCTACTCGGGAGGTGGAGGCGGGAGAATTGCTTGAACCCGGGAGGCGGAGGAGGTTGCAGTGAGCCAAGATCACGCCACTGCACACTCCAGCCTGGGCAACAGAGTAAGACTGTCTCAAAAAAAAAAAAATTCACACATAAGAGACACCTTCAACTGGGCGCAGTGGCTCACGCCTGTAATCCCAGCATTTTGGGAGGCCGAAGCGGGCGGATCACCTCAGGTCTCTACTAAAAATACAAAATTAGCTGGGCGTGGTGGCACATGCCTGTAATTCCAGCTACACTAGGAGGCTGAGGCAGAAGAATTGCTTGAACCCGGGAGGCGAAGTGCAGTGAGCCAAGATTACGCCATTGCACTCTAGCCTGGGCAACAAGAGCGAGACTCTGTCTCAAAAAAAAAGAGACACCTTCAGAAAAATTTGATTCCTAGCACCTGACCTCACAGAAGGCAATTGAGGCCAGAAATGCATTGCTGGCCAAACTTTCTCATGATGTTTAGAATAACTAGCATAAAGATCACAATTTCTGGCTGGGCGCAGTGGCTCACGCCTGCAATCCCAGCACTTTGGGAGGCTGAGGCGGGCGAATCATTTGAGCTCAGGAGTTCCAGAGCAGCCTGGCCAACATGGTGAAACCCTGTCTCTACTAAAAATACAAAAATTAGCTGGGCATGGTGGTGGGTGCCTGTAATCCCAGCTTCTTGGGAGGCTGAAGCAGGACAATCACTTGAACTAAGGAGGCAGAGAGGTTGCAATGAGCCGAGATTGTGCCACTGCACTCTGGCCTGGGCGACAAGAGTGAAACTCTGTCTCAAAAAAAAAAAAAAAAAAGATGACAGTTTCTGAGGAGTCCCTACCTGGGGGGAGTCCTTCAAATCTTAAATCTAGTTGTTCTTGGCCAGGCGCAGTGGCTCATGCCTATAATCCCGGCACGTTGGGAGGACAAGGAGGGCGGATCATGAGGTCAGGAGTTCAAGACCAGCCTGGCCAACATAGGGAAACCCCGTCTCTACTAAAAATACAAAACTTAGCTAGGCGTGGTGGCGCATGCCTGTAGTCCCAGCTACTTGGGAGGCTGAGGCAGGAGAATCGCTTGAACACGGAAGGCGGAGGTTGCAGTGAGCTGAGATCACACCACTGCACTCCAGCCTAGGTAACAGAGTGAGACTCTGTCTCAAAAAACAAAACAAAATACAACAAAACAAAACAAAAAACTAGCTGTTCTCCTTTCACTGCTCCCCCAGAATGCTTCTATAAACAGAATTGTATGATGCAAGGTAGAGCAGCAAGGGACATCACATGCTTGCGTGTCTAGGTTACTCATTTTATGAAGACACAACAGCAGCCCAGAGAGAAAAGAGTAGCATGACTAAGGACAACAGACACTAGAAGCATAATCATCCTTGAGATAGGAGAGGGGCTGCTATCTGCATGAGTCCAGAAATGTGGAGGAACAGGCCCGGAGCGGCAGCTCACGCCTGTAATTCCAGCACTTTGGGAGGCTGAGACTGGCGGATCACCTGAAGTCAGGAGTTTGAGACCAGCCAGGCCAACATGGTGAAACCCCATTTCTATAAAAATACAAAAATTAGCCAGGTATGGTGGCACACGCCTGTAATCCCAGCTACTCGGGAGGCTGAGGCTCGAGAATCACTTGAACCCGGGAGGCGGAGCTTGCAGTGAGCTGAGATCGTGCCACTGCACTCAAAAAAAAAAAAAAAAAAAAGAGAGAAACATGGAGGATAAACTCCACGGGCACTGGATGAAAGCTCCAGGAATCACCTGATAGATCTCAGTACCATTATTGTTGCTAATTCTTGGGGTTTAAACACAGGGTTAGAAACATTCACAGCTGGTCATCAGGATTTATTCAATGAACAAATGAGCTTAGGCAGACCTAACTTCTAACATTCCAAGTTAGAACTTGGTAATACTTGTCTGAATTCACAACTGATTAGTAGGTTCCTGGTCAACACTCAGCATTTTTTTTTCTTTTTTTGAGACGGAGTCTCACTCTGTTGCCAGGCTGGAGTGCAGTGGCACGATCTCAGCTCACTGAAAACTCCGCCTCCGAGGTTCAAGCGATTCTCCTGCCTCAACCTCCCGAATAGCTGGGACTACAGGCGCATGCCACCACGCCCAGATAATTTTTGTACTTTTATTTATTTTTTTCTTTGAGATGGAGTCTTGCTCTGTTGCCCAGGCTGGAGTGCAGTAGCACGATCTCGGCTCACTGCAACCTTCGCCTCCCAGGTTCAAGTGATTCTCCTGCCTCAGCCTCCTGAGTAGCTGGAATTACTGCACACCATCACACCCGGCTAATTTTTGTATTTTCAGTAGAGACGGGGTTTCACCATGTTGGTCAGGCTGGTCTCGAACTCCTGACCTCATGTTCTGCCCACCTCGGCTTTCCAATGTGTCGGGATTACAGGTGTGAGCTACTGTGCCCGCCCTAATTTTTGTATTTTTAGTAGACGCGGGGTTTCACTACGTTGGCCAGGATGGTCTTGATCTCTTACCCTCATGGTCCGCCTGCCTCGGCCTCCCAAGGTGCTGGGATTACAGGCGTGAGCCACAGCACCTGGCCAACACTCCACATTTTATTTATATATCAGAAAACAATCAGGTAACAGTATGTATCACTGGCCATGATTTGTCTCTAGAGAGAATGGGTAAAGGAAGCAAAATTTATACTTAATATGATGCTTTGTTAAGTGACCCCAATTTCCTCCCACTTTTTAATACTGTTTTAATTGTTGTTATAAAATTAAGTGATTCCCTATCACTATATACTCAGGTAATATATTCAGGTAACTTTGATGGGACAAATTTCTAGCTTCCTGTTAGGACACACTAACATAGTCCTCATGTAATGTTCCCTCTTCAAGGCTGAGACTACGGATGATATGATCTTGACATTGTCCTGGAATGTCTTATGTCATAGCAGTACTACCACGAAAACAAAACCACAATTTTGTTTTTTCCTTTTGGTGGAGAATGGGGTCTCGTTACGTTGCCCAGGCAGGTCTCGGACTCCTGGGCTCGAGCTATCCTCCTGCCTCTGCCTCCCTAAGAGCTGGGATTATAGGCGTGAGCCACTGTGCCCAGCCACAATTTTTTTTTAATTAAAAAAAATTTTTTAGAGATGCGGTTTCATGATCGAGACCATCCTGGCTAACACGGTGAAACCCTGTCTCTACTGAAAAAAAAAAAAAATTAGCCGGGCATGGTGGTGGGCGCCTGTAGTCCTGGCTACTCGGGAGGCTGAGGCAAGGAGAATAGCATGAACCCAGGAGGTGGAGCTTGCAATGAGCCAAGATCACGTCACTGCACTCCAGCCTGGGCGACAGAGCAAGACTCTGTCTTTAAAAAAAAAAAAGAGCGAGAGATGCGGTTTCACTATGTTGCCCAGGCTGGTCTTAAACTCCTGGGCTCAAGCGATCCTCCCACTTCAGCCTCCCAAAGGGCTGAGATTACAGGAGTGAGCCACCATGCCTGGCTGACATTTAATTTTTAAAGCTTTCAAACAAAGACACTTTGGTTTTTAGAGGGTTCAGCTACCAGTTTATTGGGCCCTAGTGAGTCCCAAGATTTCCATCTACCAGTTGCTTGGGTCCTAGATTTCATATGCTCCCACAGTTGGCCCTTTGGTACAGGCAGGTGTCTCTGTCCAAATGTGGGCAAGATCAAACTGCAACAAGGCGCTTCCTTTGGTCACCTGAAAAGAAATTGTAGGTACAGTGGGCTGTCACAGCATCCTTGCTAGTTCTGGTTATAGCCATGTCACAGAGAAGGAAATTATGTAAATAATATTGAGTGACAGATGTTTTCTACTTTTTTTTTTAAACGGAGTCTCACTCTGTTGCCCAGGCTGGAGTGCAGTGGCGCAATCTTGGTTCACTGCAACCTCTACCTCCTGGGTTCAAGCAATTCTCCTGCCTCAGCCTCCTGAGTAGTTGGGATTACAGGCACCCGCCACCACACCTGGATAATATTTGTATTTTTAGTAGAGACGGGGTTTCACCATGTTGGCCAGGCTGGTTTTAAACTCCTGACCTCAAATGATCCACCTGCCTCAGCCTCCCAAAGTCCTGGGATTATAGGCATGAGCAACCGCACCCAGCCTTTTTTTTTTTTTTTTTCAGACACCGTGCCAGGCTATTTTTTATTTTTTGTAGAGACAGGGTCTTACTATGTTGCCCAGGCTGGTTTCAAACTTCAATGATCCTCCTGCCTTAGCCTCCCAAAGCACCTGGATTACAGGTGTGAGCCACCATACCCAGCTCTGCTGGGTTTCATTGGTGAGTTTGTCTTCCTGGCAAGGGATATACAGGATACCCTTGCACATCATCCACAACCATTCAAATACCATGTTGTGATTGCTAATTTTATGTGTTAACTTGACTGGGCCACAGTGTGCCCAGATATTTGATCCAACATTATTCCAGATGTTTCTGTGAGGGTGTTTTTGGATAAGGTTTTTTTTTTTTTTTTTTTTTTTTGAGACTGAGTTTCACTCTTGTCGCCCATGCTGGAGTGAGTGGAATGATGCAATCTCGGCTCACTGCAACCTCCACCTCCTGGGTTCAAGTGACTCTCCTACCTCAGCCTTCCAAATGGCTGGGATTATAGGAATGTGCCACCATACCTGGCTAATATTTGTGTTTTTAGTAGAGACTGGGTTTCACCATGTTGGCCAGGCTGGTCTCAAACTCCTGACCTCAGGTGATCCGCCCACCTCCACCTCCCAAAGTGCTGGGATTACAGGTCTGAGTCATCGTGCCCAGCCTGGATAAGATTAACATTTAATTTGGTATAGAAGTAAAGTAGATGACCTTCCCTAATGTGTGTGGGCCTCATCCAATCAGTCGAAGGCGTGAATAGAACAAAAAGGCCAACTCTTCCCCAAGTAAGACAGAATGCCCACCTTTGAACTGGGATGTTGTCTTTTTTCCTGCTTTTGGACGCTAACTGAAACACTGGTTCTTCCTGGGTCTTGAGCCTGCTGGCTTTTGGACAAGAACAACAACATTGGCTCTTCTGAATCTCAGGCCTTCACATTTGAACTGGAACTAAACCATTGGCTCTCCTGGGTCTACAGCTAGCCAATTCACCCTGCAGATCTTGGGACTTGCCCACCTCCATAACTGTGTGAGCCAATTCCTTATAATAAATCTTTAGGCTGGGTGCAGTGGCTCACACCTATAATTCCAGCACTTTGGGAAGCTGGAAGCTGAGGCAGGAAGACTGCTTGAGCCTAGGAGTTTGAAACCAGCCTGGACAACATAGTGAGATCCTGTCACTAAAAAAAAAAAAAAAAAAAAAAAAAGAATCTTTATACACATACACACACACCCTACTGACTGCTTCTCTGGAGAACCCTGACTAGTACAAGGGGTCCCTAATTTTCAAGGGCTCATACCCTAATCCCAGATCTACCAGAAGAATGAATCTGCCAAAGGAGTGCTATGACGGCCTGGAGCCCTGAAGCAAAATGGCAAACACGTAACATAAGACTGCACCAGAAAGTCAGACATGATTTGTCAGCCTTTATTAATCAAGAGTAAAGCCGAGCCCTAGGGTTTCCTTAACAACAACAAAAAGAACATCAACCTTGTTTATGGCAAACAGTGACTTAATTCTTAATGACTGTTCATTATATGTTTAACACCACAGAGCAAGAATTGATCACGTTTCAATCACTTATTCTTCTGAGATTAAAATACAAGATTAAAACAGATTAAAATAAAATTCACTCCAAGAATTTAAAAAATAATTCCAAATGAAGGACATTTCAAACACTGTATATAGAACTCAGGACCAAAAGAAGACCTTAAAACATTTTTTACCTTTGAGGTAGCACAATAATGCTGAATTAGATTTATTTTATTACAGTGAGCTTAAAAAAACAACACGGAATCTACCCTTTGCTCAAGGTGGGCTAAATGGTTTTACGCAAACCCCTCCATGAGGTTAGTGACAGTTCTTGTCCTTTTTTTTTTTTTTTTTTTTTTTTTTAAAGTATAAAGATAGCCCTGCAGTGTGTAAAAGGAAACCTATGGGAAGGCTGCTTCCCATAAAATAGACAATAGAATCATTGAGGAACGTCAGCAGTCAAGACAGGAGGAACAAGAGGTCATTGTAGTGAAAAACCAAAACAACTTGTATCTTGGCAAGATTGGTTTACAAGTTCATGACAAGAACAAAAATTCCAACATCAGCCAACTGAAAATAAAAGATAAAAGATGACATTCATGGATCTTTTTATTTTTCTCTGTGCAAAATGCTCTTCTTTCTGAATTAGAGGGTAGCTTGTACACTGTGACATGACATGAAATGCTGTGTGCCCAGGGTGCTGCTGGGTGCCAACAGCACCTCTCACTGAATACGATATCACTGTGTGCAGAGAAAACGGGCAATCAGAGGATAAACATAACCTCTCCTGGCTGGAGAACCATTTCTTGCGACTTTGCTGCTGAATTCACTCATTAAACTGCTCAAAGGAAAAGCTCTACCCTGATTTCTGAGAGTCTACAGCAATATATGTAACACAATTATATATGAAGACTATTGACTAACAGGACAATAGCACATGAACCTTTCCTTCAGAGAATTCAACCAAGAGAAGAGAGTGGGTGGCATAAGCTGGGGGCCAAAAGGAAGGCTCTCAGGAATATTCTCTACCATCCAAAATCAACAGCAAAGCCAGAAAAGGGGCATGAGCTCTAATTCATTGAAGAGAACACCACAAAACAGTTAACAAAGGGATCTCTTTCCAACACATGCTCCTCTCCATGAGGCTCAACCGTCAGTGCAGGGCTTGCCTGATGTGGACAATGTGGATACCTCAGCCCTGAGTTGAACTTGGCATGCCACCTTTGATTCCCCATGCTGCAAAAAGAATTGGAACGCTGTCAGGTCCTGGCACCGTGGTAATGGCTATATCCTATTTCACTCACACACGTCCTTTTAAAGTCTCCCTTCCTCAAGCTATTAAATAGAACCCTCTAGGGATCCTGTATGCAGTGAGGGTCTGAACTGATGATCCATATGTCAATCAGTAGTTGGAGGAGGATGACTTTTTTTTTTTTTTTTTGAGATAGGGTCCCACTTTGTCCCCCAGACTGGAGTGCAGTGGCACGATCATGGCTCACTGCAGCTTCAGTCTCCCAGGTTAAAGGAATCCTTTCACCTCAGCCTACTGAGTGTGCACCACCAGGTCCAGCTAATTGTTTTTTTAACTTTTTTTTTTTTTTTTTTTCTTGGTAGAGACAGGGTCTCCCTCTGTTGCCCAGGATGGTTTGGAACTCCTGGGCTCAAGCAATCCTCCCACTTTGGCTTCCCAAAGTGCTGAGATTACAGGCATGAGCCACTATGCCCAACCTGAGCAGGATGACTTAAACCTGATCAATTCTACTCCAAAACAGCAACTATCATTAAGTCAGGGGTGTCAAGGAGGACTCTGTGAAGGCAAAGACTAGACTGGGATGTGTGCGAGAGTGGGATAAGAAGGCCCATCCCTAGCAGACTGCAGGAGTGACTCTGGCATAGAATTCATGGCCAGCCCTAACTAGTGTGATGGGTGGCAGGGAGGAGGCATCTGCTCAGTGTTCAAACAAAATCCTTACAAGTTCTGGGGCTGGACCTCTGTGTCACTCCTGAATCCCAATGTATCCGTTACCTTTACAAGAAACTGGTGTGGTTCTTGTCTGCTAAGGGCAAGACCTGTTTTCTGAATTTACTTTCTGATAATAAAGTAACACCATGGAAAAGAAGAACCTCAGAAAAATATGGGGTCACCACATGGGCTTTCCCAGTGCTAGCTGCCTGTTTTGGAAAGCTGCAATGTAGGCTACAGAGGGCAGTCTGAAAAGAGTCCTTCTGCTTTCGCTTCCTGGAGCTTAAGAAGAAAAGAGGAATTACCAAGGTTGTGGTGGGTTATTTACTCTGGAAATATCTTGGTCACACTGTCCGTGGCAAAAGCGGAAAGCCTAGCTTATGTGGATAGTTGAAGGTGACTGTGTGGGCCATCATTATCTACAATAGAAATGACTCAAGCCCTAGCATGTAATCTCTTAGGGACTTAACAAGTTAAAAAGAAACAAAAAATCATATTGGAAATGGCCTCTTGGTTTAATATAAACTTGGTTACAACATTCAAATTTATCTTTACGGAAATTTCACACTGCTCCTAGGAGCCCTTATAGCATCTGATTCTAAGTTATTCTGAAGGAAAAAAAAATTATTCTGAAATATACCTTATTAGGATGATCACTGGAATTCTACCAGATATAAGTAAAAGGCTAAATGGGTTTTAAATAAATACAAGCTAAATTACCTTCTTCTGGGGTTAACAATTAGAATCCCAAATACCCCAACATCTCAACTAGAAAGGCCTTCACAGTAATTCTATGAAATTGTAAATGATGCCAAATTTTTTTTTTTTTTTTGAGATGGAGTCTTGCACTGTCACCCGGGGTGGAATACAATGGTGCAATCTCGGCTCACTGCAACCTCCACTCCCAGGTTCAAGCGATTCTCCTGCCTGAGCCTCTCAAGTAGCTGGGATTACAGGCGCCCACCACCATGCCCAGCTAATTTTTTGTATTTTTAGTAGAGACGGGGTTTCACTATGTTGGCCAGGCTGGTCTTGAACCCCTGACCTCGTGATCCGCCCGCCTCGGCCTCCCAAAGTGCTGGGATTACAGGTGTGGGTCACCGTGCCTGGCCAATGCCAATTTTTGAAAACAGATTTGATCTTTAGGGTAAATGCCTGAGTCAGCTGACAAACTCCATATACATGAATATGTCCAAGTGAAATTACCTAAAGAATAATTTTTTTTCTTTCTTTTTTTTTTTTTAAGAGACAGGGTCTCACTGTGTCACCCAGACTGGAGTGCAGTGGCATGATCACAGCTCACTGTTGCCTTGACCTCCTGGGCTCAAGTGATCCTTCCACCTCAGCCTCCTAAGTATTTGGGACTACATGCATGCATCACCACACCTGACAAATTAAAAAAAAATTTTTTTTTTGCCAGGTGCAGTGGCTCACATCTGTAATCCCAGCACTCTGAGAGGCTGAGGTGGGCGGATCACCTGAGGTTGGGAGTTTGAGACCAGCCTGACCAACACAGAGAAACCCTGTCTCTATTAAAAATACAAAATTCGCCCGGCATGGTGGCGCATGCCTGTAATCCCAGCTACTCAGGAGGTTGAGGCAGGAGAATCACTTTAATCTGGGAGGCGGAGGTTGCGGTGAGCCAAGACCGCACCATTGCACTCCAGCCTGGGCAACAAGAGCGAAACTCCGTCTCAAAAAGAAAACAAAAAAAAAATTTTTGTTTTTGTAGAGACAGGATCTCACTCTGTTGCCTAGGCTGGTCTTAAGCGATCCTCCCAGCTCAGCCTCCCAAAGCACTACAATTATAGGCATGAGCCATTGAGCCTGGCCTGAGAATTTTCTTTAATTTCAAAAAAATAGCTGCTGCTTCTTTAAAGAGTTTAAAAATTGATCGGTTCAATGGCAAAGCTACACAACAACTCTGGAGTAGAAGGAAAGAACTCTCTTTATAGTACAACCTCTTTCCAGCATACTGCCATCAGCTAGTAGAGGCAACTGCAAACAAATGGTAGGAGTTGCCCAGGAAGGTATTTGGGCTGGACAAAGTGATAGCAACCCTCCAGACCCTGGCTCCTTATAAATGTATAGCAATTCATTCATACAAACTGCACAGAGGTTAAACAAAACCTACTAAAAAAATTAAAAAATCCCACAAAATCCCCAACCCAGAAAACGTTTCCTGGCTCTCTACTAACAGTAAAATGTGCTGAGCCCAAATTTTCTGCTCTAACATGGGTCCCACGGACCTATCAGTCTGCTCTGGGGTGCTGACCTGCTGGGTCCTGAGCAGGGTCTTTCCCTAAGCATCACTGTGGGTTTGGAGACAGCTGTAATGTGTGCAGCTGTCAGCAGAAAGTACAATGCCACTGGGCTACATATGTCCATATCATCCACCACCATTTCCCACTGTAAAACCAAAGGCTGCAACTGTGAACAAATGTGGACTTCCTCAAAGGACAAATGAGGAGACTGAAGGCTACATTTCCTCCTTTGAGAACCATTAGAGAGTGTCTACAGTTATACAACAGGTTTCTGCAGACCCTGTGGTAACTTCCAAAAGCAAGAGTAGCAGCAAGAGAGGAAAGGAGCATGTTTATACTTTGGACTTTGTATCAGGCACTTAAATTGTTGGAGAGACATGCCGTTTTGAACCAAAGATATAAAAACTGGGTTGGAGTAATCTTTACAAGTGGTCTAATGAATGGGCCTTCAGAAGCAAAGTGGAGGTGTGGGTTGAACCTCTGCCCATCCTTTAGTGCTGACTTTCAAGTTTTCTAAATGCCCATAACCACAGCAATGGCAGCAGTGGCGGCAACGGCAGGAACAGTTCTGTCATGTCTGTTTTCTGTATGTGTTCTGTGGCTGACCAGAAGGTTTTGGTGTCACACTAAGAAGGCTCTGGGGTGTGGCACACCTACTGCCCGAGGTTGCCCAGATCCACGCTGGAGCCAAACATCTTCACCAGCTGTTCCTCATAGTGTGAGATGTTCCTCTTCATGATGTCCATGCAGGGCCCCAGAAGCCTCTCGAATGCTTGTACATCCATAACTGCATTGTTAAAAAGAGGTGAGGGAGAGAATGAATTCAAGCCATTTCCCTCATGCAAACCTTTTCCTAAACATACCCATTCATGTTGTATGAGATTACGCCTTGGGACACCAGCCACTTGCAAAAAGGGATGTTTCTATATGAATTCAGAAGACTGTCATCCAGGTTAGAGACTTTACAGAGTCCAGCAGCTCCTGTTCTCCCCATTCTCCCACAGCCCTGGACATCAGTTCTTTTCATACGGCTAAAGAACCTGCATGCCTGTCTTGCTCACAGGCTGTCATCAGTACTCAGAAATGTTTGCTGAAAGCATCCATTCATCCATCTCTGGTTGGTCACATAAACTGCCTAGGCCTAGACAGCAGTAAAAGATGGCAGAATATGTCAAGGCTTGCTGATGGGAAAAAAATATTACATGTTAGAAAAAGAATATTAATGCATAAAGAACTTTTCTTACCTAAGCATTTGACATCTCCAACTGCATAAGCTGAGGCAGCTCTGGGTTTGTTGGTGACCAGGGCAAGCTCTCCAAAGTACTGCCCCTTATGGCAGCGGGCAATCTCGACCTCCTGGTTCCCACCATCCTTGTTTGATTTAGTCTACAGCAGGCAAAGAACATGACCTAGGCTGACTCCAGGATCACAGCTGGGCATGTCCAGTTGCACACACATACACTGTTCTCAGCATACTCTACACAATTACTGAGGAATTCACTTTGCAGAAAATTCACTAACTGTACCATGTAAACTCCATGGACTAATCTCAGTGGTCTGGTTTGATCAGAAAAGTCTGCTTTTTACCTAGAGCTCGGAGTCCTAACATTTTCAAGGTAATCTACAGCCATACCATTCTGAACATGCCCAATCTTGTCTAAATAAGGACAATGCTTCTCTTAGGTAATGAGCCACAAACTTGGGCTATTTCTCTGATTTGAGACTGCGCCTTGAACAACATTTTACAGTGACAAAATCCCCCATGCCCCCCACATTTTTTTTTAAGAGACAGGGTCTCACTCTGTCACCAAGGCTGGAGTTCAGAGGAATGATCACAGCTCATGCAGCCTTCAACTGTTGGCCTCAAGCAATCCTCCCATCTTGGCCTCCCAAAGTGCTCGGATTACAGGAGTGATTCACTGCTCCTGGCCAACAAATTTCTTTTTAAGTACTATTTGTACCTTAAGTTAGTGGTTCCCTCCTCCTTTTTTTTTTTTTTTTTTTTTTTTTTTTTTTTTTGAGATGGAGTCTCGCTCTGTCGCCCAGGCTGGAGTGCAGTGGCGCAATATCCGCTCACTTCAAGCTCTGCCTCCCAGGTTCATGCCATTCTCCTGCCTCAACCTCCCAAGTAGCTGGGACCACAGGCGCCCGCCACCACGCCTGGCTAATTTTTTTGTATTTTTAGCAGAGACAGGGTTTCACCATGTTCGCCAGTATAGTCTCCATCTGCTGACCTCATAATCTGCCCGCCTCGGCCTCTCAAAGTGCTGGGATTATAGGCACTCCCCCCTCCCATTTTTTAAAATAAGAGTTAAGTAACTAAATTTAAGATAATATACTACATTATATTAATATCTAGAGGTTTTTTTTTTTAACAAATCCAACTGCTAACCAAAGTGATAATTTAAGTAAATAATTGTTTAGAATTTATTAGTAAGAATTAGTCTCAATCTCTAAGAACCACTTTATGTTGTAGGCAGAAAGATAATTTCCTTTTTGGTTAATTTTTAAAAGAAACAAAACTGCTACACTAGCTTACACGGTTTGACCCTTCTTCCTTCTACACTTCTGCCCTGTTGCTCTGAAGTTGGTCTGTTTCATCTGAGCCAACTTTCCCTTTCCAATTTCAGTAGTATTCTCTGGAGTTGCAGCCATATTCGTGCCCACTTAGTCCCTTCTCTAAAACAGAAGGGACTTATCACACTGTCACATACACACCAGCTCCCGTATTACGCAGGTTTTCTCGCAATGCACATTCTGATTCAGTAAATCTGGGGAAAAGCCAGGACTCTGAACTTCTGACAAACCACCCATCCCCAATATCCCAGTGCCATGCTGCTGCTGATCTTATGCACCTAACACTATGCTGTGATCATAGCAGGTGTCAATGAATATCTGAGAAATCTACAAACATCACTAGTCCAAAAACTGTAAGTAAAATGACACAGACATTTCAAACTATTGTTTTCTTTTTTTTTTTTTTTTGAGCAGAGTCTCACTCTGTTGCCCAGGCTGGAGTGCAGTGGTGTGATCTCAGCTCACTGCAAGCTCTGCCTCCTGGGCTCATGCCATTCTCCTGCCTCAGCCTCCTGAGTAGCTGGGACTACAGGTGCCCGCAACCACACCTGGCTAATATTTTTTGTGTTTTTTAGTAGAGACGGGGTTTAACCATGTTAGCCAGGATGGTCTCGATCTCCTGACCTCGTGATCCGCCTGCCTCGGCCTCCCAAAGTGCTGGAATTACAAGCGTGAGCCACCATGCCAGGCCAAAACTATTGTTTTCAGTTGAAACAACAGATCTACTTTTTTCTTTTTTTTTTTTTGAGACAGAGTTTGGCTCTTGTTGCCCAGGCTGGAGTGCAATGGTGCGATCTCAGCTCACTGCAACCTCCGCCTCCCGGGTTCAAGCGATTCTCCTGCCTCAGCCTCCTGAGTAGCTGTGACTACAGCTATGTGCCACCACGCCCGGCTAATTTTGTATTTTTAGTAGAGATGAGGTTTCTCCATGTTGGTCAGGCTGGTCTCAAAGATCTACTTTTAATTAAGAATCAAGCTATCACATGGGCGCCGGTGGCTCATGCCTGTAATCCCAGCACTTTGGGAGGCAGAGGCAGGAGGATCACCTGAGGTCAGGAGTTCCAGACCAGCCTGGCCAACATGGGGAAACCCTGTCCCTACTAAAAGTACAAAAAATTAGCTGGGCTTGGTGGTGGGAGCCTATAGTCCCAGCTACTTGCGAGGCTGAGGCAGGAGAATCGCTTGAACCCAGGGACGGAGGTTGCAGTAAGCTGAGATCACGCCACTGCACTCCAGCCTGGGCAACAAGAGCGACACTCTAGCTTAAAATAAAAAAGAATCAAGCTACCTTCAGCTACTCAGTAGGGTGAGGCACGAGAATCGATTGAAACTAGGGGGTTGGAGGTTGCAGTGAGTTGAGATTGCACCACTGCATTCCAGCCTGGGCAACAGAGCAAGACTCACTCAAAAAAAAAAAAAGAGAGAGAGAGAAAACAAATCCAGCTATCTTACAGACAGTAATATTCTTCTTTTTCCATACTTATTAACTTTTTTTTTTTTTTTTTTTGAGACAGAGTCTTGCTCTGTTGCCCAGGCTGGAGTACAGTGGTGTGATCTCAGCTCACGCAAGCTCTGCCTCCCGGGTTCACGCCATTCTCCTGCCTTAGCCTCCCGAGTAGCTGGGACTACAGGCGCCCGCCACCATGCCTGGCTAATTTTTTGTATTTTTATTAGAGACAGGGTTTCACTGTGTTAGCCAGGATGGTCTCAATCTCCTGACCTCGTGATCTGCCCGCCTCAGCCTCCTAAAGTGCTGGGATTACAGGTGTGAGCCACCGTGCCCGGCTACTTATTAACTTTTACTCAATATATTTTGCTAAAGTTTTCATATTAACTCGACTTAGTATTATATATAACTGTTTTAACACACTCTGTATTCTCAAAAAAGAAAAAAAAGAAACCGAAAAATCTGGTGATGACAGATTTACCAGTAACAGTCATTCCTCCTACTTACAGCTCCTCAGTTTTCTAGGTCACACCATCCATTAAATGACCACAGTTATCCTAGAGACCTCTTCTAACAGTGCTCTAACAAGGAAGCTTTCTTCATGTTCATCCCTTCCAATCTCTTTTTATTATATAATTTCCCTATTTTCTTTCCTTTTTTTTTTTTTTTAAAGACAGGGTCTTGCTCTGTCACCCAGGCTGGAGTGCAGTGGCACAATCACGGTTCACTGCAGCCTCAATCTCTTGGGCTCAAGAGATCCTCTTGCCTAGGCCTCCAAAGTGCTAGGATTACAGGTGTGAGACATTGCGCCCAGCCCCCATTTCCTTTTTTTTTTTTTTTTTTGACGGAGTCTCGCTCTGTCGCCCAGGCTGGAGTGCAGTGGTACGATCTCAGCTGACTGCAAGCTCTGCCTCCGGTGTTCATGCCATTCTCCTGCCTCAGCCTCCTGAGTAGCTGGGACTACAGGCGCCCGCCACCATGCCTGGCTAATTTTTTTTGTATTTTCAGTAGAGACAGGGTTTCACCGTGTTAGCCAGGATGGTTTCAATCTCCTGATCTTGTGATCCGCCCGCCTTGCCCTCCCAAAGTGCTGGGATTACAGGCGTGAGCCACTGTGCCCGGCCCCAGCCCCCATTTTCTATTAGGGTTTTTATCTTTTTCTTATTGATTTGTAGGCCAATATTCCCTAAATCATTAATTACACAGCAGAGGCAAAGGGAGCAAGAATAAGAATATGCTAAATCTATATCTAATCTAATCTAAATATGCTAAATCTATACTAAATGGGCTTAAACATGGGTCTTTGCCAGTCACACACCTCACATAACAATGATGGTTTGGTGTATTCAACACACTTCACATTATTTAAAACAAATAGTTACTTTTTGTGTGTACACCATCACATATAAACTGATAAACTCACCCTGCTTCTAATCAAGATGCTCACTTCGCCAGACTCTATGATGTAAAAGCTATCAGCCTTTTCACCCTGAAAGAAAAGAGAGGTCAGGTCAGAGCCATAAGTAGTATTGAAGGGGAATAAAGAAATAGATTGCTTTTTCACTGCTTAAGCTCTGATTTGTATTTATTTTTTAACTCTGCAAATGAATCAATAGTAAACAAATTCAGAGCAGGCAATGAGACCTTGCCTCTTAGGAAAAGGAAAAAAAAAAGAGCTTGAGAAGGTGAGATTTGAGCAAATATTGGGAGGACGTCTGAGTCAGGCATGCAGATATACGCGAAGCAGCTTTCAGGCACACTTCAGTTTCTGACCCCTCACTATTAACTTGTGGAACAAACACCATCTACATCAGATAACGCATTATTACTCATGCACTCTCACTCTGTGTGGGTCTTTTGTCTTCACTGAGAATCTACTTCTGAGGCTTTCACAAACTTCATGCCCTTTGACCATCACACAGAGCCCCAAGTGGGCACCATACACAGCTAGGCTGATGTTTCTGAGTTAATCTAGTCCCAGGACGTATCACTGCCCCATATGAGTAAATGCCACAGCTTTACAAAGGGGTGCCTGTGGGTTTCTGCCCTGCTATGTTGGGTAGGTATCTTAACAACCAGCAGAGCCAAATCACCATGAAGTTCTAGCATTACACAAACAGCTTCATGATAGGAGCTGACAAAGGATGAACAGCCATGAAAGAAACTTAGTAGGAGCCAGAGGCAGAGTCACAAAGAGGGAGAGGTACTTCACCAAGAAGAGGGTGGTGAAAAGGGAAGATCTGTGTGGTAGGAAAGATCTGCAAGTGATAGGTGGTGAAGGATAGTGCTTGAGCCCTTTTTGTTTAGATAGGTGTATAACATCCACCATTTAAAGTGGTCACATTTCAAGGCTTGATGACTTTTTACAAATGTATAAACCTGTATAACCACCTCCTAGATCAAAATAGAAAATATATCCGTTCTTCAAAAGGCTCCCTCCGGAGTTCAGTCAAAACTACCACATTCCCACCCATGAAGTAACTATATCTAATTTCTGTCCTTGTAGGTTTTGGCCATTCCTTAACTTAATATAAATGGAATCATATATTTTTTGTATCTGGCTTATTTTAGTCCATATTGTTAGATCACACTTTGAAAGTCTCTGGCTATGCAAGAAATTAGGCTGGTAGCTAAAATAGAAACAAACTGAAGGAAGGAGTGTACGTGTGTTTTGAAGACAGCAAAGGCCAGGCACGGTGGCTCACACCTGTAATCCCAGCACTTTGGGAGGCTGAGGGGGGTGGATTGCTTGAGGCCAGGAGTTCGACACCAGCCTGGGCAAAATGGTGAAACCTTGTCTCTACTAAATACAAAAACAGGCCAGGTGTGGTGGCTCACGCCTGTAATCCCAGCACTTTGGGAGGCTGAGGTGAGTGGATCACCTGAGGTCAGGAGTTTGGTACCAGCCTGACCAACATGGTGAAGCCCCATCTCTACTAAAAATACAAAAATTAGCCAGGTGTGGTGATGCATGCCTGTAATCCCAGCTACTTGGGAGGCTGAGGCAGAAGAATAGCTTGAACCCGGGAGGCAGAGGTTGCAGTGAGCCGAGATCACGCCATTGCACTCCAGCCTGGGCGACAAGAACGAAACTCTGTCTCAAAAATAAATAAAATACATACATGCATACATACATACATACATACACAAAAATTAGCCAGGAGTGGTGGTGCACAACTGTAATCCCAGCTACTTGGGAGACTGAGGCACAAGAATCACTTAAACCTGGGAGGTGGAGGTTGCAGTGATCCGAGGTTGCACCACTGTACTCCAGCCTGGGCAAAAGAGTCAGACTCCATCTCAAAAAAAAAAAAGAAAAAAAGAAAAAAGGAAAAAAAAATGGCCTGGTGCAGTGGCTCATGCCTATAATCCTAGCACTTTGGGAGGCCACGGCAGGCAGACTGCCTGAGCTCAGGAGTTCGAGACCAGCTTGGGCAACATGGCGGCGAAACCCCATCTCTACCTAAACTACAAAAAATTAGCCAGGCGTGGTGGTGTGTGCCTGTAATCCCAGCTACTCAGGAGGCTAAGGCACGAGAATCGCTTGAACCCAGGAGGTGGAGGTCGCAGTAAGCCGAGATTGTGCCACTGCACTCCAGCCTGGGCGACAGAGCAAGACTGTCTCAAAAAAAAAAAAAAAAAAAGAGAAAAGGAAAACAAAATGAAGAAGACAGCAGAGACTAGGGTATGTGTACAGGATAAGAATGACTTAGGGCCTGAGGAGAATGAACAGGGGAGCTCATATAGAATAGAAGCTGCTAATGTTGCTGTGTGCTCACTCCCAGCAGGCTCTCTGGTGAGTACTTTATGTGTATCATTTCATTTTTTTTGCCAAAGAAGTCTAAGAAAGTAGGTACTATTACTATCCAATTTTGTGGATGACTTTCCTCAGAAGCCTGGGGGATAAATAATCTTTCCCTAGCAGGTAGCGTGAGTAGTTGGTAGATTCAGGGTTGAGAGGAGATGGGAAAGAATGTCATCTAGAATACATGAGAAACAAAAAGCCTTGGTTCACCTCTTCCTCTGGACCAAATGAAGGACAGTGAAAGGACTTTGGTCCATTAAATTTTACTGATTTGGTAATACTTCACTACAATGGATTATGATAATGTGAAACAATGCAAGGGGATAAAATTTAAAATAAAACCATGTTTTGATGATTTTAACCATCAGCTGAAAACAGTTGATCTTTGTGGCAGTTAAGGGATGCACTCTTTTGCATTTCCAATCTCATGAAACAGCCTGGTTAGGCTGGGACAGGCTAAATGTGTGGGCCAAGACACACATTTCCTGTTTCCATGCTGTCCAGTGGTGGATATTCTGGGTATACTGGCTGTTCAGGCTTTGTAGGACTGCTGTCATTTTGCAGGGTAGAATGAGATGACTACCCAGTTGGAAAAGAGAGCTCACTGGAAGAGCATCCTGCCCCTTTTTTTTTTTTTTTTTTTGAGACGGAGTTTCACTCTTGTTGCCCAGGCTGGAGCGCAATGGCGCGATCTTGGCTCACCACAACTTCTACCTCCTGGGTTCAAGTGATTCTCCTGCCTCAGCCTCCTGAGTAGCTGGGATTTACAGGCACGTGCCACCACATTCAGTTAATTTTGTATTTTTAGTAGAGACAGGGTTTCTCCATGTTGGTCAGGCTGGTCTCGAACCCCCAACCTCAGGTGATCCGCCTGCCTCGGCCTCCCTAAGTGCTGGGATTACAGGCATGAGCCACTGCGCCCGGCCAAGTATCCTGCTTTTCAAGTTCACTAATAGGCTCTGTGTACACATCTCACAGAAAGAACATTCCATTCTACATTCAACAGTAAAGAAGCCAGACTGTACTGCATTTTAGGTCTTTGTGAACATGTCATCAGGTTCTTATATGTCTCTTTTTCACAACAGATAATATAAGATCCACATTCCACCATAAGAATGACTGAAGCCCTAATTTTCAGGATATGGGAATCTTTTTGGTTTAATGCAATGGTACTTTAATAGCAAAAACATAAAACATGATTTTGTAAAACTAAAGCCACCTTCTGTCTACATTACTCTAAGAATAAGCTAAATATTCTATCAATCATGAAAATTACTTGTGAAAATTATACAAGTCATTAAAAAACAAAAATGTAGGCCAGGTGTGGTGGCTCACGCCATCCCAGTACTTTGGAAGGCCAAGGCGGACAGATCACCTGAGGTCAGAAGCTTGAGACCAGCATGGCCAACAGGCAAAAACCCTGTTCTCTACTAAAAATAAAAAAAAATTAGCCGGGCATGGTGATGCATGCCTGTAGTTCCAGCTACTCGGGAGGCTGAGGCAGAAGAATCACCTGAACTGGGGAGGTGGAGGTTGTAGTCAGCCGAGATTGTGCCATTGCACTCCAGCCTGGACAACAAGAGCAAGACTCTGTCTCAAAAAACAAAACAAAACAAAACAAAACACAAAAATGTAGTCAGGTATGGTGGCACAAGCCTGTAATCTTAGCTACTTGGGAGGTGAGGTGGGAGGATCACTTGAGGTCAGAAGTTCAAGACCAGCATGGGCAACATAGAGAGGCCCTGTCTCTACAAAAAATTTAAAAATTAGCTGGGTGTAGGCCGGGCGCAGTGGCTCACACCTGTAATCCCAGCACTTTGGGAGGCCGAGGCTGAGGTGGGCGGATCACCTGAGGTAGGGAGTTCACAGACCAGCCTGACCAACATGGAGAAACCCTGTCTTTACTAAAAAAAAAAAAAAAAAAATTAGCTGGGCATGGTGGTGCATGCCTGTAATCCCAGCTACTCAGGAAGCTGAGGCAGGAGAATCGCTTGAACACAGGAGGCGGGGGTGGTGGTGAGCTGAGATCGTGGCATTGCACTCTGGCCTGGGCAACAAGAGCAAAACTCCGTCTCAAAAAAAAAAAAAAAAAAATTAGCTTAGTGTGGTGGCATTACTTGGAAGGCTAAGGGAAGAGTATTGCTTGAGCCTAGAAGTTCAAGGCTGCAGTGAGCTATGATTGCACACTGTACTGAAGCCTGAAAGACAGAGTGAGACCTTGCTTCTAATAAACAAAAACAAGGCTGAGTGCAGTGGCTCACACCTGTAATCCCAGCACTTTGGGAGGCAGAGGAAGGAGGATCACGAGGTCAGGAGACTGAGACCATGCTGGCTAACACGGTGAAACCTGTCTCTACTAAAAACACAAAAAATTAGCCGGACGTGGTGGCGGGCGCCTGTAGTCCCAGCTACTTGGGAGGCTGAGGCAGGAGAATGGCGTGAACCCAGGAGGCGGAGCTTGCAGTGAGCCGAGATCACACCACTGCACTCTAGCCTGGGTGACAGAGGGAGACTCCATCTCAAAAAAACAAAACAAAAACAATAAAAATAACTCAAAATGGATCACAGACCTAAGGTAAGAGCTAAAATTCTGACTGTCTAGAGCTGTACTGCTCAATACATTAGCCACGAGTCAAATGTGGCTGAGCACTTGAAATGTTGCTAGTATAAACTTAGATGTGCTATAGATGGAAAACATACATTAGATTTTGAAGACAGTATTAAAAATGTAAAATATCTCATTAATAAAGTTTTATATCACTTAGATGTTGAAACAACATTTTAGATATACTGAGTTAAATGAAATATATTAAAATTAAGTTCACCATTTCAAATATCTACTGAAAGTTTTTATTTATTTATTTTTTTTGAGACCAAGTCTTGCTCTGTCCCCCAGGCTAGAATGCAAGTGGCATGATCTTGGCTCACTGCAACCTCTGCCTCCCAAGTTCAAACGATTCTCGTGCTTCAACCTCCCAAGTAGCTGGGATTACAGTTGTGCACCAGCAAACTCAGCTAATTTTTTTTATTACTTTTTAGTAGAGACGAGGTTTCGCCATGTTGGCCAGGCTGGTCTCGAACTCCTGGCCTCAAGTTATCTGCCTCAAGCTATTCAGCCTCCCAGAGTGCTGGGATTACAGGCGTGAGCCACCCTGCCTGACCAAAAATTTTTAAAATTACATATGTGGCTCACATATTATTTCTATTGAATAGTGCTGGTCTTAGAAGTAAACTTAGGAGAACATATTATTGATTTTGCAAAGATTTCCTAAAATACAGCAGCAAAAGTACACAACTACAAAGAAGAAAAGATGATAAACTGGACTTGTCAAAATTAAAACCATTTTCTCTTCAAAAGATACCATTAAGAAAATGAAGGCCAGGTGCGGAGGTGCACACCTATAATCCCAGCACTTAGAAGGCCAAGGCGGGCAGATGGCTTGAGCTCAGGAGTTCGAGACCAGGCTGGGCAATATAGCAAGACCCTGACTGTAATTTTTTTAAAAAAGGCTGTAAATACTATTTATTGGTGAGAATGCAGAGAAACTGGAATTTTCATACATGGCTGGTAGGAATACAAGACAGTACAGCCATTTTAAGAAACAGTTTGTTATGAAGTTAAAATATAATTTAGCAATTGCACTCTTAAGTATTTACTAAGGAGGCCAGCCTGGCCAACATGGTGAAATCCCATTTCTACTAAAAAAACACACACATGCACAAAATTAGCTGGGCAGAGTGACACGTGCCTCTGGTCCCAGCTACTCGGGAGGCTGAGGCACAAGAATCGCTTGAACCTGGGAGGCAGAGGTTGCAGTGAGCTGAGATTATGCCACTGTACTCCAGCTTGGGCAACAGGGCAAGACTGTATCTCATTAAAAAGAAAAAGTAATGGGAGGCTGAGGCAAGAGAATAGCTTGAACCTGGGAGGTGGAGGTTATGGTGAGCTGAGATTGCGCCATTGCACTCCAGCCTGGGCAACAAGAGGAAAACTCCGTCTCAAAAAGAAAAAAAAATTACATTTGTACAATGAAATATTATTAGCAATAAAAAGGAACGATCTACTGATACATACAACACGAATAAATCTCAAAAATATTATGCTAAGAGAAAGAAGCCAGACACAGAGACTATACATTACATGATTTCATTTATACTAAATTGTAGAAAGGAATTTCTACAGTGACAGAAAACATCAATGGTTTCCAGGAATGTGAGTGTGGGGGAGGGTACTGACTGCAAATACAAAACAAGGAACTGTATGGGTGATGGAAATACCACTTGGGGATGGTTACAAAACTCTTCCGATTTGTACACTTAAACTTAGTAATTTTATTGTATGTAAAATACACTGTAACAAAGCTGATCAAAACAAATGAAACAACATAAAATGTAGTTTCTGATTCAGCAGGTCTGGTGGGGGGCTCCAGAACTTGCATTCCTAACAATTCTAACATCCTCAGATGATGCTGATTGCTGCTGGTCCTGGGACCTCACTTTGAGAAGCCTTGGTCCAGTGAGAGACATTGACAAAAGGGACCTACAATAAGCCCCTTTTAATATCATCTTAATTAATGTCCATTCTGTACCACTACCTATCTACCTTGAAGATAGATAGCACTCTATCTTCAAGAGCACAGACCATGAAGAAAACACTATTGACTTCTCACATCTCCTGACATACTTCCTGAAAACCCAGTATGAGACAGGCCTAGAACCTTCAGGATGACTTGAAGGTCCTTTGAATGTTACTTAAAGCACCTTAGGTTCAGAAGCAAATGTGGCCAGTTAACATCTCCCATTTCTGAATCTCAGCACTACATTCTTACCATACCAGGATACCTGCTCTGAAACACAGCTCACACCACTGGCCTTTGCTAATATTGTTTTCTTGCTCTGAAGGACCTTTCCCTGATCCCAAACATTGAAATTGCACTTGTTTTTTAAGCCCATCTCAAATGGCATTTCCTCAATGAAACCATATGTATTACTTCCATTTCTATGTTCTCACTGTCGTTCATACTCTCCTTCATTATAGTGCTTATCATATCTGGTCCTACCTATCTTAATAAATGTTTATAGAATATTCCAATTTCTAATTAAAAGAATTATTAATAGTAACGGCTCCTAGAAAACAAATACATTTAGAGATGTGACTCAGAGTAGACATCATATTTTTGTTAGTCCTTTATCTCTTCCAAGGGAGCTTTTTTCTCCCCTTTTATGGTAAGTCTGATTAGTCCTTGTGTTCTAGTGGGGCCAACTCCACCCACAGGACCCACACCTGACCAATCTGAGCCTTTCCTCCTCGTAGTCTCAGTACTGGGTTCTAGGATAAGCATATCACCCAACCTAGACCAACCATGTATCTTCTCCGTGCTCTTGAGCCAGAACCATAGGCAGATAAGCTTATACCTGGAAAAGTCCAATACTATTTATGTTTAATTAAAAATACAAACACAGCGGACAAAGAAAATTATCAGACAGTACTCATTACAATGATCTAGCCCACTGTTTAGTAATCTTTACATCTTACAAATTTGGTTAATCACTGAAGACTGTGAACTCTGATTTGTGTTAGATTAGCCAAAAGGATGCCTTTGTGTCAAATATAGAAAGTTAGAGGACAGAACTCTTTAACCTTCCCCAGGTTCTAATAGCAATGGATGAAACTTACTTAAGGTCAAAAGAAAATGACATCAAAAGAACAAACACTAGAAGCCAAGGAAAGGTGAGAGGAAGCAAGAGATCTGCACGTGTCAGTAAGACGGACGTCAATAAGCTTCAGAGGACTACATAATAGTCCTCTGAAGTATGATCTATTACCTGGTAATAAGAGCTCCCAACAGTGGGAGAACATAGAAGGTTTTTTGGTTTTTTTTTGAAATGGAGTCTTGCTCTGTTGCCCAGGCTGGAGGCAGTGGCGCAATCTCGACTCACTGAAACCTTTGCCTCCTGGGTTCCAGCAATTCTCCCGCCTCAGCCTCCCAAGTAGCTGGGATTACAGGCATGGGCCACCACACCCAGCTAATTTTTGTATTTTTAGTAGAGATGGAGTTTTACCATGTTGGCCAGGCTGGTCTTGAACTCCTGGCCTCAAGTGATCCACCTGCCTCAGCCTCCCGAAGTGTTGGGATTACAGGCGTGAGCCACTGCGTCCGGCAAGAAGTTTTTGAGATAAATGATGTACTAGTTCTTCAGGGGTGACTTCCAGGAAAGGAGCTGCGTAAAGCCCTCACTCACCTGAGTGATTATGCGTTCTCCATCCTTATAGATCTTCTCTCCTATTACATCCACAATCTTCATTCGTTCTGACACCTGAAACAACAAATTCACAAATAAAAGGAAAAGACCTTAATTGAAAGTCACAATAGCTATGCAGCACAGAAATAGGATTAGAATAGTATGATTTGAAAACCTAACAACAGAATAGTTTTAAAAGCTTTTCCTGATCC
Organism: Homo sapiens; assembly: GCF_000001405.40. Classification (NCBI taxonomy): domain Eukaryota; kingdom Metazoa; phylum Chordata; class Mammalia; order Primates; family Hominidae; genus Homo; species Homo sapiens. Next base: position 48,765,216 of record NC_000003.12, read on the forward strand.
CCATGAACAGATTCTTATTCAAGCCACTTTACCTCTAGTGATTTAAGGAGGGGCACAGACTCAATAAATGATTCAAACATCTTCCTCTTCTTTGCATTATTTTTCACTATGATTCTTCTAAAAGTCACCCGGTCCTACAAGAAAGAATATGAAAATTCTAGTAAATGCCTATATACAGGAACATCTATGGTTTAATTAACTGGCCAAAGCAAATATTAGAGGAATATGTAAGTTACTGTGTTAATTAAGTGTTTAATGATACTTCAATCTTGAGTCATCACTGGAAGTAAAGGACCTATAGCCTGAGCCAGCCAGATGCCCACATGCTGTTGCTTGCTATCTAGCACTCAATAGGTGCCACCTATGGGTCATAAATAGAACCCAAAACAGAAAACACCTAAACATTTATGAGCTCACTGTCACTGTTCAATATCAAAAAAGACACCTCTAGTGAGCCGAGATCATGTCACTGCACTCCAGCCTGGGTGACAGAGTGAGACCCTCATTTCAAAAAAAAAAAAAAAAAAAAAAAAGAGACACCTCACCAAAAGAGAGAATAAAACAATCATTTAATCCTTAGAATCCAGGATTTAAAAAAACTTAAAAAATCCAAAACAATTAGATTGTTCTTGCCTAAAAAAAGAACAATTAGATTGTTCTTACCCTAAAAAAGTTTACAATCTTAATGGGGAGATAATATAAAATATCAAAATATGAAGGTTGGCTGAATGCAGTGGCTCACTGCCTGTACTCCTAGCATTTTGGGAGGCTAAGGTGGGCAAATTGCTTGAGCCCAGGAGTATGAGACCAGCCTAGGCAACATGGTGAAACACGCTCTCTACGAAAAAATACACAAAAAAAGTTAGCTGGGCATGGTGGCACTTGTCTGTACTTGGGTGGCTGAGGTGAAAGGCTCACCAGAGCCTGAGAGGTCAAAGCTGCAGTGAGTTGTGATTGTACCACTGCATTCCAGCCTGGGCAGCAGAGTGACACTATGTCCCAAAAACAACAATATCAACAACAACAACAACAACAACAAAATACATAGGAATAAAAAGTCTACATTTCAAGGACAGGTGCAGTGGCTCACACCTGTAATCCCAGCATTCTGGGAGGCTGAGTCAGACAGATCACTTGAGCTCAGGAGTTCAAGACCAGGCTGTGCAACATGGTGAAACCCCATCTCTACAGAAAATACAAAAATTAGCTGGGCATGGTGGCGTTTGTCTAGTCCCAGCTAGTTGGGAGGCTGAGGCTGGAGAATCACTTGAGCTCAGGAGGCTAAGGTTGCAGTGAGCTGAGATTGCGCCACTGCACTCCAGCCTGGGTGACATAAGTTGAAACTGTGTCTCAAAAAAAAATAAAATAAAAATAAAAAGTCTACAGTTCAAGACAGCATATGAGCATATGAAATGTGCTTGATGAAACTACAGAAGACAAGTGCCACATAAATTTCAAGGTAAGAAGGGGAGATCACAGTAGGCAGGAGTGATCAAAGATTATTTTGCAGCAAAAATGTCTAGGACCTGAAAGAGAGGTAGGATTTAAGTTAATGGAGAGACACGGGAGGAATACGCAAGATGGAAGGCAGGCATATGAAAGATACCTTGACTCTAGCAAGTCATGGATTCCTTCTGTTTTATTTTGAGATAGGGTCCCCCAATGTTGTCCAGGCTGGCTTTGAACTCCTGGGGTCAAGTGATCTCCCCACCTCAGCCTCCCAAGTAGCTGGGACTACAGGTACACAACACTGTGCCTGGCTTAGTAAGTAATGGATTCTGATCAGAAGACAGTTAACCAAACCAGGCACTTCTCAGATATGTGTACACATGTGCAGGGAGATACATGTGAGAATGTTAATTGCTTAGTCTTAGATTCCTAAATGGGCAAGCAGTTATTTGTATCTAAGTTAACTACCTTTCTTCCACCTCAGGCTGTCAGGACTATACATATATACATTTTGTCAGAAAGTATAATAATGGGCTGGGCGCAGTGGCTCACGCCTGTAATCCCAGAACTTTGGGAGGCCGAGGCAGACGGATCGCTTGAGGTCAGGAGTTCAAGACCAGCCTGGCCAATATGGTGAAACCACATCTCTACTAAAAATACAAAAATTAGCCAGGCATGGTGGTGGGCGCCTGTAATCCCAGCTTCTTGGGACGCTGAGACAGGAGAATCACTTGAACCTGGGAGGCAGAGGTTGCAGTGAGCCGAGATCATGCCACTGCACTCCAGCCTGGGTAACAGAGCGAGACCCTGCCTCGAAAAAAACAAAAACAAAACAATATTTTAGGCTGTGTGTGGTGGTTCATGCCTGTAATCCCTGCACTTTGGGAGGCCAAGGCAGGAGGATCGCTTGAGGCTAGGAATTCAAGACCAGCCTGGGCAACACAATGAGACCTCAACTCTATTTAAAACACAAAAACAGGCTGGACGCAGTGGCTCACACCTATAATCCCAGCACTTTGGGAGGCTGAGGCGGGTGGATCACAAGGTCAGGAGATCGAGACCATCCTGGCTAACACAATGAAACCCCGTCTCTACTAAAAATACAAAAAATTAGCTGGGCATGGCGGCACGCGCCTGCAGTCCCAGCTACTAGGGAGGCTGAGACAGGAGAATCGCTTGAACCTGGGAGGTGGAGGTTGCAGTGAGCCAAGATCACACCACTGCACTCTAGCCTGGGAGACAGAGCGAGACTCCATCTCAAAAAAAAAAACAAACAAAAAAACCCCACAAAAACAGAAAACCCCAATATTTTATTTATTTATTTAAAAAAAACCCATACAGGCTGGGAACAGTGGCTCACGACTGTATTCCCAGCACTTTGGGAGGCTGAGGTGGGGAGGTGGGTGGATTGTTTGAGCCCAGAAGTTTGAGAACAGCCTGGGCAACATGGCGAAACCCATCTGTACAAAAAATACAAAAATTAGCCAGGCGTGGTGGCGTGCACTTGTGGTCCCAGTTACTGGGGAGGCAGAGGTGGGAGGATTGCTTGAGCCCTGGGAGGCGAAGTTGCAGTGAGGTGTGAGAGCACCACTGCACTCCAGCCTGGCCAACAGAGTGAGACCGTCTCAAAAGATAGATAGATAGATAGATAGATAGATAGATAGATAGATAGATAGATATAGACAGACAGAGAGACAGACAGACAGACACACACACACACATACATAGATACATAGATAGATAAAATAAAAGGCCTGGCACAGTGGCTCACACCTATAATCCCAGCATTTTGGGAGGCCAAAGTGGGTGGATCACTTGAGGTCAGGAGTTCGAGACCAGCCTGGCCAACATGGTGAAATCTCGTGTCTACTACAAATACAAAAATTAGCTGGGCATGGTGGTGTACACCTATAGTCCCAGCTACTTGGGAGGCTGAGGCATGAGAATTACTTGAACCCTGGAGGCAGAGGATGCAGTGAGCCGAGATCACACCACTATACTCCAGCCTGGGCAACAGAGACTCCGTCTCAAAATAAATAAATAAATAAATATTAAAAAATACACAGAGGGCAGCAAAGTTAACTCCCAATATTTTACAAATCCACCTACAGTGTAACAAAGATTAGTACAATTGCAATAGCAAACAATATTTCGGCTGGGCGCATGGCTCACGCCTGTAATCCCAGCACTTTGGGAGGCTGAGGTGGGTGGATCACTTGAGGTCAGGAGTTCGAAACCAGCCTAGCCAACATGGTGAATTCCCATCTCTACCAAAAATATAAAAAATTAGCCAGTACTGTTGGCACATGCCTATAATCCCAGCTATGCAGGAGGCTGAGGCAGGAGAATTGCTTGAATCCTGGAGGCGGAGGTTGCAGTGAGCCGAGATAATGCCACTGGACTCCAGCCTGGATGACAGAGCAAGAGTCCATCTCAAAAACAACAACAACAACAACAGATTTCTAACTAAAGAGAAAACAACAAATATCTTTCTTTTTTTTTTTCTTTTTTGAGACAGAGTCTCGCTCTGCCACCCAGGCTGGAGTGCAGTGGCACAATCTCGGCTCACTGCAAGCTCCGCCTCCCTGGTTCACGCCATTCTCCTGCTTCAGCCTCCTGAGTAGCTGGGGCTACAGGCGCCTGCCACCGCGCCCGGCTAATTTTTTGTATTTTTAGTAGAGACGGGGTTTCACCGTGTTAGCCAGGATGGTCTCAATCTCCTGACCTCATGATCCGCCCGCCTTGGCCTCCCAAAGTGCTGGTATTACAGGCGTGAGCCACTGTGCCCGACCACAACAAATATCTCTTACAGCGACTTTTTTTTTTTTTGAGATGGAGTTTCGTTCTTGTTGACCAGGTTGGAGTGCAATGGCGCAATCTTGCCTCACCGCAACCTCCGTCTCCCAGGTTCAAGTGATTCTCCTGCCTTGGCTTCCAGAGTAGCTAGGATTATAGGCATGCGCCACCATGCCCAGCTAATTTTGTATTTTTTAGTAGAGACAGGGTTTCTCCATGTTTGTCAGGCTGGTCTCCAACTCCTGACCTCAGGTGATCTGCCCACCTTGGCCTCCGAAGTGCTGGGATTACAGGCACGAGCCACTACGCCCGGCAAGCGACTTTTTTTTTTTGAGACAGAGTCTCACTCTGTCACTCAGCAGGCTGGAGTGTAGTGGCATGATCACAGCTCACTGCAGCCTTGACCTCTTAGGCCCAGGTGATCCTCCCAACTCAGCGTCCCAAGTAGCTGGGACTACAGGCATGTGCCGCCACATCAGCTAATTTCTTATTTTTCATAGAGACAGGGTTTCACCACGTTGCCCATGCTGGTCTTGAATTCCTAGGCTCATGTGATTTGCCCACCGTGGCCTCCCAAAGTACTGGGATTACATCATGAGTCACCACACCCAGCTGGTTCTACCCCTTTTTACGCATGCTTTAACACTTCCCAAAACTCTCTTTTCATGTGGTGCAAGGCCAGTTCCCATGGCTGTGGAGAATATAAAAAAAGCACCAGACATCAACATAGCCTTTGATGAGCATCCAATCGAGCAGTGAAGAGGAAATTCCCACAGGCAGCAAGTGGTCAGAGGCAAGCAAACACCCCTGAAGTTCAAAAGAGAAAAGGAGTGCTACTCTCTCCTGTGACTGCAGGAATTTCCCAGGAAACCTTCTATTGACTTTCAATAAAGCAAGAGAAAGCAAAAGAGACTACGTATAGGGGCCGTGATGGCAGCTGCCCATTATAAAAGCAGGAATGTAGGATCCAACTTGAAAAACTCAGTGACGACACCAGATCCTCCCTACTTCAACCTCAGAAGGCATTTCCAAGGCCAAAGAAGAAGTCAGGCTGGAGAGGACCTTCTGTGAGTTACTTTCCTAGAGGTGGTATTGAAGCTTTGGAAGAGTCTGGGCTTGCAAAGCAAGTCAATTAACAGGAGAAAAGTAGAGGCCAAAAGGATATCTTGATAGGTCACTGACCTAAGAAAGCAAGGAGAAGAGGAAATGACTGCCAAAGGCAAGGAAATAGAAAGAATAGGAGTCTTAGGAAAGGAAGTCTCAGGAAAAGAAGGGTGGTGAGTAGCACCATGGCCATGGGGAGCTTGTGCCATCATTCTGTGAACACCCACCTTGTACCAGGCACTAAGGGAGTCACTTCTCTTATGCCCATGTATTTAATCCTCATACCCCAGCCACAAAGCAGGTGGTTTTACAGCTCAATATACAGTTTTCAATTTTCATTGAGACTTGGTCTTAGAGATTATCCAAGAATGGGTTATTTGGCCGGGTGCGGTGGCTCTTGCCTGTAATCCCAGCACTTTGGGAGGCCGAGGTGGGCAGATCACCTGAGGTCAGGAGTTCGAGACCAGCCTGGCCAACATGGTGAAACTCCATTTCTACTAAAAATACAAAAATTGGCTGGGCGTGGTGGCACATGTGCACACGTCTGTAATCCCAGCTACTCAGGAGGCCGAGGTAGGAGAATCGCTTGAACCCAGGAGGCAGAGGTTGCAGTGAGCCAAGATCATCTCAAAAAAGAAAAAAAAGAAAGAATGTGTTATTTGGCTGGGCACAGTGGCTCATGCCTGTAATTCCAGCACTTTGGGAGGCCAAGGCAGGAGGACTGCTTGAGCCCAGAAGTTCAAGACCAGCCTGAGCAACATAGTGAGACTCTGTCTCAACAACAACAACAACAAAAAGACAGGTGTGGTGGTGCACACCTGTAGTCCCAGCTACTTGGGAGGCTGAGGTGGGAGGATTGCTTGAGCTCAGGAGGTCAAGGCTGCAGTTAGCCCCTGCTCACACCAAAAACAATGTTATTTAATTTCTAAGTGTCTGGAGATCTGTTATTGATTTTTAGTTTCTTTCTTTCAATTGTAGTTAGAGAACACATTCTGATTTCATTTTTTCTTTAAATTTTCATTATTTCTTAAAATTTTAAATAGAGATGTGGTCTCACTATGCTGCCCAGGTAGGTCTCAAATTCCTGGACTCAATCCTCCCACCTCAACCTCCCAAAGTGCTGGGATAACAGGCTTGAGCCACTGTGGTTGGCCTGATTTCAAATCTTTTACATTTTTTAAGTTTTATTTTATATTCCAGGATATGGCCTATTTGGGTGAATGTTCCATGGGCTTGAAAAAAATGTTCATTCTGTTGTTGCTGTGTGCAGTGTTCTATAAATTTCAGATAGCTTTTGTTAATTAATGGTGTTAAGTTCTTCTATATCCTAGCTGACACTAGCTGATTTTCTGTTTAGCTGTTCGTTCTTTTGTTTTGTTTTGTTTTTGAGATGGAGTTTTGCTTTTGTTGAATATACCTGTTAGAAGATCTGGATTTCAGGCTTTCCAGCACCCCATCTGGGATATATGGGAACCTGGGAACTCACTGTCATGTCTTTCCTCAAGCCCCAATATCCCTAGATAGTCTGCCTTCTTCTTTCCACCTTTCAGAGTCTTCCTATGTTTGCTCTATTATGTCCATAGTTGTTTGTGTGTGTGTTTAAGTTTTTAAGTGAGAACACTAGCATGGAATAGGGCTATTCCATCTTGGTCTGAACCAGTAGTTAGCACCAAGGCTTATTATTTGATTTTGTATTTTTTGAGATGGAGTCTTGCTCAGTCGCCCAGGCTAGAGTGCAGTGGCGTGATCTTGGCTCACTGCAACCTCCGCCTCCTGGGACTACAGGCGCCCATCACCATGACTGGCCAATTTTCATATTTTTAGTAGAGACACGGTTTTACCATGTTGCTCAGGCTGGTCTCGAACTCCTGACCTCAAGTGATCTTCCCGCCTTGGCCTCCCCAAGTGCTGGGATTACAGGTGTGAGTCACCGTGCCTGGCCCCCATTATTTATTATTCCCCTATACAAATCTATTCTTGAGTTTTTCAATCATTGAGTCCCCAAGTGTGTGACCTATCCTTAAGTCACTGTATCTCTTTCAGGAGCACTCTTAATTTAACATCAGGATGTCACAATAAAGTGCTTTTTTTTTTGAGACGGAGTCTCGCTGTGTCGCCCAGGCTGGAGTACAGTGGCGCGATCTCGGCTCACTGCAAGCTCCACCTCCCGAGTTCACGCCATTCTCCTGTCTCAGCCTCCCAACTAGCTGGGACTACACATGCCCACCACCACACCTGGCTATTTTTTTTGTATTTTTTAGTAGAGATGGGGTTTCACCGTGTTAGCCAGGATGGCTGTAAGATATAGTGTAAATCAACAGCCCAAGGACAGAGACACAGAAAGGGAATTAATACTGTGCCTTGCAAGGGGAACGATTTCTCTCACTCACCAGTCCCCAAAGGGAGCCTTCTGAGGTAGCAACAATGGTAGCAGCTCTCGGGGTGTTGTACATCAGAGCTAGTTCTCCAAAACTGCCACGGTTGTCATATTGACCAACAGAGCGGGTTTGATTATCTTTTGTTACTAAAATGTCATAAGTTCCCCTAGAAGAATGACAAAGAATAATTTAATTAGTTACTTCTGATAATAAATGTTAAGAACTGGCAGGTACATATAATAGAAAATGTTGTTTTAAGAGATTTCCAATGGAACTTTGCTAGTATATAAAAAAAACATATTTTTGTATTTTGACTTTGTACTGTGTCCTATAACCTTGCTAAACTCACTTATTAATTCTAGTAGCCTTTTTGTGGCATTCTTGGAATTTTCTTTTCTTTTTTTTTTTTTTTTTTTTTTGAGACGGAGTCTCGCTCTGTCACCCAGGCTGGAGTGCAGGGGCGGTATCTCAGCTCACTGCAAGCTCCACCTCCTGGGCTCACGCCATTCTCCTGCCTCAGCCTCCCGAGTAGCTGGGACTACAGGCACGCGCCACCAGGCCCAGATAATTTTTTTGTATTTTTAGACAGGGTTTCACCATGTTAGCAGGATGGTCTCGATCTCCTGGCTTCGTGATCCGCCCGCCTCAGCCTCCTAAAGTGCTGGGATTACAGGTGTGAGCCACCACACCCGGCTAGAATTTTCTACATAGAGGATCATGTCACCTGAAACAAAGTTTTAATACTTCCTTTCCAATCTATATGCCCCTTCCTTTTTTTCCCCCCATCTTTAACTTAAACATATATATATATACACACACACACATATATACATACACATAAATATATATATACACATATATACATTTTTTGACATATATATTTTTTTGAGACAGGGTCTTGCTCTGTCACCCAGGCTGGAGTGCAGAGGCACAATCATGGCTCATTGCAGCCTCCACCTCCTGGCCCCAAGCAATCCTCTCACCTCAGCCCCCTAGCAATCCTCTCACCTCAGCCCCGAGTAGCTGTGACCACAGACGTGTGCCACCACACCTGGCTAATATTTTATTTTTGTAGAGATGGGGTCTCACTATGTTGCCCAAGCTGGTCTGGAACTCCTGGGCTCAAGCAATCCTCCTGTCTCAGCCTCCCAAAGTACTGGGATTAAAGGCATGAGCCACCATGCCCGGCCTAATTTTTTTTCTTTTATTAATATATAATATTTTACATAATTTATGGCGTACATGTGAGTGTTTGTTGCATGCATAGAATGGGTAATGATTAAGTCAGGGTAACTGGGGTATCCATCACCTTGGATATATGTCCTTTCTATGTGTCAGTATCATTTCATGTCCTCTCTTCTATTAATAGTTACTTTGAAATATGCTAAATATTGTCACCCAAGTATAGTCACCTTATCATGCTATAAAACATTAGAACTTGCCAGGTGCAGTGGCTCACACCTGTAATCTCAGCACTTTAGGAAGCTAAACTGGGAGGGTTGCTTGAGCCCAGGAGTTTGAGACAATCCTGGGCAACGTATGGAGACTTCTCTCCACAAAAAGGAAAAAAAAAAGACATTAAAATTTATTTCTTCTATCTAACTGTGTGTTTGTACCCATTAGCCAACTTTTCTTCATCCACCCACCACCCTTCTCAGTTTCTGGTATATATCATTCTATTCTCTATGTCTACGATATCAATGTTCTTTAGCATTCACATGTGAGCAAGAACATGTGGTATTTGTCTTCCTGTGCCTATCTTATTTACCTTAATATAGCAACCTCCATGTGGCTACAAATGACATGACTTCTTTCTTTTTTATGGTCAAATGGTATTTCATTGTGTACTATGCCACACTTTCTTTCTTTCTTCCTTTTTTCCTTGCCTCCCTCCCTCCCTCTCTTCCTTTCTTTGCCTTATTGCATTGACTATAACCTCCAGTACAATATTAAGTGGAAGTGGTGAAAGCAAACATCCTTGCCTTATTCTGAGTTGTAAGAAAAAACAATTTTTCACCATTAAATATGATGTTAGCTGTAGGTTTTTAATAAATGCCTTTAGTCTAGTTAGGGAAAGTTATTTTTGTTGCTAGTTTACTGAGCATTTTCATCACAAAAAGATGTTGAATTTTGTCAAATGCTTTGCTGTAGGTATTGATATGAATGCATGGGTTTTCTTTCATAGTCTGTTAAAACAAAGATTAAAACAAAGCAGGTCGGGCACGGTGGCTCAAGCCTATAATCCCAGCGCTTTGGGAGGCCAAGGTGGGTGGATCACCTGAGGTCAGGAGTTCGAGACTAGCCTGGCCAATCTGGTGAAACCCCGTCTCTACTAAAAATACAAAAATTAGCTGGGCGGGTAGCGGGTGCCTGTAATTCCAGCTACTCGGGAGGCTGAGGCAGGAGAATCACTTGAAACCTGGAGGCAGAGGTTGCAGTGAGCCGAGATCATGTCATTGCACTCCAGCCTGGGCGACAGAACGAGGCTCTGTCTCAAAACAAACAAACAAACAAACAAACAAAACGATACAATTATTTATCTATTGATCGGCAATAATGGCTAAAAAAAAAAAAAAATCAGAACTGACAAGCAGAAATAGGCACTCTCAACATACCACTGAGGGAAACATAAACTTTTCAGTTTCTGCAAGATAATTAAAACATATAGCAAACGCCTTAAAAAGACCCTTTGATATTGCAATTCCATTTCTAGTCATTCCAAGAGAGATAATCAAAGATACTGCAAAAGATTTAATTGCCAGGATTTCACCAGGTAATATTTATAATAGTAAAAACTATAAGTAATTTCATCTGCTAATAATAGGAGATGGGTCAAATACATGTTTCTATCTATATTATGGAGTCATTAAAAATAATGACAGAGGCTGGGTGCAGTGGCTCACGCCTGTAATCCCAGCACTTTGGGAGGCCGAGGTGAGTGGATCACCTGAGGTCAGGAGTTCGAGACCAGCCTGGCCAACCTGGTGAAACCCCGTCTCTCCTAAAAATACAAAAATTAGCTGGGCGGGTGGCAGGTGCCTGTAATCCCAGCTATTCGGGAGGCTGAGGCAGGAGAATCACTTGAAACCAGGAGGTGGAGGTTGCAGTGAGCCAAGATCGCATCATTGCACTCCAGCCTGGGCAACAGAGAGGCTCAGTCTCAAAACAAACAAACAAACAAACAAACAAACGATACAATTATTTATCTATTGATTGGCAATAATTGCTAAGGAAAAAATATTCAGAACTGACAAGCATTTGCAGAAATAGGCACTCTCAACATACCACTGAGGGAAACATAAACTTTTCAGTTTCTGCAAGGTAATTAAAGCTTATAGCAAATGCCTTAAAAAGACCCTTTGATATAGCAATTCCATTTCTAGTCATTCCAAAAGAGATAATCAAAGATACTGCAAAAGATGTAATTGCCAGGATTTCACCAGGTAATATCTATAATAGTAAAAACTATATGTAATTTCATCTGCTAATAATAGGAGATGGGTCAAATACATGTTTCTATATATATCATGGAGTCATTAAATATAATGACAGAGGCTAGGCATGGTGGCTCACGCCTGTGTATGTGTGTATATATATATAATAATAATGACAGAGTATGGCTGGGCACAGTGGCTCACCTGTAGTCCCAGCACTTTGGGAGGCTGAGGCAGACAGATCACCTGAGGTCAGGAGTTCGAGACCAGCCTGGCCAACATGGTAAAACCCTGTGTCTACTAAAAATACAGAAATTAGCTGGGTGTGGTGGCATGTGCCTGTAATCCCAGCTACTCGGGAGGCTGAGGCAGGAGAATCACTTGAAACTGGGAGGCAGAGGTTGCAGTGAGCCAAGATCGCACCATTGCACTCCAGCCTGGGTGGCAGAGTGAGACTCTATCTCAAAATAATAATAACAGAATGCTATATTCCATAACATGCTTAAAACAGATTAAAAAAATTAAATCACACAACAATGTATGATTTAATGTAAAAAAAATTATGTAAAGATAATTCCATTAGTCGACTCCATTTTTGATGTTTGATTGTTGACAGCTTTCAAACCCTTCCTCTTCTGCCCCATATCTGGGCAAGCTGATAAGAAAGCCTGAGTGCTCCCTCCTTCGGTGCTGACGGGGAGTTCAATCAACACAAATGCCAGCCCCTGTGTAAGAGTACCCTCACTTAATCCCACCTTCTAACCACCATAAATCCCAAGACAGTCATCTCGCCTGCTATCTGAAGTCATTTTTGGATCTGCCTGGGAGCCTGCCCTGCTCTCTCTAAAAAGGCTCTATATGTGAGTAATAAACCTTTTCATACCCTTTTACTGTATATGTAGTGTCATCAGTCTTGACATCTTAACCAAATTTTGGGTGAGGTGTCTGATCTCAACAGTAAAGCATGGAAAAAATAATGGAATCATACACTGGTAATCAGATTATGCCTAAATTAATTTCTATCCTGTTTGTATTTTATTTTATTTTGAGTTGGAGTCTCGCCCTGTTGCCCAGGCTGGAGTGCAGTGGCATGATCTCGGCTCACTGTAAGCTCCGCCTCCTGGGTTTACACCATTCTCCTGCCTCAGCTTCCCGAGCAGCTGGGACTACAGGCACCCGCCACCACGCCCGGCTAATTTTTTGTATTTTTAGTAGAGACGGGGTTTCACTGTGTTAGCCAGGATGGTCTCGATCTCCTGATCTTGTGATCCACCCACCTCAGCCTCCCAAAGTGCTGGGATTACAAGTGTGAGGCACCGCGCCAGGCCTTTTATTTTTTTATATTCTAAATTTCCTACAAAGAACTTCCAACTGTCTGACAAAATCACTAAATATCATGTATTAAAAGAAAAGCAGAGAATGTGCCACCAACCCTGCTCTCAGGGGAGCTTACCACTCAGTAGGGAAGCTGACCTGTCCTAGGCCTTTATAGACAAGGCAAAATAAGCTTATAAATAGGAAACATAGAATTCAGTGTTTTTAGCGTCTCCTCCAGACACTAGCATTTAACTTTGGAAGTGACATGAACTCATTTCAGGCAGCAGCACTGCAGAGAGCCTCTCGACCTTTCCCATTCAGGTCATCCTCTATATAATGGGGCATATGTTTTTATCATTGTTACCACCACATTATGTAATAATTATCTATTGAAAGGTCTGTCTCTCCAACTTGACCATGAATTTTTTGAGGTCAGGAACTGTACCTTTTTACTTGAACGACAATCTTTCTTTTTTGTTTTGTAGAGACAGGGGTCTCACTATGTTGCCCAGGCTAGTCTCGGACTCCTGGTCTCAAGTAATCCATATCGGCCTCCCAAAGTGCTGGGATTACAGGTGTGAGCCACTGTGCTCAGCTCTTTCCTATTTGTTTATCACCACATTCTTTTTTCTTTTCTTTTTATTCTGAGACAGGGTCTCACTTTGTCCCCCAGGCTGGAGTGCAGTGTTATGATCACTGCCCACTGTAGACTCAACCTCTTGGGCTCAAGTGATCCTCCCACCCCAGCCTTCCAATTAGCTGGGACTATAGGCATGCGCCACCATGCCTGGCAAATTTTTTAAAAAATGCTTTTTTGTGTGTTTTTGTTTTGTTTTGTTTTGTTGAGATGGAGTCCCATTCTGTCACCCAGGCTGGAGTGCAGTGGCATGATCTCCACTCACTGCAACCTCTGCCTCCCGGGTTCAAGTTATTCTCCTGCCTCAGCCTCCCAGGTAGCTGGGACTACAGGCACATGCCACCATGCCCAGCTAATTTTTTTATTTTTAGTAGAGATGGGGTTTCACCATGTTAGCCAGGATGTTCTCGACATCCTGACCTTGTGACCTGCCCGCCTCAGCCTCCCAAAGCGCTGGGATTACAGGCGTGAGCCACGGTGCTCGGCCTGCATTTTTTTTTTTTTTTTTTTTTGAGATGGAGTTTCACTATTGTTGCCCAGGCTGGAGTGCAATGGCATGATCTCGGCTCACTGCAACCTCCACCTCCCAGGTTGAAGCAATTCTCCTGCCTCAACCTCCTAAGTAGCTGGGATTAAAGGCGCCCACCACCATGTCCAGCTAATTTTTTGTATTTTTAGTAGAGATGAGGTTTTGCCATGTTGGCCAGGCTGGTCTCAAACTCCTGACCTCAAGTGCTCCGCCCACCTGGGCCTTCTAAAGTGCTGGGATTACAGGTGTGAGCCACCGTGCCCGGCCTAAAAAAATGTTTTGTAAAAATGAGGTTTCACTATCTTCCCCAGGCTGGTTTTGAACTCCTGGGCTCAGACAATCCTCCCACCTTGGCCTCCCAAAGTGCTGGGATTGCAGGTGCAAACCACTGTGCCAGGCTCTTATTCACCACTTTCACTGTACAAAGAATAACCCCTTTTGTTTACATATGAAATAAATCATTCCTTCTGTACAAAGGCATTTCAGTCTTTAAGTTGTGGACATGTACAGGTGGATGCTTATTTCCCAGATCATAAGTGCCCAATGGGACCTCTGTCTTGGTAGGGGAGTACACAGCAGGGCAAAGGGGAAAGGTGGCTGCTGGAGGTGGTAATATAATTTTATTATATTATAAATATAGACCTGGCATGGTGGCTCACATCTGTAATCTCAGCACTTTGGGAGGCCAAGGCGGGTGGATTGCTTGAGGTCAGGAGTTCAAGACCAGCCTGGCCAACACGGTGAAACCCCATCTCCACTAAAATACAAAAATTAGCTGGGAGTGGTGGTGGGTGCCTGTAATCCCAGCTACTCAGGAGGCTATGGCAGGAGAATCGCTTGAACCCGGGAGGCGGAGGTTGTAGTGAGCCAGGATTGCACCACTACACTCCCACCTGAGCAACAGAGCAAGACTCCGTCTCAAAATAAATAAATAAATAAATAAATAAATAAATAAATAAATAAATAAATAAAATATATAGTTTTGTATTATATTTATAATTTTATTTTAAAACTATTCTGGGCTGGGTGCGGTGGCTCATGCCTGTAATCCCAGCACTTTGGGAGGCTGAGGTGGGTGGATCACGAGGTCAAGAGATCGAGACCATCAGGGCCAACATGGTGAAACCCCATCTCTACTAAAAATACAAAAATTGCTGGGCTTGGTGGCAGGCACCTGTAGTCCCAGCTACTCAGGAAGCTGAGGCAGGAGAATCACTTGAGCCTGGGAGGCGGGGGTTGCAGTGAGCTGAGATCATGCCACTGCACTCCAGCCTTGCGACAGAGTGAGACTCCGTACCCCCCCCAAAAAAAAACAAAAAAACCTATTCTGTCATTACTTGTAGAATTTCTGTGTAAGAAGTATTAGCATAAAAGATGAAGACAAAAGTCTTTTCTCTGAGAAGATATTATTTATGTCATCTTTACCCTAAATCAGCATTTAGAGTAAAGAAAACATTTCCTTTGGACAGGGTGGTGGCTCACGCCTGTAATCCCAGCACTTTGGGAGGCTGAGGCGGGCAGATCACGAGGTCAGGAGTTCGAGACCAGCCTGACCAACGTGGTGAAACTCCATCTCTACTAAAAATACAAAAAATTAGCCGGGCATGGTGACGGGCGCCTGTAGTCCCAGCTACTCGGGAGGCTGAGGCAGGAGAATGGTGTGAACCTGGGAGGCGGAGCTTGCAGTGAGCCAAGATCGCGCCACTGCACTCCAGCCTGAGCGACAGAGCAAGACTCCGTCTCAAAAAAAAAAAAAAAAAAAAAAATTTCCTCTGAGTGTAATAATTTGTCACAGGTAGCAAGAACCCAAAGGTTACTCAAGGAGGGAGAGTATTTTCTGTTCAAGAATCTAAATAAGAAAAGGCTCAAGAAGAAAGGCAACCAATGTATCTAGTACAGCTATTTGATGGAGATTAAAAGAATCTTAAAAATGAGGAGAATAATTAGAAAAATTTGAATAAGGTGCATACATTAGATGTAGTATTGTATAAATGTTAATTTGTGTTTTTTATAATTGTTCTGTAGTAAAGTAAGAGAATATCCTTTTTAGGAAATGCACACTGGGGTATTCAGAGATAAAGGGGCATTATATGTGCAACTTAAAACAACTTTTTTTTCTTTTGGTGGTGGGGACGAAGTCTCACTCTGTCACCCAGGCTGGAGTGTAATGGCACAATCTCAGCTCACTGCAGCCTCTGCCTTGTGGGTTCAAGTGATTCTCCTGCCTCAGCCTTCCAAGTAACTGGGACCACAGGCGTGCACCACCATGCCTGGCTAATTTTTTTTTTTTTTTTTTTTGTATTTTTAGTAGAGCTGGGGTTTCACCATGTTGGCCAGGCTGGTTTTGAACTCCTGACCTCAAGTGATCCACCCACCTCAGCCTCCCAAAATGCTAGCATTACAGGTGTGAGCCACCACGCCCAGCCTTGCCAACAACTTAATAAAGCAAAGGGAGTAGAACGCTAACCTAGGGAACCTGTATTTACAATTTTTTTTTTTTGAGACTGAGTCTCACTCTATCACCCAGGCTGGAGTGCAGTGGCGCTATCTTGGCTCACTGTAACCTCCACCTCCCAGGTTCAAGCAACTCTCCTGCCTCAGCCTCCCAAGTAGCTGCTATTACAGGTGCACACCACCACGCCCGGTTACTTTTTTATTTTTATTTTTTTTTGAGACAAAGTCTCACACTGTTGCCCAGGCTGGTGTGCAGTGGGGCGATCTCAGCTTGCTGCAGCCTCTGCCTCCCAGGTTCAAGCGATTCTCCTGCCTCAGCCTCCCGAGTAGCTGGGACTACAGGCGCGTGCCACCATGCCCAGATAATTTTTGTATTTTTAGTAGAGACGGAGTTTCACTACGTTGGCCAGGCTGGTCTCGAACTCCTGACCTCGTGATCTGCCCGCCTCAGCCTCCCAAAGTGCTGGGATTACAGGCATGAGCCACTGCGACTGGCCAATTTTTGTATTTTTTAAGTAGAGGGAGTTTCACCACGTTGGCCAGGCTGGTTTCGAACTCCGGACCTCAAGAGATCCACCTGCCTCGGCCTCTCAAAGTGCTAGGATTACAGGCATGAGCCACCGCACCAGGCCTATGATTAATTTTTTGCACTATTTAACTTTTCTGTAACTCTGAAATTACTTTAAGATAAAAAAACTATTTTTGTTTCCTTTTTATTATCTAGCTCCAAAAACCATTTTATTTTAAATTAATGGAAGATATCAGGTGAAGCAATATCTTATTGGTGTTAAACTCTAGTGAGAGTGTTTCTTTCAGGACTAAGGAGATCAGAAGGACACCCACCTCACTGCCACCAGCCAGAGGATACTAAACTCAAGAGGTTAGGACACAGTAGGGTGAGCAGGTCAAGCCCAAATATTTAATCTTTTCCTAATACTTAGATCTGAGCCAGAGGGGTTAAGGTCAGGGCAGTGTATTCATGAGTAAAATCAGGCTCAAATACAAACATTCAAATGACTATAGTACCATGGCTAATTCTTCAAGGAATCAATTCACTTGACACTGGCAAATAACATGTTTATAAAGCACACCCTGCACTCCTTACTAACTGTAAAGGAGACTTTCTTTTTTTTTTTTTGAGATGGAGTCTTGCTCTGTTGTCCAGGCTGGAGTGCAGTGGCGGGGTCTCAGCTCACTGCAACAACCTTTGCTAGGATTACAGGCGTGAGCCTCCTAGGTTCAAGTGATTCTCCAGCCTCAGCCTCCCAAGCAGCTGGGATTACAGGCATGCACTGCCACATCCGGCTAATTTTTGTATTTTTAGTAGATACGGGGTTTCACCATACTGGCCAGGCTGGTCTCAAACCCCTCACCTCAAGCGATCCACCGGCCTTGGCCTCCCAAAGTGCTGCAATTACAGGCATGAGCCACTGCGCCTGGCCTAAAGGAGACTTTCTACTCTAAATGATTGCTCTTCAAATATGAGTTGTGCTGAGGACTCAGGACAGCACTGGTAGAGAGGGACAAGCTGTGGACTCTCACAAGGCTTTGGGAAGCTTGTTCACCTGGCCCTTAGCCTCTCTGGGCTGAATACAGAATAGGATAAAGCATCTGCCCTGAGTCATGAATCCGATTAAGTGTGGCCACACAATTTCAAAGCTCCATCTCCTACCGTTCTATGACATAAAAGTTGTCTCCATCATCTCCTTGGTCAATGACATGCTCATCAGCTTTGACTATCCTTTCAAACATGGCATCGAGAACTTGAGAAAGCTGTTCCTGCAGGGTATGCACAAGAAGAAAAAAATAGCCTTTACATATGCTGAAAAAAAGCAGTGACCATAATTATCTCAATTTGTGACTATGTAACAGAAGTCCCCACATTCAAGCAGAAACCTAAAGGTTGTCTGAAACAAATGCTTTCCTGGGACCATTCAGCTTTGCACCTCCATGTACCTCAGCAGACAGCAAACTGGCAAGTCTTCTGAGGCAGTATTGTTTTGAAAAAGCTTCCCAAAATTTACACAAAAATATTATCTAAATTATGGTCCATGTTCTCCCAGCCACACCCACATGACTGTCACCTGCCTGATGGCTCCACTATGTCATGTGTAAAGTCATATGCTCCCACCTTCCTACAGCTGTTGACCTTAACAGGAGCATCAGATCTAAAGGGCTGCTATGGCCTTAGAGGTTATCTTTTGGAACAGCACAACTTTTGACTAGCGAAACACGTCACTTAACCTCACTGAGCTTCAGTATCTTGTTTGTTTTTTTTTGTTCTGGAGACGGAGTCTCACTCTGTCACACAGGCTGGAGTGCAGTGGTGTGATCTCAGCTCACCACAACCTCTACCTCCCGAGTTCAAGCGATTCTCCTGCCTCGGCCTCCTGAGTAGCTGGGACTACAGGCCTGTGCCACCACGCCTGGCAAATTTTTATATTTTTAGTAGAGACAGGGTTTTGCCATGTTGGCCAGGCTGGTCTCGAACTCCTGACCTCATGTAATCCACCCACCTTGGCTTCCCAAAGTGCTAGGATTACAGACGTGAGCCACCACGTCCGGTGAACTCCAGTTTCTTCATATGTAAAAAGGGTATAACAAAGATTCCAGGTCATCAATTTTTATGACCAAAGGAAAAAAACCTAGGAAAGTATTTATGAAACAACAGATACTCAATAAATGAGATATATTATAAGACAGCTAATATTGCTTCATTTGCATACAGCACATACAATTACTTACAAATATTGCCTGCCATAACCAGACATCAACTATGTCAATAAGTATAATGAAAAGAAAATAATACTATTAAATTCTAATGAAACAATGGTCTCAGTCTGGGGCCAGCATCCCTGTCAGGGAGATCAGTAATTATTAGGAAGTCACTAAAGAATACCAGGTTCAATTAAAAAAAGAGACTTTCTCTTTGGAGAAATGTAGACTGAAGACCTGAAAAGAGAATAATTTTATGACTGCATAATTCCATGTGATTTTATGTTCTATCAGAGTGACTGTACTACCAAGATAATTGAGTATCACCAAAAAGTGTATTTAGTTCCACGTGCGTTGAATACTGTATAAGCTAACAAATACTAAAAAGGATGGCTTGCAACTGACGTGTTACCCACACTGACTGGAATGTGAGCCCAGTGTTGCCAGAAATCTCCTATTTAAACACTGGCAATAAATTTAAATTTTCATGTTCAATACAGACCAAACACAGACATCTGTACCTAGCCTGTGGGTTGCCTGCTGGAAGCCGCTTGTTCTGAGTCACTTTTCTTCTTCTAGTCTGGACTCTTCAAACACATGTGTCATGAGATATAGAATAACAGGGGCGGAAAGGGAGCATTTCTAGGTTAGAGGAGACTAAAATAACAACATGACAACCAAATGAAATACAGTAAGTCCTCAATGTGGTTGATAGGTTCTTGAAAACTGTGACTTTAAGCAAAACAATGTATAGAAGGTCCTCAAATAACACAGTTATAACACTGATGAGGGGAAAAAAAGGTTTCATTATAGGTTGTTTTGCTTAAAGTTGCAGTTTCCAAGACTACCAACAATGTTGAAGTACTTACTATATG
The DNA here is from genome assembly GCF_000001405.40 of Homo sapiens. NCBI lineage: Eukaryota > Metazoa > Chordata > Mammalia > Primates > Hominidae > Homo > Homo sapiens. The sequence continues at coordinate 48,784,904 of NC_000003.12, forward strand.
TGATTCATGATGTTAGGTGAAGACTTATTGTATGTGATTCAGGACTGAAAAACAAAACAAAAAGCTATACAGAACTTTACTGGGAAAACGGGAAATCTGAGTATGGACTGTTGTTAGGTGATTTTATATTATACCAACATTAAATTTCTTGGGTTTATTAAATGGTATTGTGTTAACATAGGAAAATATTCTTTTTTTTTTTTTTTTGAGACAGTCTCACTTTGTCACCCAGGCTGGAGTGCAGTGGCGCGATCTTGGTCCACTGCAACCTCTGCCTCCTGGGTTCAAGCGATTTCTCCTGCCTCAGCCTCCCCAATAGCTGGGATTATAGGCGCATGCCACCAGGCCTGGATAATTTTTTTTTTTTTTTTTTTTGAGACAGAGTCTCGCTCTGTCGGCCAGGCCGGTGTGCAGTTGCACGATCTCGGCTCACTGCAACCTCTGCCTCCCGGGCTCAAGCAATTCTCCTGCCTCAGCCTGCTGAGTAGCTGGGATTACAGAATGTGCCACCATGCCCAGCTAATTTTTGTATTTTTAGTAGAGACGGGGTTTCACCATGTTGGCCAGGCTGGTCTTGAACTCCTGACCTCAGGTAATCCGCCCGCCTTGGCCTCCCAAAGTGCTAGGATTACAGGCGTGAGCCACCGGGCCCGGCCTTAATTTTTATATTTTTAGTAGAGACAGGGTTTCACCATGTTGGTCAGACTGGTCTTGAACTCCTGACTTCAAGTGATCCACCTGCCTCGGCTTCCCAAAGTGCTGGGATTACAGGCGTGAGCTACCTTGCCTAGCCAGAAAATATTCTTGTTCCTGGAAAATACATCCTAAATATTTAGTGGTGAAGGGTCATGATGTCATAAATGGCTCAGAACAAAAGAAAAGCATTTTATATATACTCCTCTTTTCTTTTTCTCTGTACATAAACTTGCACACAAGAGAAAAAGCAAATGTGGTATAATGTTAACAACTGGCCAGTCTAAGTAAAGGGCATCTGGGTATTCATGTTATTATTCTTTTGAATTTTCTGTAATTTTGAAAATTTAAAAATAGAAATTTGGGAAATAAATTTAAAATTTGAAACAAATATACTAATCAGAAAAAATACTGACACTATAAAATGTTAGTAAGGGTATGAAGCAACCTGAAATCTCATATGTTGTGGACAGGAATGCAAACTGGTAAAACTACTATGAAAAATATCTGGCAGTTTTTTGGTTTTTTTTTGTTTTTTTTTTTTTTGAGACAGAGTCTCGCTCTGTCACCCAGGCTGGAGTGCAGTGGTATGATCTCGGCCCACTGCAACCTCTGCTTCCCAGGTTCAAGTGATTCTCCTGCCTCAGCCTCCCGAGTAGCTGAGATTACAGGTGTGTGCCACCATGCCCAGCTAATTTTTGTATTTTTAGTAGAGAGGAGGTTTCACCATGTTGCCCAGGCTGGTCCCGTACTCCTGACTTCAGGTGATCTGCCCGCCTCGGCCTCCCAAAGTGCTGGGTTTACAGGCATGAGCCATCGCGCCCGGCTGATCTGGCAGATTTTTTTACAAAGTCAAACATATACCTATCCTATGACTCAGTAATCTTCCTCTCAGGTACTTTACTCAAGATAACTTGGGGGCCGGGCGCGGTGGCTCATGCCTGTAATCCCAGCACTTTGGGAGGCAGAGGCGGGCGAATCACGAGGTCAGGAGATCGAGACCATCCTGGCGAACATGGTGAAACCCCATCTCTACTAAAAATAAAAAATAAAAAAAAATTTTTAAAAAAGATAACTTGGGGGAAAAGGTCACAAAAAGATTTGTACAAAATGTTGATAGTGTTAATCATAATAGCTAAAAACTAGAAATAGACCAAGTATTCGCTAACAGAAAAATGGATAAATTGGTATTTTTGAGCAATGAAATACTACTGAGCAATAAAAAGGAATGAACTAACATTGCTGGCAATAAGACATACTGACATCATGGGCCCCTTGATATGATGCTTTCAGAGGGACACAATATAATTTCTGTGGTAGTCTCGCCAAAAATATATAACCATATTCCAAAATCATGAGGAAACATCAAACTCAAATGAAGAGACATTCTATAGAATGACTAACTAGTACTCTTCAAAGTGTCAAGATTATGAAAGACAAGTAAAGACTGAAAACTGCCACAGATTGGAGGAGACTAAGAAGAAATAACTGCTAAATCTAACATGGGATCCTGGACTGGATCCTCTACCAGAAAAAAGACATTATTGAGAAAAGTAATTATTTATTTATTTATTTATTTATTTATTTATTTATGTATTTATTTAATGAGACAGAGTTTCACTCTTATTGCCCAGGCTGTAGTGCAATGGTGTGGTCTTAGCTCACTGCAAACTCTGCCTCCTGGGTTCAAGCGATTCTTCTGCCTCAGCCTCTCAAGTAGCTGGGATTATAGGCACCTGCCACCAAGCCTGGCTAATTTTTGTATTTTTAGTAGAGATGGGGTTTCACCATGTTGGCCAGGCTGGTCTCAAACTCTTGACCTCAGATGATCCTCCCTCCTTGGCTTCCCAAAGTGCTGGGATTACAGGAATGAGCCACCGTGCCCGTCCAAGTTATAACTTTTCAACACTCAAATGGTATTCTCCAACTCTAAGAAAACTGTTAGATTGACATAGAAACTTTCCTTATAGTAACTTTAATGGTATAAAATTTACAAGAGGTTTTATTCACAGATAAAGAAGCAAGCCCCTTTTCCATTTACATGGATGGGTCTTCCAGGGAAAACAGCTAACACAGACCACTGTTTCTCATAACCAGCCTTTCCTTGAGCTCATGGTCCTTGTCTCATTCAGTCTCAAACTAACAAGCTCTGAGTAAAGCTCTGGCTATTACTGTAAACCACACAGTTATTAGTCTGGTTTACAGACACCAAGGTTAGTTAACTCCTTTGACTGATGCATTGTAAGCTCATATCTGACCAGCCCAGATTCCTAAGGAGGGCTGTGGAAATGTCTTCAGAAGCCTTTTTGGTAGGAGCTGGGTAACAGAGGAAATCTAATTCCAGCCTTCCTGTCTCTGCACATTCTGGGACTCCTCAATAGGCCTAGCACCTTAGCCATTCATGCGGTTTTAAATTTTTAAATGTTTTTAATTTTAAATTTTTAGCTTTTTTGAGATGGAATCTCATTCTCTCGCCAAGGCTGGAGTTCAGTGGTATGATCTCAGCTCACTGCAACCTCCACCTCCCCAGTTCAAGCAATTCTCCTGCCTCAGCCTCCCGAGTAGCTGAGACTACAGGTGCGCGCCACCACGCCCAGCTAATTTTTGTATTTTTAGTAGAGACGGGGTTTCACCATGTTAGCCAGGATGGTCTCCATCTCTTGACCTCATGATCCGCCCACTTCGGCCTCCCAAAGTGCTGGAATTACAGGTGTGAGCCACCGTGCCCTGCCAAATTTTGTATTTTTAGTAGAGACGGGGTTTCACCATGTTGGCCAGACTGGTCTTGAATTTCTGACCTCAAATGATCTGCCTGCCTCAGTCTCCCAAAGTGCTGGGTGCTGGGATTACAGGCGTGAGCCCCCATGCCTGGCCTCATTCTTTTAATGTGTGGCCTTCAAAGTAGAGAAGAAACAGTAGAGAAGAATAGAGAAGAAACAGGAAATCTGAAGATTCTCTGTTACTATGAACTAAATGTTTATGTCACCCCAAAATTTCATGTTAAAGCCTGACTCCCAATGTGATGGTATTAGAAGGTAAGGCCTTTACATGATCATGAATGGGATTAGTTCCCCTATAAAGGAAACCCTGAGAGCTCCCTCCCTCCTTCCACCATGTGAGAACACACAGAGATGGTTATCTACGAACCAGGAAGTGGGCTCCTGATCAGACACCAAATCTGCTGGCACCTTGAGCTTGGATTTCCCAGACTCCAGAACTGTGAGAAATTTCCACTGTTTATAAACCACCCAGGTTACAGTATTTTGTTATAGCAGCCCAAATGTACTAGGACACCTATCAGGAGATAGCCCTTGTTCTTTATTTCTACCACCAAGAGAGGGAGGACAGGCCCAGGTCATAGATCCTATGCTAGGCCCTGCAGAAACACACCATTCCTAAGAAGCACTTACTACACACTGTGGTAAGCCAGTGAGTTAACTATTATCAATGAAGGGAACTACATACCAGCATCTTCAGAAAAATCAATCTCTTTGTAGGATAAATTCAGACCCTCCTAACTAAGCCAGGGTCATGCAAATCTGAGCATTTCCTTGCAACATGACAAAACCGCATGCTCTTCAAATTATCAGTATTGTCTTGGAGAAAGTGCCAAAGCAGCTCAGAAAAATACAGCAGTCCTCCCTTTATCCATGGGGAGTATGTTCCAAGGGGATATGTGGATGTCTGAAACCACAGATAGTGTTGAACCCTACTGATGTCAATTGGAACACATTTCTGTTCCACCCACAAATGTAATGCCTTTTCCATCTTAACCAAGTACTTAACACGCACTGTGGCTGTAACTTGTGCAGTCTGAGGTGCAACAGCAAAACTAGCATAAATTTCTTTTTCCTTCTTCACAGTTTCACAGATAGAAGATTCATTCTTATTCTATTTTTTTTTTTTTTTTTTTAGACAGAGTCTTGCTCTGTCACCCAGGCTGGAGTGCAATGGTGCGATCTCAGCTCACTGCAACTTCCGCCTCCTGGATTCAAGCAATTCTCCTGCCTCGGCCTCCTGAGTAGCTGGGATTACAGGTGCACACTACCACACCTGGCTAATTTTTGTATTTTTAGTAGAGACAGAATTTCACTGTTGGCCAGGCTGGTCTTGAACTCCACCCACCTCGGCCTCCCAGAGTGCTAGGATTACAGGCATGAGCCACCGCACCCAGCCAGAAGATTCATTCTTACCATAGATTTTTGCAACCTCAGCATACAATTTCTTTCTCCCTCCCTCCCTCTCTCCCTCCCTTCCTTTTGTTCCTTCCTTCCTTTCTTCCTTTTCTTTCTCTCTTCCTTTCTTTTTCTCTCCCTCTCTCCCTCTCTTTTCTTTCTTTTCTCTCTCTCTTTCTTCCTTTCTTTCCTTAAGTTTCTCTCATCTTTTCACTTAAAGGAAGAATTTTATGGCTTATTTTTGGCATATCCGAATTGCCAGCATTGCTTCTCTTGTGCTTTGGGGCCATTATTAAGTAAAATAAGGGTTACGTGAATATGAGTACTGCTATATGGTGACTAAGTGACTAATGGGCAGGTGGCATATATGGCATGAATACACGGGGACAAAGTGATGATTTGCGTTCTGGGTGGCAGTAGAGCAGGACAGCATGAGACTCATCACACTACTCGGAATGGCATGCCTTTTAAAACTTAGGAATTATTTCTGGAATTTTCCATTTAGTATTTTTGGACTGTCATTGACTATGGGTAACTGAAACCCTGGAAAGCAAAACCAAGGATAAGGGGGACTACCACACTAAAAGGCATCTGAAAGATCATGCCTGGGTTAAAGTGGTCAATACAATGAAAACATCTGTATGTAAGATGAATCTAAGGTTTTATGCTTAACACGGCTGTGGCTAGGGTGCTAAAAATTAAAGTTTAAGTGACAAATAGGAGCAAAGCTAAAAGATCATTATAATAAAAATACTTTAGAAATCAATGTTACCTGATCAAGATTTTTGAAAAGGAGAATATCTTTGCAAGCTTCCTGAAGTCTGCATCTCTGTTCATCAGTTTTAGGATGAATCACCTGCCAATCCAAATAAAACCATGGAAACTGTTTTATTCCATTTTAAAATAACCACTTAAAGATTGGTATATTTGTTTCTCCAAAAAGTGGGAAAAATAAAGAGCATGGTTTCTGTTATTTTAATTTTACATAAATATCAAGCTGCATGCTAAAGGTGGAGAGGCAATGTAATATAGGGGTGAAAAGCACCAACCCTGAAGCTACCTGCCGACTACATGGCTGGCAGCAAGTCAGCTGTTCCCTGGGAGTCTCAGGATCTTCATCCATAAAGCAGAGGGTTATAAATTTGTTCATTAAACAAATATTGAGCATCGACTCAAAAAAAAAAGAAAAAGTACATCTTTTAATCTGACCAGAAATAATAGATGTTAAAAGTGTTGGCCGGGCGAGGTGGCTCATGCCTGTAATCCCAACACTTTGGGAGGCCGAGGCAGGCAGATCACGATGTCAGGAGATCGAGACCATCTTGGCCAACGTGGTAAAACCCTGTCTTTACTAAAAATAGAAAAATTAGCTGGGCATGGTGGCGCGTGCCTGTAATCCCAGCTCCTCAGGAGGCTGAGGTAGGAGAATCGCTTGAACCATGGAGTCGGAGGTTGCAGTGAGCCAAGATTGTGCCACTGCAGTCCAGCCTAGCGACAGAGAGAGATTCCATCTTAAAAAAAAAAAAAAAAAAAAAAAAAAAAGGGCTGGGCGTGGTGGCGCACGCCTGTAATCCCAGCACTTTGGTAGGCTGAGGCAGGCGGATCACAAGGTCAGGAGTTTGAGACCAGCCTGACCAACATGGATAAACCCCATCTCTACTAAAAACACAAAATTAGCTGGGCATGGTGGCGCATGCCAGTAATCCTAGCTACTCGGGATGCTGAGGTAGGAGAATCGTCTGAACCAGGAAGTTGGAGGTTGCTGTGAGCCAAGATCGTACCACTGCACTGTAGCCTGGCGACAGAGCAAGATTCCGTCTCAAAAAAAAAAAAAAAAAAAAAAAGCTGGGCATGGTGGCTCACTCCTGTAATCCCAGGTAATCCCAGCACTTTGAGAGGCCGAGGTGGGTGGATCACGAGGTCAGGAGTTCGAAACCAGCCTGACCAACATGAAGAAACCCATCTCTACTAAAAATACAAAATTACCCGGGCATGGTGGCACATGCCTGTAATCCCAGCTACCCGAGAGGCTGAGGCAGGAGAATCGCTTGAACCCAGGAGGCAGAGGTTGTGGTGAGCCAAGATCAGGCCATTGCACTCCGGCCTGGGCAACAAGAGCGAAACTCTGTCTCAAAAAAAAAAAAAAAAAAAAAAAAAAAAAGATAGTGTTAAATATTTTTAATTTGTGATATTAAATTAGAAAAAAACTGTTTCACAGTCATCAATAATTTTACAATAACTAGAATAAAAAAATTACATGATTTTTACATTCACAAAAATGGTAGCGTTTATTAGAATACTTCAGAAATCTTTCATAAGTTACTCATTTTAAGAGTAACTTGATTTAAGGGTAACATAATAGATCACTAAAGTTTTGGTTTTTTTTTTGAGATGGAGTCTCGCTCTGTTGCCCAGGTTGGAGTGCAGTGGCGCAATTCTGGCTCACTGCAACCTCCACCTCCCAGGTTCAAGTGATTCTCCTGCCTCAGCCTCCTGAGTAGCTGGGAGTACAGGCGGGTGCCACCACGCCTGGCTAATTTTTGTATTTTCAGTAGAGATGGGGTTTCACCATATTGGTCAGGCTGGTCTCGAACTCCTGACCTCATGATCCGCCTGCCTCGGCCTCCCAAAGTGCTGGGATTACAGGTGTGAGCCACCGTGACTGGCCCACTAAAGGTTTAATCTTTTTTTTTTTTTTTTTTTTTTTTGAGATGGAGTCTCACTCTGTCACCCAGGCTGGAGTGCAGTGGCGTGATCTCAGCTCACCACAACCTCGGCCTCCCAGGTTCAAGCGATTCTCCTGCCTCAGCCTCCCAAGTAGCTGGGATTACAGGCGCCTGCCACCACACCCAGCTAATTTTTGTATTTTAGTAGAGACAAGGTTTCGCCATGTTGGCCAGGCTGGTCTCGAACTCCTGACCTCAGGTGATCCACCCGCCTCGGCCTCCCAAAGTGCTGGGATTACAGGCGTGAGTTACCACACCCAACCTATAACATCAATCTTTTAAAAATGATAGCTCATATATGCCCTCATAAAAGTAATTTATGTTGGGAGGCTGAGGCAGGAGAATCACGTGAACCCAGGAGGCGGAGGTTGCAGTGAGCCGAATTCACGTCACTGCACTCCAGCCCGGGCGACAGTGCGAGACTCTGTCTCAAAAACAAACAAACAAACAAACGTAATTTATGTCAATTGTACAGAAGTTTAAAACACTAAGTTTTTTTTTTTTTTTAAAAGCACCCAAAAATCAAACATGGTCTTGCCACAACCACTGTTAACATCTGGGGTATATCCTTCCAGACAGAATTTTCTATATATACATACATATATACAAATAAATATATATATTTCAAATTTTTTAATTTACGAAATGCTCTATAAAATACACCTCACACAAACATACATCCCATGCCATTACATACTGTCCTGTACCATCACTTTCAATGGCTACAGATTCTCTTCATTTGAATGTACCATAATTTAGGCCCTGGTAATCCCATATTTTGGGTCATTTAAGTTGTTGCCATTTTTCATTGTTATAATACTATGATAAACTCCATTTGTACATCCTCAGGAAGGATCCAACTTTCATTGGGGATAAATTCTCCTTTAGGTAAATGCTAAATCAGTTGGCCTGACTGTAAGTATTTAAGGCTTGTTGTTGTTGTCGTTGTTATTTTAACAGAAATGAGGTCTAACTACATTGCCCAGGCTAGTCTCAACTCCTGGGGTTCAACTGATCTTCCCACCTCAACCTCCCAAAGTGCTGAGATTACAGGTGTGAGCCACCATGCCCAGCATTTTTTTTTTAAGACTCAAGCAGCAATTCTCCTGCCTCAGGCTCCTAAGTAGCTGTGAATACAGGCACATGCCACCAAACCAGCTAATTTTTTTTTCCCCACAGAGATGGGGTCTTGCTATATTGTCCAGGCTGGTCTTGAACTCCTGGCCTCAAGCAATCCTCCTGCCTCAGCCTCTCAAAGTGTTCGGATTACAGGTGTGAGCCACCACGCCCAGCCTGTTTAAGGCTTCTGACAGCTACAGCTAGGCATTGCTCACATACCCTCAACCAATGCAACTTTCAATTTGTTAGATTAAAAATGTCACTTCAGTGATATTTTAATTTGTATTTAATTATTAGCATGATGAGTTTTTGGTATGTAGAGAAGGGGAGTTAATGAGAAATAGAACAATTCTACCTAACATCTTTGCTTTGGGTCTTACCCTTGGATCTGTATCTTCCTCTTCCTCATCAGGGTTATAGGTCTCAGCACAGACTAAAATTGGAGAGAAAAAAACAAAAAGAATGAATTTAACAGATGTGTGGCTTTAGGAAAAATAGGAAGTGAACTCAATTTTCTTTTATTCACTGTTTTCTTTTCTTTTTTTTTTTTTTGAGACAGAGTTTTGCTCTTGTTGCCCAGGCTGGAGTACAGTGGCACAATCTCGGCTCGCTGCAACCTCCATCTCCCAGGTTCAAGCGATTCTCTTGCCTCAGCCTCCCAGGTAGCTGGGATTACAGGCATGCACCACCATGCCTGGCTAATTTTGTATTTTTAGTAGGGATGGGGTTTCACCATGTTGGTCAGGCTGCTCTCAAACTCCTGACATCAGGTGATCCACCTGATGTATATCCACCTGATGTATAATATAAATGCTCATGCCTATAATCCCAGCACTCTGGGAGGCTGAGGCAGATGGATCATGAGGTCAAGAGATCGAGACCATCCTGGTCAACATGGTGAAACCCCATCTCTACTAAAAATACAAAAATTAGCTGGGCGTGGTGGTGTGCGCCTGTAGTCCCAGCTACTCGGGAGGCTGAGGCAGCAGAAGCGCTTGAACTTGGGAGACGGAGGTTGCAGTGAGCCGAGATCATGCCACTGCACTCCAGCCTGGTTGACACAATGAGACTCCGTCTCAAAAAAAATGAAAAGAGGGTAAGTTGTGGGAGACATAAAGGGAAAAAAAGCAAGGTGAAGAAGAGTATATATGGCATGCTATCCCTTGCAGAAGAAAGGACTTCCATGAGAAAGGAGAGCTAAGAATGGAGGGAAAATAAATATAATATACTTTTACTGGTTAATTTTTCCAAAAGGAAACAATTTGGGAAGAATAAACCGGAAAGTAATGAAATTATTTTCTAGTGTATAGAAAGAAACAGGAAAGAAGGGATAGGGAAAGGAATGAAACTTCTCTGAGGAAACTTTTTTTTTTTTTTTGAGACGGAGTCTCGCTCTGTCACCCAAGCTGGAGTGCAATGACGTGATCTCTGCTCACTGCAAGCTCCGCCTCTCAGGTTCACACCATTCTCCGGCCTCAGCCTCCAGAGTAGCTGGGACTACAGGCGCCTGCAACCATGCCAGGCTAATTTTCTTTATTTTTAGTAGAGACAGGGTTTCACCGTGTTAGCCAGGATGGTCTCGATCTCCTGACCTCAACCACCCGCCTCGGCCTCCCAAAGTGCTGGGATTACAGGCGTGAGCCACCGCGACTAGCCTGAGGAAACATTTTTATATAAAAAGTTTTGACATTTAAGTCATGTTAATTTTTCACATATTTTAAAAATTAGATAGATAAGAAGGACCCTAAAACGAAGTACAAAGAAAAAAAACCTACCCATATATCGGGGTGATAACATAATTAGAGAAGGAAAGAATCAGATTCTAAGTAGCTTCTGAACATAGTAATCTGACCATCCACCCTCAGTGGGATATACTGCATTCCAACAAAAAACAACTGATGTTGGTGATGGTATAGCAATTCCAAAACTCTTCTTTTTTTGAGAGAGTCTCGTTCCTTCGCTCAGGTTGAGGTACAGTGGCGCAATCTTGGCCCACTGCAACCTCCACCTCCCTGTTTCAAGTTATTCTCCTGCCTTAGCCTCCTTAGTAGCTAGGTCTAGAGGCATGTGCAACCACACCCAGCTAATTTTTGTAGTTTTAGTAGAGATGGAGTTTCACCATGTTGGCCAGGATGATCTCAATCTCCTGACCTTGTGATCCATCTGCCTTGGCCTCCCAAAGTGCTGGGATTACAGGCATGTGCCACCGCGCCTGACCTGTAATTCCAAAACTCTATGTGTATTACTGTAGGGAGTAAATAAACGAACACACAGATATTTTTTTTACTGGTGAGAAGGGGGATACAAATATGGACTGGAGGAAGAATTAGAAATGGAGATATCGATACAAATCATTATTTTAAAATCTCACCCCATGTGTTATTTGCAAAGAGACAATAAATTATCTACTGAATAAAGAGTTTTGTACTTACTAAGAAAACTGTTTTACCAAGAATGAACTAGTTGTGATTACTGTTTCTCAGAATGAAGCAAACCTACTGCCTCTTCACAATACAGGCCATTACAGCTGGGAAAAGTTTTCTTCTAATAAATCATCAGTGATCTGTAACAGCTGTGTGACCAGAGGTAATTTATTGCCTATGTCCACCCTTCCTCTGCATAATGGCATGAACAGTGGTGACTTCTCTCTGAAGACTGTTGTAAGGATTCAAGTAGACAGGTGTCAGGCACAGTAAGGAGGCAACTTGAACTATTACCATTATTATCTTGGTTCCATTTGTTCTGGGTTTTAGAAGAATTATTGTTATGTTGGTTCTGTTCTCTATTTCAGCTCCTTTAACAACTGTCCTTTCTTCCCAGCTAACCTCCATCACATATTTCTACCCTTACAACTTTGCTCTTTTTGCTTTCTCTACGGTTTGCCCCGCCCGCTCCCAAGACAGAGCTTCACGCTGTCACCCAGGCTGGAGTGCAGTGGTGTAATCTTGGCTCACTGCCACCTCCACCTCCCAGGTTCAAGCGATTCTCCTGCTTCAGCCTCCCAGGTAGCTGGGATTACAAGTGCTAATTTTTATATTTTTAGTAGAGACGGGGTTTTTTTTTTTTTTTTGCCATGTTGGCCAGGCTGGTCTCGAACTCCTGATCTCAAGTGATCTGCCCATCTCGGCCTCCCAAAGTGTTGAGATTACAGACGTGAGCAACCGCGCCCGGCCAACTCTTTTTATGTATTTAATTCTTGCTCATTTTTTTTTAGTTTCCTTATAATCTTATCACACTCATTTTCTATTTCATCTCAGCCAATTTTATCCTTGGCTTTTTGCTCAGAATTCATAAGTGCAATGATTTCTTATAGTTTACTGAGCATTTTGTAGTGGACCTTTCTAGTCTTCACTCCTCTTATATCCTTAACCAGCTGAGTTCACTCATAGGCCCTGTATTGTTTATTAGGATTTATTTATCATCTGTTAACAGGCAACAAACAGTTCTTGACCCTACTCTCAATCTATGTGTGATGGCTAAAAGACTCCATGTATCTACAACTACGGGACAGGCTGATACATACCACTCCCAATTTATTTATTTTTATTATTATTATTATTATATTTTTTGAGACAGAGTCTCGCTGTCTTGCCCAGGCTGTAGTGCAGTTGACATGATCTCAGCTCACTGCAAACTCTGCCTCCCAGGTTCAAGTGATTCTCCTGCCTCAGCCTCCTGAGTAACTGGGGCTACAAGTGCAAGCCACCACACCCAGCTAATTTTTATGTTTTTAGTAGAGACGGGGTTTCACCATGTTGGCCAGGCTGGTCTTGAACTCCTGACCTCAAGTGATCCACCACGCCCAGCCCCACTCCCAGTTATTTCCCAGTTTCTTAGAGACACTCACTGCAGTCCTGGTCTAGGTACACCCCAGCTTCCCTTTCCTCATCGATTCTCTAAACCAATAAAAGATCTGAGAAATGATGGCTTCCATTGTGTCCTATACCCAGGACTCTCCCATCCCTGCCTTAGCAAATAATACTCTACTTGTGTGGCCCATGCCACTTGTGCAGTAATGCCATCGATACCAAGTGCCCAACAGGGACCCTATATCCTAAAACACATAAGAGAAAAATTAGGGGGGATAGAGTTAAGAAAAGATACACCATTCTAGTCTCTGAAATAGCATTAGGTGATGCTCTGCAGAGGGCTGGCCCAGTTTCTGGCTAATGTGGGCCTTGGGTTACTGAGCCAGGAAAGTAACAATGGGATATAGGTAATGACTCACTATCTTTCTCCAAGCATTTTTGTTTCCAGGAGAT